>NC_000011.10:9756969-10060000 GCF_000001405.40 Homo sapiens
CACCTGCTCTTTGGAAGGTTCCAGCAAGGCTGTGGAGAGGACCCAAGGGCCTGTGACTGCCACCTCCCAGTAGACCCCAAGGACCTCCAGCCTCTGCTCTCCCCTCAAGGGTCCTGTCGCTCCCTTGGTGGCCATTAGCTGTGGTGGCCAGAGCTGTTCTCCACTCTACCTCCCAGGGCCTCTATCAGCAGCTGACGGTTCCTGCGGCTTGTAATGTTCCTGCTGATCTGCCTCACTCACTACCCGTCACCGCTGATGAACTTTCCCAAAAGTCAGCCCAGAACTCCTTAAGGGAAGGGGCAGCCTCGTTGTGGTAGTTCCAGCACCCTGTACCAAGCAGGTTCTTAGTAAATGCTGACTGTTGAGTGGCCCCTTTCTGAAATAAATTCCTTGTTCTCAAATATATCCTGGATCTGGTCCCCTTGGGTCCAATCAGCGCTTGAACCAGACAGCAATGACTGACCACCTCTACTCAAGAGTTTCTGGTTTATTTGGAGCCTCTACCCCACCCAACCCTAAGGCTGGGAACCCTTTTGCCTTCCTTTTTTCTTAAAGGAAGTTAATCCCAGCACATGTGAAAGATGGACCATCCATCCCAATGCCTCATGTCCTGGGCTTCATTTCTCCATTTCTCCCAGGGCACCCTGGGAGTCTACATGCAAACAGAGATACTAGAAAGTTAACTTCCGGAAACCCCCTTGATAGGCCAATTCGTCCCCTTTTCTCTCTCTCCATGTGATTTTTTTTTTTCAAAAAATATCTTTTGTAGTTTTTTTTTCCTTATCACCAATACATACCCAATGTGGAAAACTGAGAAAAAGCAGGTTTGTAAAAAGAATAAAATGCTTCGCCATAATCTCACTCTGCAGACAACCTACAATGGCAAAAATCGCAATTAATTTTGCACCAACCTAATACTAGGATTTCAGTGCACAGCCTTCCAGGCCTACATTTAGGTTTGTTTGAAACAGGAACATGCGGTTCAACCGCCAACCTGAGCCCGCGTCCCCTAAGGCCAATACCACCATCCTGACCCTCCTTGGGAGGTCCTGAAATGACCCCAGTTCCAGGGGCAACGAAATGCATACGCTTTCGAGGGAAGGAGGGGAGGAAACGACCCTGTGGCGCAGGTCTGCACGGCCAAGGGGGTTCCCTGAGCTGGTGGAGCGGCGTGGCGTGGCCTAGGAAGTCCCTGGGCGAGGGAGGCGGGGCGCGGCGTGGTGGGGGCGACTGGGTGGTGCAGGCCTGCGCACGCGCGCAGCCGTGGGCGGGACGGGCGGCCTGGGGGCTTCGCCGCCAGGTGGCAGGCGTGCGCCACGCCCGCAGGTTCCAGCCCCGACCCGGGCGCGCGGGGCCGACTAGGGTCGGGTCCAGTGTGCGGTGGTCGCTCCGCTCCGGGCCGCTCCGCTCTGGGCGTCAGGGCGCGGGGAGCTGCCCCGGGGTTCTGTCCACCGGGGAGGAAAGCCACGAGCACTGAGCGCCTCCTGAGAGCCAGCCCTGACGTGAACTCATTTTATCTGCCACGACCCAGAAGGTGGGCGCAATTTTCCTATGTTCCAGGTGTGAAAAGTGAGGCTCAGGGAGCTAGGCAGTTGCCCAAGGGGACACAGCAGTGACGGCTCTGGGACGAAGCCCAGGTGTCCAGACGCGATGGCCTCTTCCCGCGTTCTCGGCGGGTACGGCGCGCCGCCTGCCTGCGGCCCGCGGGGAGGTGGTCGGGTGGCCGCCCCGGCTCCTCCTCGGGCCCCTGAGGATTTCCGGCCGGGACCCCGAGGAGGGCCCTGTGGCCTTGCGGCATCCGTGGTCACGATTCCAGCCCCACACGGCCTCCCGCCAGTCCCTGCGAGTGCCCAAGACGGGGCCGCCCCTCCCGTCTCCTCCCTTCTCTCCCCTCCCCGGCGTCTCCCGCCGAGGGCGCTGCAGGCGGCCTGGTTGGGATGAGGGCGGGCAGGCGGCCCACAAGCAGGGGCCTGTTTCCTGACTCGTTTGACCCTGGCTGTCCCTGCGGAGGCCCCAGCAGACCCAGCAAGGTCATCTAGGGCGAAATTCCAGTCTGAGCCCTGAGCAGTGACTTAAGTTTTCCCGATAAGGCTCAAGAAGGGACACAGATTGTCCTCCCCACACCCCGCACTCTGTCAGCACCTCCACTCTGGTGAAGCCTCTGCTGCAGACAGCCCGGCTCGAGAAGAGACAAAGATAGACTTGGGACAGATAAGGACAGAGACAGCCAGGGAGAGAGGGGCAAGGAGCTCAGAGGTGAAGATGGGGCCGCGCCGATGGGGAGGCAGCGGGTCTGCGGCCGCCGAGATGGGAAGTGGGCCCTGGAGCGGGCTTGCCGAGCCTACGACCGGGGCTGGGATGTTGGAGGAAGACGCGGTCATGAGGGCTGAAAAAGAAGGGGTTTTTGGTATGGTAGAAAAATGGATTGGGCTGGCAGCTCGAAGGCCACAGCCCTGTACCTCTGGGCCTGGTCTCGTGTGTGCACCTGGGACCGGTGGGTGAGGGGTGATGTAGAGTCAATGAGGGACGAGCTCGCTGAGTCTCCAGGAGGCAGGAGTGGAGAGGGCGAGGGAGGGAGGGTAGGACCTGTATACCTACGGTGGAGGGGGCAGGCGGGGGACAGATGCTGCTGGGCCAAGACTACTGAGTCTCTCCTGCCTGCTGGAGGTCCCTAGCTCAGGACTTATTCCATGCACACTCTGATAGAATATTTACGCCCAACACTAACTGTTTGGCTTGGCAAATAAGCAAAGCCATAAAGTCACAGCTGGCCTGTAGGCTCCCAGTCACCATGTGCAGCTGAGTCACAACCACTTCCCCCACCCCCTGGGGAGCAAGCGCCTATGCTCATGCCTGCACTCAGACACATATCCACACAGATACCCACAGATGCCGCGTGCCACTGAGTCATAGCTACCTCCTCAGAGAGCACGTGCCTGCATGTACTTGCACACAGGTCCCCACAGATGCCATATACACCTGAGTGTGAGTCATCATCACCACTGAACCCTGAGGGAGGGCACCCAGAGTGTGTTCTGCCATCCTTGCTTAGAGATACCCATATACACACATATACAGATATGTGCCCACCACACATCCTGTTGTACCTGCTGCATCATACCAGCAGATCAATAAATGTTTGTGGAATGAATGAATGAGTAAACAAATGAATGAACTAACAAGTGAAAACGTGAGTGACAACCACACTGCGTGGATACTCAGTAAAATTGGTTGGGGCAGCCCTGCGGGGTGGGTCCCAAGCTCTGTGTCCAGAAGGAGTTGTCTTGCTCCAAATATATCCTCTGTGGGCGGGCAGGGAGCCAGGGCTGCCTCCCAGACCCTGACTTCACTGGGCCGGAGGCCCAACCTCTGAGGAGTTGAAGAAAATTAACAAAGAAGAGGCCCTGGCTTTCTGTAGCCAAGGCTGAGCTGTGAGATGAGTTGGTGGGGGCATGTGTACTCTGGAAATACCACTTACTCAGAGACCTGAGATGCAGGACAGAGTGCTCTGCTGAAGGGCCCAGAGAGGACTGGTTCTGGATTGGGCTTCTTGGGAACTCTGCCCCAAATGTGCAGAATGTGCAGGAGGCCTGGTTCCACTTGAGATCTGGGGCAAATACAGTGCTTGGGCTGAGCTGGTGATTGCAAAACTGAGGCCCCCTATTAGACAGTTTTCCATCTAGGCCTGCCCTTCTGGCTTGGGCTTGTTCCCAGAGCTGCTTTCCTGTCTCTCCCTTGAATCTTCTTTTCTGAAGCCCCTGTGTCTCTGCCCTAATTCATCATCTGGAATATTTTAATATTACCCCAACTGGTCTTCCCGCCTTTAGACAGTAAGACCTATCTATCTTGCTTATAGCTGTCAGAGTTATTTTTCTAAAATACAGGTCCAACTATATAACTTTCCTGTTCAAAATCCTTCCATAGCTTCCCACTTTTCAGCATTAAAGTTGGATGGCCTCAGCCCTGTGATGAGATCCTTCATGACCTTACTCCCCTCTACCTGGAGGTTATGAAAGGGTAACATGTGGATGGATAGTTGTTGGTTATATGGATCGATGGGTGATGGGTGGACTCTAGGATAATGGATGCTTATAGGGATGAATGGACTAGTGGACTGATCTGTAGACAGATGATTAGAAGTATAAATGATCAGTCAGGCACGTTGGCTCATGCCTGTAATCCCAGCACTTTGGGAGGCCGAGGCAGGCTGATCACCTGAGGTCAGGAGTTTGAGACCAGCCTGACCAACATGGTGAAACCCCGTCTCTACTAAAAATACAAAATTAGCCAGGTGTGGTGGTGCATGCCTGTAATCCCACTTACTTAGGAGGCTGAGGCAGGAGAATCGCTTGAACCCAGGAGACAGAGGTTGCAGTGAGCTGAGATTGCACTATTGTACTCCAGCCTGGGCAACAAGAGTGAAACTGTCTCAAAAAAAAAAAAAAAAAAAAAAAAAGAAGTATAAATGATTAGGAGGGCATGTAGGGTTGGAGAGATGGGTGGATGGATGGTTGGAAGGATACTGCTCAAGTCAAGGTTGTTTTTGTTGCAAGGAACAAAGAAAACTCCAAATGTTTTCAAGAATGAGGAGTACAATTGTGAGAATACAGTGGACAACCTTGCAGAGAGCACTGACATTCAGGCCTCATGAAGATTGGAACTGGAAAGTCAGGAACGGTGGCTCTTCTCTCCGTCTCCCGAGGACCTCAAGGTTCCTCTCTTTCTCACATTTCTCTGTACTCATTCCTGTCTCAGCAGGCTCCCTCTGCTCGATTTTCTTGCTCATGGTCTACTCTCAGCCACTCTTACTCATTCCTTCTACAAGTTTTTACCAAGTGCTTATTTATGTGACTGTTTGTACCTCAACAAAGCTCCTACGTGTTGAAAAATAGCAAGCAAAACAAAGTTGCTGCATTTATGAAGCATACTTTCTAATGAGGAGAGAGAGACAGTAGGCAGTTACATGTGTGCTGACGTTAAATGCTATGGAAAAAATAAAGCAGGGAGCAGTTTGGGGAGGGGTTGGGTTTCTGCTGCATATAGGATACTCAGAGGGGGTGTCCCTGATATGGTCATATTTGAGCAGAGATCTGAAGAAATTGAGGGGGTGAGCCGTGAAGATATCTGGGGGAAGAATGCTCTAGGAAGAGGGCGTGGCAAGTGCAGTGGTCCTGAGGTGGGAACTGTGTGGCACTGTGTGAGGAACATCAGTGAGGCTGGTGTGGCTGATGTTGTGTGAACATGGGGAGGATGGTGGAAGATGAGGTCAGACGGGTAGCAGAGGACAGATCATGAATTGTGTTACAAGCCATTGTGAGGACTTAGACTTTTACTCCAAGAAGGAGGGGAGGCATTAGAGGATATTCAACAGAGAAATGACATGATCTTAGATTTTAAAAAGGACCTCTCTGGCTGCCGTGATGAGAATAGACTGAAAGGGACAAGGTGGGAAAGGGAGACAGACAGGGAGACCACTTAGGAGGCAACTGCAGAAATCCAGGTGAGAGATGTTGGTGGCTTGGACCAGGGTGGCAGTGGTGAGGGCAGTGATAAGTGGTCCAGTTTAGGACGTATTTTGAAGGTAATCAGGATTTGCTGATGGATGGGATATGGGTGCGACCTCCCTCTGGTGAGGTGGCCCTGCTCAAATCAGCTGTGGACAAGGAGGATACGTGGTATAGTGTGGCTGTCTAGCTCCACCCTCCAGCAGAGGCAGCTTGACATTTGTCTTGGATAATGAGGGCTAAATGCAGGGTTGAGAGTCACGCCCAGCAGCAAAGCTGTTTCTGTCTGAACTGTAAGGTCACTCTAAATCCCACTCTTTCAAGGCAGGTATATTCAGCAGGCTTAATTGAAAACTGGAACATAGCTTACCATTGTTAGGATAGAACTGGAGCTTGAAGTGACCTGACTTCTCAGTGAGACCAAACATTCACACTCTCCAAGGAAGAAAATGAAGGAAGAGAATGTTTATGACTGGCTAAGTCTGTCACCATCCAGTACAGAGAACCTCATTTGGGCAGAGTTTTATGGCAAGCTATTGAAGTTATATATGTACGCATATGTCTGACAGATCTATATCTATAGAATATATCATATATGTGTGTAATACATAAGCTACTATATATATATGTGTGTGTATATATGTTAAGATTATACACATACAAACACAGTTGCCTTTAGTTGAGGAACCCCAAGAACCTGCCCCTTGTCCAGTCAGGGTTGCTGCCCAGAGAAATAGAACTGATTTCACTTAATACACATGATATGATCCTGAAACTTTAAGCAGAAAGAAATGTTTGTGTCCATTTTCCTTAGAAAGGGGAGGTGGGTATGGTGGGTACCAGAACTTAGACATTCCTTTGTATTATAAATGAGTTGTGAGGATAGTGAGTAGATGTATGTAACATAAATAAAGGAATGTTTAGGATGATGACTATTTAGGCTGATGATAGACTAGACTACATCAGATTAGATAGATAGGCACAGGTGGCTGGACAGAATGTGAACATGGATTGTTGATAGCTAGTTCTCTGTGAGCCAGGAAGCAGACCCTCACCAGACACCAGATCTGTTAGTGCCTTAATTTTGGACTTTCCAACCTTCAGAACGGCAAGAAATACATTTCTGTTGATTATAAGCCACCCAGTCTGTGGATGTCCTGTTGTAGCAGCTCAGACTGACTAAGACAGATGGTTGAATTACATTGAGAAATGGACAGTTGGATGATGGCTGTTTAGATTGGTGGATGTGTGAATTTTAGGTTACTGGATGGACAGCAAATGGAGGGATGAACAGCTTGATACCTTATAGAAGTGGTGCCTCAAAGTCACTTGGAAACTTTGTTACACACAGACTGCTGGACCCTACTGCCAGAGTTTTCGATTTGATAGATCTGTGGTGGGGCCTCAGAGTTTGCATTTCCAACAAGTTTCTAGGTAATGCTGATACTCCTAGTCTAGAGGCCGTCCTCTGAGAACCACTGCCCTGTGGTATGCCTGGAAGTGTCCCATGCCAGTAGAGCCAAAATGGCCTTGCCAAGCTGGAATGGAGGAATCTGGGGACCCTGGACTTAGGGATGTCATCCAGCAGGGCTCCAGGCATCCTGTCACTGGCAATGGGCTTAATGTCCACAATAGGCCTAGAGGCCCATGGCTCTTCTTCCAGGGATGTAGCACCCTTGTTTAGGACATCATGGCCCACCATGGTCTGTCCAGTCATCTCTAACCCCTGCCATCCTCAACTAGGGTTGAATAAGATCCATAAGGTACATGTACTTGGCCATCCAAGGGCGCTGGCCTTGGCTGTGGGGCATATAGAGCACTCAGAGGCAGTGCCACAGCCAGCCTAGTGCCCAGGAGCCAGCTTCAAAGGATTAGAGATGTTCCCTCTGAGCCCTACCCTGCTGAGGGGCCCTGGCAAGCCCTCCTGGTTTGTCAAAAACACTTTTATGTTTGTTGTCCCTGTTTTCTCAGGCATTGTCAACCTCTCATCTGAACAGGATTCTGCTTATCAACATTTAAACATGCTTGAATCTCACTTACCTTAAAAAACAACAAAAGCCCCTTTCTTTGACTCCATGTCTTACTGCAGCTACTGCCCCACCCTCCTCTCAACCATGGTCAAACATCTCCAGAGCACTGTCTCTTTCCTCACACCTCACATGCCTCCTGTCCATGACAGCCTGGCCTCTACCTGCCTCACTTCACCGAAACAGCACTCCCTAAAATCACTGGTGAGGTGACCTTCAGGACACTAAATCCAAAGTGCATTTTTCATTCTACTCTTCTTTTAGATTTTCCAGCAGCATCCAAACATTCTCTTGCTTCTGGAAACACTCTTCTCCATTCATTGCAAGGCACAACAATGCTCTTTCTCTGTTCACCCTCTATTCCAGGTTTATCCTCCTTTACCTGGCCATTGAATATTAGTGTCCTTAAGACACAGGCTGGGCTCTTTTCTTACTTAATACTCTTCCTTCTTGGCAGTTTTATCCATGTCCTCAAGCTACCATCTACTTTTCTCCCTCCCAAATAAGTATCTTCAGCTTATTCACCTCTTGATATCCAAGTGCTCAGCCTCTTCACTGGGACATCTCAAAGGCACCTCAGCCTCTAACTAAGGCCAAACAGGATATTTTCCCCTCCTCCACCCAACCCTGGTCATCCTTTGGTGTTCACCATCTCAGGGAAAGATACCACCATCCGTTCAGCTGGGTAACTCAGAAACCTAGCAGGTCCTTTGACACCTGTGTCCCCCAGTCTTCATGGCCAAACCACCACCAGTATCTCTCCGTTTTCCTAAGTACCTCTTGAGTCTACAGTTTTCGTCATCTTCACTATCCCATCCTAGTCCAAACCATCTCTTCTCTGAACCATGACAGTTACCTCTGAAGTGGTCTCTCCACTGCCCCTCTTGTGTCCCTCCAACCCATTCTCCATGTTGCAGCCACTCTGCACGTGGGTTCCATCTGGCAGCTCAGAGATGGGGAGATGAATCGCCTGGGGGTAGGCCCTGCTCAGGGTCATGGCAGAGGCTGGGCCTCAGGCTTCCCTGCCCCACTCTCAGCCAGGGCCCTTTCCAGGACAGGAAGGCAGGCCCACACGTAGGCTGGAGGCCCCACTAGACACACAGCTCAGCCAGGCCTCCAGGGAATGGAGAAGAGGCTTTGAAATTTGCAGTATCAAGTTTCAGAAAACACAGGGTCAGGGTCAGCAGAGCAGCTGGTAGTGGGGAAGGCCAGGCCCAGCTAATTTCCTGTCAGAAGGGCCCAGAGGCTTCAGCCCCTCTCTGGGCTGGCCACAGGGGAGGAGATGCCGGGAATGGTTCACATT
This sequence comes from Homo sapiens, assembly GCF_000001405.40. Taxonomy (NCBI): domain Eukaryota; kingdom Metazoa; phylum Chordata; class Mammalia; order Primates; family Hominidae; genus Homo; species Homo sapiens. Next base: position 9,765,804 of record NC_000011.10, read on the forward strand.
CTTCTGGCTGGGGCTGCACTGAACCTCAGGGGACCTGTGGGGAGTGAGGAGGTGGATCTGCTGAGGCCAGAGTTGGGGGCTTTCCGTAGGGACCAGGCATCTGTTGTTCAACTCTTAGGCTTGGATGAGGCCAGGGACTGCAGAGGAGATGCAAAAAGACCATTGCAGCTGTGGGAGCTGTAGGATAAATAAGCCTAACTTCATGTTTTACAGATGAGGAAATAGGCTCAGACAGGGCCAGATCCTCACCAGGATCCTGCATAGTATCTCATTCTAAGCCCTGAGCTCTCTGTTTCTAATTGCCCAGGTCTGGATTTCCTGGAAGGCCCAGCTATGGCTGAGCTGTGTGTCAGTGGGGGACATGCTGGCCTTGGCTCCTCCTGCTCACCTCCAGGCTAGGAGATGCACTTCTTAGGTGCTCTAGCTGTGGGGTGGGTGGCCACGGTATGGAGTGGGTATGAGAGGGCTAAGTTAGCTGTGGGCCCATCCCACCTCTCCTTGGAGTGCCCAAGCTCATTCTGCCCACAAAGAGAACTTTATGTCCTGGTCCAGTGTCTAAGAGGGTGAGGCAGTCCTGGCTTTGAATGGCCCTGTAAATGGCCTGGCCAGGCTGGGTGTGACGTAGAGGTCAGAGGTCCCCTGTACTCTTAATTCTGTGGTGCCAAGACTGGCCTGGTTGACCTGTCAGGACTGGGGAGAAGAGCACAGGATGCAGTTAGACAAGCCTGGGTTCAAATCCCAGTTCCATCAGGCACTGCTGTGTGGCCTTGGAGAAGGTCGTTTAACCTCCTGAAATCATGGACTCCTCGGCTGTTAAAATGGGGAGGGGCTACTTAACTTCTTTCTCTAAGCCCAGACGTGTGATCGGTGTGTGTGTATGTGACTTGGGGAACCCCTCCCGGATCCTGGAAGTGCTGCACATACCCTCACTACCAGCTGGGAAGCATATGCCTGCTCCTGAAGTCAGCACCAGGGCCTGGGTGCCCCCCACCTGGTCATCCTTTCTCTACTCCTGGCACTTGAGTCTGAGGCTGGGGCCATTCTTAGATGTCCCAGACATCAACCTGACAGTCTTCAAGTGCCCCTCTCCTCCTTTATCCCCTCTGTCTCCATCAGTTAGGCCCTACATCCTACAGATACCACCTCAGGCATGTCTCTGGAGCTCCCACGTCTATCCAGCCCAACTGCCTTCTCAGGTTGGGATAATTACAGCAGCTGCTCACTGGCCTGCCTCCCTCCCAGTCCCCCTTCGCCATCCTCACCAGGGAGATCTTTCTAAAATACATGTCACAAACCTGACTTAACTTCTTTTCCTTGCTCCTCGTGATTTCACCTTTGCCCAGTGATCTTATCCTTTAATACTCGGCCTAAATGTCATTTACTCAGGAAGTCCTCTCTTACCCCAAGGCTGGGCTATGAGCTCCTCCCATCTTTCTGCAGGCTCCTACTTGCTCTCACCCTATCATAGCTCTGGTTACACCAGAAATCATATCTTGGATAGTAGGTTATTTTATTTGGGGTCCAGAGTATCCAGGAGCAGGCATTAGCACAGAAGAAGCATCAATAAATGTATGTTGAATGAAAGAAAATGGACAGACAAGTGCATGGGAAGATGGACACACTGGTTTTGGGTGACCAGCTCATTCATAATAGGTTCCATCATACAGCTGTGAGGGGAGAGACTGAGATTTGGGAGAACATGTGCATGGTCAGGGCTTACCCTGACACCGCACATACTAAAATGCTGGGCAGGTAAATAATAACCAGTTGCCCCCCAACTGGTGAGTCTCAGCCTCCCAGTGTACCTCCTGCTCAGGTGAAGGCTAGTGATGGAGCCGTGGTAGACAAGCCCTATCCCCACCTGCTAAATTCAGCTGCCCTCAGGAAATATGCTGTTAAGAGATGACAGAGATGATATGGTTTGGCTGTGTCCCCGCCCAAATCTCATCTTGAATTGTAGTTCCTATAATGCCCACATGTCGTGGGAGGGACCCAGTGGGAGGTAATTTAATCATGGGGGCAGTTACCCTCATGCTGTTCTTGTGATCCTGAGTTCTCACGAGATCTGATGGTTTTACAAGGGGCTTTTCCCCCTTTTGCTCAGCACTTCTTGTTGTTGCCACCATGTGAAGAAGGACATGTTTGCTTTCCCTTCCACCATAATTGTAAGTTTCCTGAGGCCTCCCCAGCCATGCTGAACTGTGAGTCAATTAAACCTCTTTCCTTTATAAATTACCCAGTCTTGGGTATGTCTTTATTAGCAGCATGAGATAGACTAATACAAGAGAGGTCACGAAAAACAGGTGGAATCCAGGCAGTGGGTGGGCCTACGTCAGAAAGAGTCTGCATGCGTAAGTGCCAGTATCACTAGGGTGTGTATATGTGAGAACATGTATGCCCTTGTTTGTGTTGCATGTGTGTGCACAGGATTATATGTTTGCATGTGTGAGTGTCCCTCTTGGCCTTGCAGCAGCTGCCTCTGCATATCACATTGCACCTATGCCCCTCTGCCTCATCTTATTCTCCCTAGGCCATCCCCCATCCAATTTGCTTGTTCTGAGCTCCTGCCCCCAGTATACAGCTGTTGTACGAATACGATGCAATTGCACAAATCACTGTGGTTCATTATATAGCCCTATTAGTTTCCTATTGCTATTGTAACAAATTACTACAAATTTAGCAGCTTAAAACAATACAGATTTATTCTTACTATTCTGGAGGCCAGAAGTCCAGAATGGTGTTACTGGGCTAAAATCAAGGTGTTGGCAGGGCTATGTTCATTTCTGGAGCTCTGAGGGAGAATCCATTTTCTTCCTTTTACTAGCTTCCAGAGGTTGCCACATTCTTGGCTCACATCTGTCCCCCTTCCATCTTCAAAGCCAGAAATGGCTCATTAAATCTTTCTCCTATTGAGTTTCCTATCGGGTCTTTCTCTGACATTTGCTTCTGCCTCCCACTTCCACTTATAAGGACCCTTGTGATGACATTGGACCGATCCAGGATAATGTCTTGGTCAGCAACCTTAATTTCATATGCAACCTTAATTCCCCTTTGCCATGTAAGATGACATATTCACAAGTTCCAGGGATTACAACATGGACATCTTCAGAGAAGTGGGGGATTATTCTGCTTACAGCAAATAGCCTGGGTCTACTTTAGGTTGTGAGTTCTTTGGGGGCTGAGCTGTACTGTATTCATCCAGAGATTCCTTGGGAGCAATTCAGTGCCCAGTATGCACCAGATGTTTATAATTTATTCAATATATTTGTTCCTTCCTTCCCTCTCTCTTTCACAGCGGTCCACCCCCATCATGGTCTGATAGCCCTCCCAACCTCTCTGGCCTCCCTGCCCATTGTCCCTCACAGGTGCTTCCCTTAGAAAGGAATGGTTCCATATCTGAAAATTAGCTTAGGTTTGAGAACCATTGACTAAAGAGCTGGCCAGCTCTCTAAGAGGAAGGACCTTGCAGAATTGCAGCAAGTATATGTCACAATGATTCCTTCATTTTTTTCCCCCAAAGGGACCTATGGCCATTTAGGTAATCATTCACTAGAGAAATGGGGATAACAAGACATTTTGAGGAGTAGCAGATGCAGAGTTTGAGTTAACATTAACACTTGGAGCCCAAAGCATCATCATGGCCCCTCTTTAAGAGGCCTTTTGGAGATCACTGTGATGTGATATGGCAGAAAAGTCTAGGGGCCTTCAGATGTCCAGTGTGTCAGCAAGAGAGGCCAATGCTGAGCCCCTGAAATGGCACTATTCCTTGAGACCAACTCATCACTTGGGGCAAGTCAACCGCATCAGGCCCTTTCAATTCTGGAAGGGCCAATGGTTCATCTCTACAGGGATAGAGACTTATTCTGGGCATGGGTTTGCCTTTCCTCACCACAGAGCCTTAGTTAGCGTCACTTTCCAGGGATGTACAGAATGCCTGATCCAAAGGCATGGAATTCCACACAGCACAGCACTTAACTGGGGGACAGTATGATAGCAAGGGTCCTATTGAACTATGTATGGTTTGCGGCTGCTGCAGGGCACTTGGGATTCTTCGTGCTCAGAAACCAGCAGACAAGAAGAGTCATCATACTGGCAGGGATAACTGACCCGGATCAACAGGAAGGGGCAAGGCTGCTTCTGGATAATGAGGGCAGGAGGAATGTGTGTGGAGCCCATGTGATCCACTGTGCACCTCCAGGTAGCCCCACTGTAATTGTGAAAGGATATGCAGCAACCCTGAGAAGGGTTTGATTATTTAGCATTTATCCCCTTCCCTCCCCCTCCTCTCACCCCCAGAATGAAGGTTTGGCTCACACCACCAGGTAAGCCACCAACATCTGAGGAGGTTGTTGAGGGTCGGGGGAATTCGGAATAGATAGTGGACGAGGGAGAGAATGAAGGCCAGTTATGGCTCCAAGATTAACTTCATTGGTAGGGGCCGTAGTTAGTCCCACAGACCTCCTGCTTTCTTCTGAGTTCCCCTTGGGAATAGAGGCCCAAGGGAAATGGGGAGGAACTTCTCCCTGAACCTGGTGGAGAGTAAAGATCTGTGTGGCACAAGGGGTAGACTGTGATGTTAACACTATAGTTGTAGTATATTTTAGACAGTTCAAATTATGACTCTTTTTTTAATTTTTATTTTTTTGAGACAGTCTCGCTCTGTCACCCAGGCTGGAGTACGGTGGCATGAACTCAGCTCATTGCAAACACCACCTCCTAGGTTCATGTGATTCTTGTGCCTCACCCTACCAAGTAGCTGGGACTACAGGCATACACCACCACACCTGGCTAATTTTTGTAATTTTGGCAGAGATGGGGTTTCACCATGTTGGCCAGCCTCTTTTCGAACTCCTGGCCCCAAGTGATCTACCTGCCTTGGCCTCCCAAAGTGCTGGGATTACAGGCATGAGCCACCACGTTAGACCATTTTAGCCCTGAATTTTCCTTGATATGATTTGTCCATTAGTATTTGTTGTTGTTGTTGTTGTTGTTGTTGTTGTTGTTGTTGTTTTTGAGACAGGGTCTCGCTCTGTTGCCCAGGCTGGAGTACAGTGGTGCAATCATGGTTCACTGCAACCTCAACCTCCTGGGCTCAATTGATCCTCCTGCCTCAGCCTCCCAAGAAGCTGGGACAACAGGTGCATGCCACCATGCTTGCCTAATTTTTATACTTTTTGTAGAGATGGGGCTTTGCCATGTTGCCCAGGCTGTTCTTGAACCCCTGGGCTCAAGTGATCCATCTGCTTCGGCCTCCCAAATTGCTGTGATTACAGGCGTGAGCCACTGCACCTGGCCCATTAGTTTAAATATATTCATGAGAATAGACCATAATATGTAGCTGGCTGGAGTCTCAGAAAACCTTGGCATGCCTTAATATTTGAGAATCCCATTTCATTTCTTATTAATCTCTTGAGAGCAAAGAAAATCCTATAAATCCTGTCAGAGAATGTCAAGAGTTTGGACCCATGTTTTAGATAGTGACAACTGTCCTAGTGGCTTTTAAATAGCCATCCTGCCCCTGCCATTTAGAATATTTATTTTTGCTCTCAGAAGATATTTAGAAACAAGCAAGGGAAAGGAGCCAAATCATTTACAGATTCATGTAACCAAACCAAAATGAAACCAAGATAAGAATGTTCACAAAAATTTCAACCCAGGAATGTAGAAAAAATTAAATTATGCATGCATTTATTAGTCAGGGTTCTCTAGAGGGACAGAACTAATAGGATAGATATATATAAAGGGCAGTTTAGTAAGTATTAACTCACATGATCACAAGGTCCCACAATAGGCTGTCTGCAAGCTGAGGAGCAAGGAGAGCCAGTCTGAGTCCCAAAGCTGAAGAACTTGGAGTCTGATGTTCAAGGGCAGGAAGCATCCAGCACGGGAGAAAGATGTAGGCTGGGAGACTAGGCCAGTCTCTCTTTTCACGTTTTTCTGCTTGCTTTATATTCTAGCCGCACTGGCAGCTAATTAGATGGTGCCCACCCAGATTAAGGGTGGGTCTGCCTTCCCCAGCCCACTGACTCAAATGTTAATCTCCTTTGGCAACACCCTCACAGACACACCCAGGATCAATACTTTGCATCCTTCAATCCAATCAAGTTGACACTCAGTATTAACCATCACAACGAAGAAAGAAACAAAAGTGAATTTACCAGAGAAGTCATGTCTTGCAGAAAGAACGTGGATTCTGGAGAAACCAGAGTACTCAATCCAGAAAGACACTTGTCTTTAAACCAAAAAAGATAAAAAACCTTTTATCATTCCAGGAGAACGTACAGTCCTTTATTAAAGGTGGCTTTATAACGAAACCAAATCCTGAATAAAGTTGATATAGGAGGAGTTAAGAAATTAGGCAGATAGGGTAAGGAAGTCCTTGGTAAGGTTTTCCTTTTATGAAAAGTAGCTCCCAAATGATTTTCTTTTCTAACAAAGAGCAGCCTGTAAAATTGAGCTGCAGACATAAACAAGGAAGCTAGAAGTTTGCATGGGTGAATGCCAGCAGCTGTGCCAATAGGAAAAGGCTACCTGGGGCTAGGCATATCCAACATGACAGCTCCATCTTCCCTTCTCTTTGCTAGCCACGCATACCATAAGAAGCAGACAAGATGGCACCAGCCAAGCAAAGACCTCATTTGCATAATAAGATTAGGGTGGTGCGGCCAGATTCCCTGGGCACTACGTAATGTCACACCTGGTCCAACCAATCTTTGGGCCCTATGTAATCAATCACCTCCTCAAGCCTGTCTATAAAATCTGTGCACTCCACTGTGGGCCGGAAGTCCCATTTGGGAGCCCATCTCTCTTGAAGGACAGAGCTAGCTGTTCTTTCTCTTTCTTTTGCCTAGTAAACCTCTGCTCTTAAACTCACTCCTTGTGTGTGTCTGTGTCCTTAATTTTCTTGGCATGAGGCAATGAACCTCGGGTATTACCTTAGACAACAACTCCTGTTCAAAGTCAAGAGCTTCTACCAAAAAGGGAGAGGCTTGGCCTGAGAGAAAATGCACCAGGGCAGAAAATGTGAGCCATAGAAACAGAGTGCTCAAAGGGCTCAGGCGAGTATTGCACACTAGTTCCAAGAGTCACGAATTCCTTCTGATATTCTTTTTCAGGTCCTGCTTCTGGACACCATTTATGTCACCCTACATAACAGAGAGGGTCTCTAAAAGAAAATAATATTTATTTAATAGGGCTGTATTAGTCTGTTCTTGCATTGCTATAAAGAAATACCTGGGCCGGGCGCGGTGGCTCACGCCTGTAATCCCAGCACTTTGGGAGGCCGAGGCGGGTGGATCATGAGGTCAGGAGATCGAGACCATCCTGGCTAACAAGGTGAAACCCCGTCTCTACTAAAAATACAAAAAATTAGCCGGGCGCGGTGGCGGGCGCCTGTAGTCCCAGCTACTCGGGAGGCCGAGGCAGGAGAATGGCGTGAACCCGGGAAGCGGAGCTTGCAGTGAGCCGAGATTGCGCCACTGCAGTCCGCAGTCCGGCCTGGGCGACAGAGCGAGACTCCGTCTCAAAAAAAAAAAAAAAAAAAAAAAAAAAAGAAATACCTGACGTCAGGTGTGGTGGCTCATGCCTGGAATCCTAGCACTTTGGGAGGCCAAGGTGGGAGGATTGTTTGAGCCCATGAGTTCAAGAGCATCTTGGGCAATATAGTAAGACCCTGTCTCTATAAAAAAATTAGCTGGGCATGGTGGAGCACACTTGTAGTCCCAGCTACTCAGGAGGCTGAGCTGGGAGGATTGCTTGAGCCCAGGAGGTCAAGGTTGAAGTGAGCTGTCATTGCGCCACTGCACTACAGTCTGGGTGTCATAGCAAGACCCTGTCTCAAAAAAAAAAAAAACAAAACTATAAGAGGTTGAACTGGTTCATGGTTTGCAGGCTGTAAGGCTGTAGAGGAAGCATAGTGGCATCTGCTTCTGGGAAGGCCTCTGGAATCTTACAATCATGGTAGAAGGCCAAGCGGGAACTTTCATGTCACATGGCCAAAGCAGGAGCAAGAGAGTAAGGGGGAAGGTGCCACACACTTTTAAACCTCAGGAGAACTTACTCACTGTCATGAGAATAGTACCAAGTTGATGGTACTAAACCATTCATGAGAAATCCACTCCCATGATCCAATCAGCTCCCACCAGGCCCCACCTCCAGTTGGGGATTACATTTCAACGTGCGATTTGGGTGAGGACACACATCCAAACTATATCAAGGGCATTGCAATGGGAATACCTATATAACACCATAGTAAACTATGTGTGTATTCAGGGAGGTAAAGGAACACAAAGGTTTTTTAAAGGAAAAATGAGGATCATTACATAATTGTTTTGAGATAATTATCCTGGCTACAAGGATCAGTAACAAGGGTGACACTAATCCAAGGCTGGACAGGCAGTTGCTAGACAGATGCCTTCAAAGGAGTAATTTTTGTGTAAGGTTGCAATGGCCTTTGTGCAAGGTTGCAATTTTTGCAGGTTTTTTTTTGATAGTTTTTGTTATCAGGCATTTATGCATGAGTACTCTCTCTTCATAGCTTTCCCTGGCTCAATTTATCAGGCTTTTTTGTTTTGTTTTGTTTTGTTTTGCTTTTTTTTAAACATAAGTGACTCCATTTTGATTCTGACAACTTTAACATTGACAACCATGAAAAGATTTCTCTCAGATCTCTGACTGCAGGGACTGTCATTGACTATTGGCCTCAGCTGGTATATTCTGAAATCTATTACTGTGTTTCCACCAAAACCATGCTTCCCATGGACTGCTCCTAGCCAATGATTGAGCATGGTGGGGATCCTAGGAAGGCCCATTCTTGGAATATGTGGGATTCCCCTGATGGCTCAAGGACTTCTTATCTGCCTTGCTGAACTTCCTTAGAACTGCACTGCACTCCAAGTCTCCTCCACTCATCTTTGCTTCCCTTTCTTTTTCACAAGGATTACACCAGCATCATCGTCTCTTGGCTCTTCCAGCCTCCCCAGAGTTCCTGCCTATCAGGCATCTGCTTCTCAGAGGACTGAGACACATTCCTGTTACTCCAAGAACAATTCTGTTACCAAGGACCAATGCTGTGGTCCGTGGACCAGCAGCACTGGCCTCATTAGAAACGCAGAATGTCAAGCCCCACCCCAAACCTACTGAATCAGAATCTCATTTTAACAAGATGATTCATGTATGCATTACAATTTGAGATGCACTGATTTAGATGATTTGGATTTTTCAGCAAATCCTTTAAATCTCAGTTTGGAAACTGAGTCCTTGCCAAGGTAAATATTTGGAATCACAAAGTAACAGATCATCTGCGTCCTGCATTTTTATAAGTCAAAGCCCAGCAAAGTTAAGGGACTGATTCAAGGTCATAGATTACATTAGAAGAGAGCCAGCACTAGAAGCCAGGTCTCTTGCCACCCAGCTCTTCCCTACCCCCGCAGGCTCTGCTGTGAGCAGGCTATTTGCTGTAAATATGCATTGTTTAGTGTGGTAGCAGTGGAAATAAGGCTAGTTGTGGTAGAGTACAAAATATATTTGTCCTTTGTTCTGGGTTCCTGGCGCACAGTGTCTAAAACCCTAGAAATTCCCTAAGTGATAGTTTGTTATTCCTAACACACCCCACCCTTTAGGAGTATCTTTTGCTATTCATAACTGCCCTTCGCAACACCTGAGTTTATGCTAACAAGGTGATTCAGGGTGGGGTCCCTAGCTAGGTTAAGGATGTGGGCTGGTCATCTGAAAGACCAAACAAGTGAATAGAGGGTGGGAACTTTCAGCCACCCCCAACCTCGGGGGAGGGAGGGTAACTTGAGACTGGGTTGTAAAAACTCTTGAATAATGAGATAAGGAGTGCCTCTGGGTTGGTGAACACATCAGATGCTGGGCAGGTGGTGTGTTGCCTCCCTCCATACCATGCATCTCTTCCCTTTGGCTGATCCTGAGGTGTATCCCTTAGAAATAAGCTGGTAAATGTAAGTAAAGTGTTTTCCTGAGTTATATGATTTGTTCTGGCAAATTACTGAACCTGAGGAGGGGGGATTGTGGAAACCTTCATATTTATAGCTGGTTGGTTAGAAGTTCTGGTGGCCCTTGGAACTTGCAACTAGTGTTTGAAGTGGGGGCAGTCTTGAGGACAGACCTGAACTTGTGGAGTCTACGCTAAATCCGGGGAGTTAGTGTCAGACTTGAACTGAATTGTTGGATGTCCAGTTGATGTTGGAGAACTGGTATAGAAACATGACATGCATTTGTTTTATCAGAAATGGCCTCTGAAAAAAAAATTAGTCCAAACTCAGATGTGCTGTAAGTATAAAATACACACTAGATTTTGAGGATTTAGTATGAACAAGGAATATATTTCATTAATTTTTTTTGGTATTGTTTACTCATTAAAATATTTTTGATATATTGGAGTAAACATATGGTAAAAACAAATATATTAAAATTAATGTCTTTTTTTAACTTGAAGATATCTATGGGGCTTGCATTATATATGTTTGATGGTGCTGCTGTAAACCCTATCTCTTCGTCAACACTGCTTTATTCACTGCTTAATTCATAGCTTTGGCTGGCATTGCTGAGGGCACTTCTCTGTTATCAGCTTGGGATCTTTCAGAAATTCTTTATGGGATGATAGGGCTACTTAGTAACTCTTACAAGAATCCCTGATTAAATACCTATAAATGTCAGTTTCCCTTGAGAAGCAAATGTGCCATGTTATTAGCAGTTTAAGCTCTAGCTCTGGAGTGGAGACAATAGAGTGAAGGGGTTTGGGAGGTGGGAATAAAGGATTTGGGTCAAAGGGGTTGGGAAGTGACTTATGCTATGTGCTCCTTTGAGTTTGCATCTTTCAAGAGCCCATTATTAGAAGGGTTTTGTCACTGGGACCACAGAAGGAAGGGCCCTGTTAAGGCTTCTGCAGGTTGCCAAGCCCTGGTCTTTCTCCCTTGGAACTGTAAAGCAAAAAAGTATATGAGACAGGTCTCAATCAATTTAGAGATTTATTTTTCCAAGGTTAAGGATCATGACCCAGGACACAGCCTCAGGAGGTCCTGAGAATACAAGCCCAAGGTAGTTGGGTTAAAGGCTCTTGTTTTTATATGTTTTAGGGAGACATAAGACATCAACCGACACATGTGAAGTATACATTGATTTGGCCTGGAAAGGCAGAAGCTTACAGGTCACAGGTGGATTCAAAGATTTTCTGATCGGCAATTGGCTGAAAGAGTTATTATCTAAAAGGCTGAAATTAATTGAAAGGAGAGTCTGGGTTAAGATAAGGGGTTGTAGAGACCTAGGTTCTTAGGTAGATGAAGTCTCATAGGTGGCTGCCCTTAGAGGCAACAGATAGCAAATATTTCCTATTCAGACCTTTAATAAAAGGTACTAGACTCTTAGCTAATCTCTTCAGGATCAGAAAAACACCGGGGAAGGGAAAGGGATCCTCTACAGAATGTAAATCCCCTCCCCCCGCACAAGATACAGCTTTGCAGGGCCATTTCAAAATATGTAAAAGGAATGTATTTTGGGATTAAAAAAGCTTTGATTTCCTTCAGGGCTTGCTATCTGTTGTGTGATGCTATACTAGAGTCAGGTTGGAATTTGGTATTTTATTGTGACAGTCTATTTTGTCAGTCTTAAGATCTGTTTTAATGTTAATGCTGGTCTGTTGTGTCTAAACTCCAAAAGGGAGAGGGTATAAAGAGGCATGTCTACCTCCTTGCCCGAGCATCATGGCTGGAACTCGTTTTTCAGGTTTCTCTGGAACCCCCTTGGCTGAGAGGGGGTCCATTCAGTCATCTGGGGGGCTTGGAATTTTATTTTTGTTTACAGAACCCAGTATTCTCCCCGTTCACAGTTAAGACCTGAGGAATGAAGGGCATCCAGATACTGACGCTGTGAACACAGCTTCTACTCAACCCCTAATCCCAGTTGTCTCCCTCCTGACTGAATCTCAGGGACACGGCAATGTGTAATGGTAGCTGTTGAGAGGCCTAGGACCAAGGAAAGGCTTGAGGGCCCTTGGCTAGATCAGCATGCTCTTGAGACTGAGGAGAACCGAAAGCTCAAGGGAATATGTCACTATCTATCTCACCTTGAGCCTCAGTGGCTATTTGGGATCCTCTTGCTTGGCTCAGAGGACTCTGGATGTCAAAGGACTTAAAGGCTCTGCCCTAGATGAAAACTTGCATTCTCTGTTGGCTACATGAGGTAAACTCATGGGCTTAACCAAGGAAGTACTGTCTAGAACTGAAATCACTGATCATTTGTACTGTTTAACAATTCCGTTTGGGAGGCCGAGGAGGGTGGATCACGAGGTCAGGAGATTGAGACCATCCTGGCGAACACGGTGAAACCCCATCTCTACTAAAAATACAAAAAATTAGCTGGGCGTGGTGGTGGGCCCCTGTAGTCCCAGCTACTTGGGAGGCTGAGGCAGGAGAATGGTGTGAACCCGGGAGGTGGAGCTTGCAGTGAGCCGAGATTGCGCCACTGCACTCCAGAACTCCAGAGCCTGGGCAACAGAGTGAGACTCTGTCTCAAAAAAAAAAAAAAAAAAAAAGTTCCCTGAAGCAGAAAAATCTGCTGCTCAAACAGACTTCAATGTCTCATGCCTAAAATTTTCACAAATTACCATATACTCTGGGTGGTGGAATGGACCCAGAATAGGTAAGGGACTTAAGCAATTTCAAACAGCTTATTAGAGACAGTGGTAGGAGTGGCAGCACATATGAGAATCTTGGCCTCAAGTCTCTTACCTAAACTCTGCAGAAGTGTGTCTGGAACCCAGAAGCTCATGCTAACATGTCCAGTATCCCTAGTTACTTCTTGAGCAAAGGGCAGTGATGACATTAGGAGAATGAAGGAACAAAGTGGGTCATGCTTTGTTTTATTCTTGAACCTTTAGTCCCATGTATGAATCCTGAGTGTTACCCTCCTGAATGCTGTGCACTACAGAATGAACTTTAGTTCACAGTAAATGAGGGATGCTTTTTCTTAAGAAATAAATTTAATTCAAGGTGGTTAGTGAATGTGAGGCAATGTAATGCCTTCACGAAAGTTAAAGTAATCCAGTTACAAAAGAAGCACTGTGTATAGTCTCAAATAGCTGAAGGTACAATGGGCTCCATATTTTACAAAGTACAAAAAATTATTTCATATACAAAGAAAAATACAAATAATGTGCAAAAACCATTTTCACAGGTGGCAATTTATAAAATGGAAATGATAGAAAAGTCCTTCATTCTTAATTATCCCCAGATTTCTTATATATTAACACAGTTCTATTTCCTAGTGTGTGGACAATTTTAAATTTGAAATTCTGATTTATTTTTAATCTACAAAGTATTTTTATTTTTTAAAAGGGAACCATTTCATTATTGAAATCTTATGAATGCATCAGTTAATTTATATTAAATTATAAGCAGGCTATCTGAAAAACAAGGATATAGAAATCATATATACACATTTTTGAAATATTAGTTTAGTATTTAACATATTAACATTTCAAAACAAATGCAATGATCTAGCTACCTATGACGCCAGCTGGTGTCAGTGGTTGTAGCGAAGATGCTGTTTCTGTTTACCATGAGCAAACAGCATTTCTTGGGTCTTAAGCTAAACAATCACAAGTTATCAAAGTAAAGAAAATCTAAAGACAGTTCTTACTTTTCATGTGTAGAAGTGTAGTTTGGGTATCCAGTCATGCCACAGTGTGACTGTGGTCAACACAGCCCTTGTCACAGGTGCGTATGGTCCTAAATAGCTGGCCTCTGTCTTTCCAACATCTTCACTTCATTGGGAATTCAGTGCAAGTGTTTGTTTTGTGAGTTAGTGCATTCAGCTTTTTTTGCATGTTATTTTGAAAAAGAAGCTGTCAGGAAGCAGAAGATACATAAGAACACAAGGCCCTGGATCCTCAGAGCACCTCTGGTCTAGAGAATTCAGTGTTTTGGAAGTAGTGTTTTCCTGCATTGGGCTGGTCATTGTTGTACCATTCCCTGGATAATCTTTTTCCATCAGAATAATGCTGTGTGCTCCCTCTTTGCCTGCTACTGAACAATGACGTCTCTTGTTGTGAACCCCACTGGCAGAGCACGGACCATGGAAGCATCTTTTGGCAGCACCAGAGAACTGAGCATCTCAAAGGTCAGGCATTACAAGTAGATGTCTCTCATAGGAAACCTAGTCCAGGTAGAATATGAGACAATCTTGGAGGGTTTTGATTTTTGCTTGTTAAACAGGTCTCCGAGGAAATTATGACCTCAGAGAACAAAAAAGGATCTATAGCTTTCATGAAGAAGGACCCAAGTAGGTGGTAGCCATTTTGCCTGGGTGAGGTTCACAGTTGGCTCAGGAGACATCTTCTGATCATTAACCACTAAGACCCTGTTAGAAAAATTTAGTGCAAGATACAGGGAGTGCATGGGGCTGTTGACCAGACCTGTGTGAAACACCTATTCAGGTTAAGTAGATATAGCAACCCCTGCAAGAGGGGACTGGGCAGGAGAACCTCAGGCCCTGGGATAACTTGTTGTCAGCTCCTCAAGGATCCATGCTTCTTTTTCTATCTATCTGGCAGCATGAGTTCTTCTGTTTCTTCTGCGTGGGTTGACCATGGGCATCAGGCATCAGAGATACAACTCTGGATCTTGTCCATCCATTGCTGGGCACTCTGTCCATCCTGGGCGCAGAAGTTATACACACGTTTGCTGGTCTTGAGCTACAAAACCAAATGACAGTGAACCAGAGATGAAGGGCAGGGCTGTTTTATGGATTTGGGTAAGTGGTAAATCAGTTCCTGTGACCTTTCTTTTCCATACTGCCCCAGAACGTCTGTATGAATTTTTCTTCCTCAACTACCATACTGTTATTGCCTTTACTTTTGTGGTCTCTAGAGTCATAGGGGATGTTGATAGAAGGGTACTGGCAGGAAAGGGAGACACACTGGGAGCGCCTTATTTTGCATTTTCTTAGTGTCGTCTTTGACTAAGGAGGAAGGGTCAGCAATGAATGGTGCCTTTAACCTTTCCCATGCACTGCACCAATGCACTGAAGGTGAGGGAGCTCCTTGTGCTCCAGGGGGATGCCTGAGATTCATGCATACCATAAAGTTGGCCTTCGTGTCCCCTTTCTTTAGTTGGAGCCATATTGGAAGCCCACTGTCAGGAAAACGGTCTCATGGCCTGAGCAGGGCCATAGAGGATGACCTATCCTCTTTATAAAGCCCTGCTTGACTCCAGGGACTACATAAGTCTCCTTCTATTATGTGGCCTATAAAGTGCCCCATGGCCTACCTAAGGGCTGCTGAAGATGTTAGCGTAGACACTTATCATGTGTGACTAAGGACAGTCTTTTGTGGGTAGTCAAGCACGAAGACCACTGAATACTAGGGAAATAGCATCTGTTCTTGAAAGTAGGTGGTGACTGAAATAACTAACAACATTTAACAAGGAGTTCATCTGTTTCCATGTGCGCTGGACTCCTTTTGCACAAAGCAATATGTAGCTTTTCTGAGACATACAGACAGGAAGAGAGGATAGCCTTGGGGGTCAATAATGCTGAGTTCAAGCTCTGGAACAATTCCCATAGCCAAGGGGGTCTGTCATCCATCTGTAGTCACCACCAATTACTCTGAGGGCTCCATCATTCTTGGAGACAGACAGAATGATGTGCAGACAGAGCCAGGAAAAGAGAAGTAAGATCAACTTACATCAAAGAAAGCCTTGTCACTTGTGTGCTTTGGGGCTCCCATGCTGGGGCCAGCAGGGATGACCATTTCTACTTCAGCCAGATCAATGTGGCCTTTACAGCTTGTGTCCTCACCTGAGTCATAGTAGCGCAGCTGGAACCAAAAGGATACAAGTGAGATATAAGAGACAGAAAGAGAAAATGCCATGGCTTTTCAAACTGCATTTGAATACCTTCCTCTGTACCTTGGTTATATATGCTGAACTATGCCTCGAAGAATACACAAAAAATTAATTAATAATACTTGTTGCTTCTAGGAAGAACTAGGTGGCTTGGAGAAAGCATTGGGGGAAAGACTTATGTACTGTTTGAAAATCAAACAAATAAATGTATTACATCTTAAAAAATAGAATCAAGGCTGGGCATGGTGGTTTATGCCTGTAATCCCAGTCCTTTTTGGGAGGTGAAGGTGGACGGATCACTTAAGCCCAGGAGTTCGAGACCAGCCTGGGCAACATGGTGAAACCCCGTCTCTACAAAAACATACAAAAATCAGCCAATCGTGGTGGTGCATGCCCGTAGTTGCAGCTACCCAGGAGGCTGAGGTGGGAGGATTGCTTGAGCCTGTGAGGTCGAGCTGCAGTGAGCTGAGATCCTGCCACTGCACTCCAGCCTGAGTAAGACCCTGTCTCAAAAAATAAAAAAAAAAAAAAGAAGTCAAGTAACAACTGTAAAAAGTATATGTAACATATAAAAAGAGGGCTAATGTTTAGTAATATACAGAATTCCCAGAAATTGATAAGAAAAAGATAAAGTAGAAAAATGCTCAAAATATCTCAACAGGCGAGTCACAGAGAAATACAAATGATCTATAAACATCTGAAAAGATGATCAACCTCATTAATCAAAGAAAAATAAATGACAATAAATGAGATTTCACTTTTGGATTGAGAAATATTAAAAATGGCTGATGATATCCAATAAGGTACTAGATCATCTCAAATACTGCCAGTGTGAATATAATTTGTTAGAAATTTTTTGGAGAACAATTTGGCAATATCAACTAAAATTTAGAATGTTTATGCCTATTGAAACATCTTTCCAGGCCGGGCACGGTTGCTCATGCCTGTAATCCTAACACTTTGGGAGGCTGAGGCGGGTGGATCACTTGAGGTCAGGAGTTTGAGACCAGCCTGACCAATATGGTGAAACCCCGTCTCTACTAAAAATACAAAAATTAGCTGGGCATGGTGGCAGGCGCCTGTAATCCCAGCTACTCGGGAGGCTGAGCCAGAGAATGGCGAGAACCCAGGAGGTGGAGCTTGCAGTGAGCCGAGATTGCACCACTGCACTCCAGCCTGGGTGACAAAGCGAGACTCTGTCTCAAAAGAAAAAAAAAAAAAAAGAAAAAAGGAAAAAAGTCAAAGAGACTGCTAGGGAATAAGCCTTATTGGGCCATAATCTGTGGATTTCACTCTCTAGTATACATGGCAAGAAAGTGGTGCTTCTGATACCGTGGCTCTGACCTGAGACTTTTCTCTGTCTCTCCTCTCAGGCATGGTATGAGCAGGGCTAAGTGGAAAAAACTGTATCTATCTTTCATGTTAAAGAAGTCCAGAAGACTGGTAAGAATGCAAGTGTAATTTGATGTAAATTATAGAAAAATTATGACATTCTCCTATGTTATATTTAGAAGCTTAATGGAACTTTTTTACACAGTGTAGGCTCTATGATTTCAGAGTATAGCTCCCTAACAGGGCTTCCATTTGTATATTTGAACATAAATTATCTATCTATATTGTCCCACAAAGACTCTGTAATCGTTATGAAACTCCTTGAGCAGAGGAAAAGCTGGACTCCAAATACAGTCTTCATTTGGAAGGAGTCTTTTAGATGCAGGTCCAACCAAAGCACTGTACAGGAGTAACAGTTCAGGTTTTTCCTAACAGATTCCATTTTATAGATAAATGCATTGAGAATCAAAATGTGTAAGCCTCAGCCTCAAGGCTGAGTGGTCAGTCCCAAGGTGGAGTTAAGGCCTGCAGTCAGAACACAGGAGACCATGCAGCTCTCAGTAATGCAGGGTGCAGAGTTGCTGGAGGTTTGGGTAGGAACTGCTCTCCCTTGAAATCACTGGAGTAAAGACTATGATGCTAAGGATTGCAGAGGCTGCTACAGGAATAGCTAAGAACCTAACAGTAGTCAAAAGATTTCTTGACATAGTCAGCAAGGACCAGTCTAGTACTTGCCCACGGTGAATTCCAAGTTTGGGTGGGCACATCCCCTTCTGCCGCTTTTGGGGCCCCTTTACTCCCCTGTTGCTGCCATCTTTGAAGGGTAACAGTGCCTCCTTTAGTAACCAGTACAGCAGTGGGCACAGAGGTGGTGTTCGATAAATGTTTGTAGAATAAATTAATGCCCTCTGTTTTGAATGGATGCTTTCTGCTGCGAGGACGAAGGTAACTTGTATTCTGGGGAGTGTTCACAGGCATAGGCTTATATGTGCATGTGGTATGTATGCAACTGGCTGAAAACCTCAGGAATCCCCTCACCTGGGTGTTAAGATCAGGCAGCAAGAGATATTTGAGCATTAAAAAAAGAGTTCTATTGCTCTATGCTCTGGGCTCAATTGTTGCTGCCTCTGCCTGCATGTACCAGGCCGAGCTACTTGGGAAACTCCCTCAGAAGGCTATTGCCCTTACTCAGGGACATCTGGGGCCCTTGAGGAGCCTCCAGACTACATATGAGAGGCACTAAAAAAGCAGTCTGTACATGAGGAATCTATCTGTCTGCTAGAGCCACATAATAGCCAGGGACTGGGACTAGCCTAGACAGAAGTAATTTCTTTTGGCTTTAAGAGTATTACCTGATGTTTTGTTACATCCAAAACAAACCAACGGGGCTTCCAACCTTTCAGCAAAGCCCCTCTTTTATAAAGTGTTCCCTCAAAGGACCTAGAAGAAATGATGACAGGAGAGTTAATTTTGATTTACACTTACAAAATGCTGTAAAGGGGAGGGGATATCTGTTGTTTTTGTCAAGTCTCTATTTCCCCTAGATGATTCAAAAATGGCCTATAAGAGTTCTCCCTGGATTTTTTCTGCTAGACCTCTGGGGAAAGACTGCTGCTTTCTGCTGGGATTACCACATCTGTGAGGCTTGGAATGATCAGTAGCCATCCTTTGTGCCATGTTGGGACTGACATAACACAGAGAGAGGGCAAAGCAGAGCCAGGAAGTGGATAGAAGATACTGTGTGAGAAGCTAGCATACCCTTGGCTGTCCTAGCTTATGTGAGTAAATTCCTTTTTGCTTCAGCTAGCATAAGCTGGATTTCTGATGTGTGCCACTGACAAAGTGCTGGCTGACACATGTTCCCTCAAACGTTCTGGCAGACAGGAGATAAGAGCCATCAGGACTCAACTACAAATAACTACAACCTCTTCGAATTATTTTTAGTTGTAATTTTTGTTTTTTGTCTTTTCAAAGAAACATCTAAAACATTACAAAAATTAAAGCAAATCCATTTCAAGTTTATAAAAGGCTGTACTGCACAGGCCTAGCTTATTGAGGGACCTGTGGTTTAGCCTCAGGTGCTGTGGGGAAGTCTTCAGCACAGCGAGCAGGGTTCAGCATGTCACCTGTTTTCATCATTCTTGGATGTATACTGGCTATAGAGCGTGGCTGCTCTTCGCTCCACTCCATTGGATGGGGAGATGCTGGAATTCTGTTCCTCCCCCATGCTGCTGTCTGGGAGATGTAGCAGAGACCTCTTCTGATAGGAAGGTAGGTTGGTAGACACAATTCCTGGGGATCTCGACAGGTGTCTTTGGGACTGAAAAAGACAGGACAGGAGCTAGGAAACCTTTACAGACACTTAAACTACTGACTGGAAAATTTCATTTACAAATATTTATCTCAAGGAAAAAACTGGACTAATAAGCAACAATAATGTACAAAGGTATCAATCTCAGAGTTAGTTATCGTGGTAAAAAACTGGAAACAACCTACACGTCCATTATTAGGGACATTAAACAAATTATGGCATTTCCATACAGTGGAATTCTAGACAGCCATTAAAAAATGATGCTGCTATGACCAGGCGTGGTGGCTCATGCATGTAATCCTAGCACTTTGGGAGGCCGAGGTGAGTGGATCACTTGAGTCCAGGAGTTCGAGACCAGCCTGGGCAACATGGCGAAGCCCCATTTCTACAAAAAATATTTTAAAAATGAGCCAGGTATGGTGGTGTGTGCCTGTAGTCCCAGCTACTTGGGATGATCACCAGAACCCTGGAGGTTGAGGCTGCAGTGAGCCATGATCACGCCACTGCACTCCAGCCTAGGTGACAGAGTGAGACACTATCTCAAAAAAAATAAAGATGTTGATGGTTTTTTTTTTGAGACAGGGTCTCACTCTATCGCCCAGGCTGGAGTACAGTGGCATGATCTCGGCTTACTGCAACCTCTGCCTGCTGGGTTCAAGTGATTCTCCTGACTCAGCCTCCCAAGTAGCTGGGATTACAGGCACACACTACCATGCCTGGCTAATTTTTTGTATTTTTAGTAGAGACAGAGTTTCACCATGCTGGCTATGCTGGTCTCGAACTCCTGACTTCATGCCTGCCTCGGCCTCCCAAAGTGCTGGGATTACAGGCATGAGCCACTGCGCCTGGCAGACACTGGTTTATACACAGTGACAGTTGGAAGGACACGTATGCCAACGTGGAGTGAAAAAGCAGGTTTAAAATAGTATGTCTAGAAAATCTCTTTTATATGTGAATTTATAAGGGTAAAACAAGTTTGATAGCATAGTGGTTTACTTCTAGGTTATAAATTATGGGTGATTCTCATCTTTTATAACTTTCTGTGTGTTCTTTCAAAAAAATGAACATTATTACTTTCATTATTAGAAAAAATCAATAAACTATTATTTTTCTAACAAAAAAGCATTAAGGCATCACCCACCTGTTGTCTGTCTGATAACAGCTCCTGAATTGCTATTTGAGGGTAAGAGATAGAGCCCCAGATGTTCTTTTTTTACCACAAAGGTTTTCTTCTACCCTCCATTCTTCTTGACCTTTCTGTAACATCTGACCTGCTGGCCTCTTCTTCCTGAACTGTTCTTCAGAACACTCATCTGTCCTAATTTCCCTTCTGTTGCATTTGGAGCCAGTCTGATGTGGGTTCGATTGGTGGCTCTACCAGTTGCCACTGTATGCTCTCTGTGCCTGTTCCTTGTGTAGGAGAGGGAACGCCATTCCCTCACAGTGGATTAAATAGGATACGAAGGTGTGTACTGTACTAAGCACAGACCCTTCCACATATTATGTGCTTGATAAATGTTTCTTAAATCAGAAATAGGAAATGGGGTATGAGAAGCAGAAAACAGAGTATTTGGTTTTAAAATATATATATACATTTTTTTGAGACGGAGTCTTGTTCTGTCACGAGGCTGGAGTGTGGTGGCACGATCTCGGCTCACTCACTGCAACCTCCGCCTCCTGAGTTCAAGAGATTCTCCTGCCTCAGCCTCCTGAGTAGCTGGGATTACAGGCATGCGCCACCACACCCAGCTAATTTTTGTATTTTTAGTAGAGACGGGGTTTCACCATGTTGGCCAGGATGGTCTCGATCTCTTGACCTCGTGATCCGCCCACCTCGGCCTCCCAAAGTGCTGGGATTATAGGCGTGAGCCACCGCACCCGGCCGTTAAAATATTTTTATGATAAATGTTTCTTAAGTCAGAAACAGAAAAGGGACTGTGAACAACACAGGGTAGCATATTTTGTTGTTTTAAAATACTTTCTGTGGAGCAAACGTGGTCTTGGCATTCCCCTCCTGCCTTATGTGGTAGAAGATCAGCTGAAACCACACGGGCACTGAGATAGAAAAGAACCCAATACTTTTCCTTGGATTCGGGGTGCTGAGACATAAGTATTATGTCACTGTGGTGAAGTGAGACACTCAGGAAGTATTCAGTCATTTGGAACTTTCTGCCCTGGACCTCCAGGACATGACCCCTCCCCTTTCCACCCTTCCTTCTGGCCATAAACCCAGCTGGGTCTTGTCACCTGTGGCAGCAGGCTCCACCTGACTTAGCACCCTCAGAAAGCTCAGAAGTGGCTCTCAAGGGGCATTGCCAACTCACGCGATCTGTTCTTGGTTCTTCTTTAAGGTCCACGGTTACCCTTTCCCACAGCTGCTGCCACTTCTCAGGGGCTTGGTTCAATTTGTGCTCCAATTTTTCAATTTCCTGCAAAGAAATTAAAAGTTTTCTGATCAGTATTTCATAGAAATCAGGATGGGCCCCAAAGCCACACTGCTTCTGTACTAGGCCCAGATGAGCAGCATGGCCAGAGGGCAGTTGAGGAAAGTGGTGGACATGGGCCTGTGAGGTCTCCCAGCCAGGAATAGTGGTGAGAGCTCTAGTTGGTGTGCCGTACTGTGGCAAAGATGGTTTATTAGGACCTATAACTAGGCCTTTTTGTACAGGATAGCTTACATACTAGGATGTGAAATATGTATCTCAGACATCTGCACCCTTGGGCAGCCCATGGGAAATCTGATAGCCAAAGCAAGAGGTCAAGCACTGGCCCGTGGCCCAGCCCTAATAGCTGAGGTAGATGAGAAGCCAGTCCTTGACAGGAGGAACCCCTCAACTCTGATGATTCAAACCAGATGTGGAAAGAATGAACCAAGAAATGCCCAAGGAAACAGATATACCTTCTGACAGGGAAGCTGGAAATCAGGGCAGCTGCCTCTGTGACTGTATGACCACTGAAGCATACTCTTCCTGGTCAGGAAGCCAGATGGGGAAGACTCTTTAGGAACTGTCTGGCCCATATCAGGGCTCAAAGCTATTCCTCAGGCTGGCTACTGCCAGGAGGGGTTGGTTCCGGAACATTCCTTGCAGAAGATGGTTGACAGCACTCCCATCAGGCCACTGACTACCCACACTTCTGACCAGAGGAAGTAAAGCACCCACAGAAGCCACAGCCAAGACCTGACTAAGGCTGCTCGGGCAACTAAAACAGCTGGGAAGCTGCTGGAAGGAGTAAATTGCTCTATTTGCTTGATTGCTTTCTTGTAACGCTGGAAAATCACTTTTTTTTTTTTTTTTTTTTACTGAGACGGAGTCTTGCTCTGTCACCCAGGCTGGAGTGCAGTGGCGTGATCTCTGCTCCCTGCAAGCTCCGCCTCGCAGGTTCATGCCATTCTCCTGCCTCAGCCTCCCGAGTAGCTGGGACTACAGGCGCCCGCCACCACGCCCGGCTAATTTTTTTTTTTTTTTTGTATTTCTTAGTAGAGATGGGGTTTTACTGTGTTAACCAGGATGGTCTCGATCTCCTGACCTTGTGATCTGCCCGCCTCAGCCTCCCAAACTGCTGGGATTACAGGCGTGAGCCACCGCGCCAGGCTGGAAAATCACTTTTATTGAGACTCTTTTCCAGTAGTGAAGCCTGGTCCCCCACTGATGATGGGGAGCAAATCTGGTTTCTTCATAACCATAACCCTAGCTCAGAGTAAGGAGAGCCATGTTCAGAAGTTACTTAGCCTGGTTCCTTTGCCCTCATGCCTCCAGGGCCCCTGGTGCCCCTAGGTGTGTGTCTACAGTTGACTTACACTGAAAAGGCTGGTGAGAGCATCAGGCTGAGTACAGCTGACATCATCATAGCATGGCCACACTGTTCTCCTCTGGCTCCGTGGCCCAGCTTCTCCAGCCAGGTCAGAGTCTTCGGAGGGGAAGTGCTTGGGGGTTAGCATCATCCAGTCATAGGAAGGGCCTGTGGACAGGGTCTCTTCTATGTAGTAATCCCACTTCTTGAGGCTAGAGACGTTTACATTGGGCTTTAGAGCCTGTTAAAGAAAACAGAAATATAGTTTCATCTTGACCCCAAAGTACCCCAAGCTCACTGTCAGGCAAACCCCTAACATTTATAGAGTCCAGGGGAGGAAGAGTATGAATGGAGTTCAAATACCATATTTCTAAATATTTAAAAATCATACATCAAGATAAATTATTAAATAAAACATTCTCCAATCCTCCCTCCTACATTGAGAAATGTAACTTCCTAATGACGTAGAAGGTCAAGTTCAATAGAGAATTCTTGGATTCCTCAGAATTTTATACTAACAAGTGGTAGCACTGGAGGAGCTGGCCCCAGCCCCCTGTCCTTGGCCTCTCTTCTCCACCCACCCCTATCTTACATTCTAAGGGTCTTAACATGAATCATTATGTATACCCCAGCCCACAAAGTCAAACTCTGTCCACTCTGTCAAACCTGCTACTTTTTGCCATTCTTTGGGCCTTGGGGTCCATGCACTGACTTAGGAGACTGACTTGGAGAAGTAGCCTGGTGAGCAGCCTGAATTTGGGCAAAGAATTCTGAAGTACCCAGACAGAGTATGGTTTAGATGAAGGAGGGGCATCTAAGCATGTACCTTTGGTTTCTTGTACTGCTCACCTCCATGAGGAGGATGCAGCTGGAGGAAGGCCAGACTAGGGTTCTATGATTGGGGCCCAGGGGAGGGGCCTCTCTTGGCCCTAAGTAATGGTGGAACTGCTTATCAGACCAGTCTGTTGCATTCCAGGGCGTGTGTTATGTAGATGTGCATGGTGGGGCAGTTGCCCCGAGATATGTTATCCTTCTTGGGCTTGGCTCCGAATATCTCTGCTTCCTACAGGGGTCCTTCCATGGCTTTGGTACAGATGAACTTAAAGAAACCTTTTCTAAAGTATTTTAAGGTTTTTCAGCTTAGACCACCTGTTGATATTTCAAATTTTGTTAGTTCTTTCTTTCTGGGGAAAGGTGCCTTGCTTTGATTCTCTGCAAGTTTTCCCTTCTAGGTTTTGAGAGCCAGCTCCTAATTTTTGTGGCAAGAATTTAGGGAACAGTCTCCATTTGTGTCACAACCCAAACCTATAGTGTCTCAAACTTTGAAATAGCTTTTTGGTATGAAACCTAGTCCAATGTTTATAAAAAGCTTAAACTGCTTATATATGTTAAAACTAAGGAAAACCTTAACACAAAATTTCAGAAAGTGAAACATAAATGATTTCTTACTCTACCTCTATTTCCAATGGTGAATATAAATAATTAAAGAAAATGGGACTCCTCTTGTGCATTCTGTCAATACATTCCCAAATACAGACTCCTTTTTTGGCATGCTTTTCTCCTTTATCATCAAATAAAGTTCCTGTAGATTAAAAAAATCCAACAAAACAAAATTAAATAAATTCACACTTTGCCAAAAAACGTATGATGCATGCAGCAGATAAAAAAGTGGAATATTTTTTATGGCTTTAAAAACAGCAACATTTGTGTGAAAACCTTAGAAAATAACTGCAAAGCTAAAGACCGGAATGAATTTCATCGCTACAGGGAAACAGATCCAGATGGAGGAAACATCTGATAAAGTTTGCCTAAGCAGCCAGCAGTCTATCAATCATGACTCTTCCAACCCTCATCCTGCATCTATATCTAGATTCAAAGAAGTCCATGCAGGAGGCAGTCTACACTTTTCAAGAGAAAATGGAAGGACTTCAGAGTTGATTTGATGAAGCTCAGTAAAAAACATAATTTTATGTTTCTCTTTTAAGTTGTTGGCTGTTTGTTTATTATGAAGCCATTTAAAGAGTTTTCTTGTTTAGCAGTGTATATATACTGCAGATCATGGTTACTGAGACTCTAGATGACAGAAGCGTGTAGTCTGTGTCCTTGGGTGACTTAAAAATAAAAGCAGAACTTTTATACCTTTTTCAAATAGTCAATCTATTACTAACATGAGCCCACTTTGTTTTTAATAGGGAGGAAAATGTGTTGGGGTGAGGCAAAAAGTAGTTCTTTAAAAGGCCATGAAGGGTGTCTCAGCAGTGGTGTCTTGCTTGGAATGAAGTGACATAGTCAAAATCAACATGCATTTTACCAGTTTATCAAAAAAAAAAAAAAAAAAAGACTCAAGCCCAAGATGGCATGAAATTCTATAATATGTGGGGCCCCTAAGACTAATTAACAGTTTCTTCTCTACCTTTTAACTGCAGGGTCCAGTGCAGTAGTTCTCAACCTTGGACATGGATTTAAAAAACCAAGGGCTTTAAAAAAATCCCAGTGTCCAGGTCTCACCTCAGACCAATTAAATCAGAATCTCTGGGGATGGCCCGAGATATTAGTTATTTTAAAAGTTCAAGTAACTCCAATGTCCAAAGTTGCAAATGCTCTAGGGGTTGCAGTAAGATTTTGAAAGCCACCTTGTATATTGCTCCATTTGGCGCCTTGAGGCATGGATTAGACTGAAAGGCTGTGTGGTAGTCAGCCCAAGTTGAAATAGGCTCTAGGCACCTTTGTAGACAGAAAGAGAATGAGCTGAAACCAGAAGAGGAGATGCAATACATGGCCCTCTGTTCCTTAGGGCTGTTGTAACATCTTGTAATTGGAACCAAGTCCAATGGACTTTTCTTACAGTATCCATATGGCTGGCTTAGGGCAACATGTACACATATAAGGAACATCTTAAAAACAGTCCAAATCAGACAGCTAGTGCCAAATCCTATCAAATTATAACCCTATAATCCAGTATGTAATAATCAACATATTAAGCTTTTAGGACACAGGAGAATTCATTGTGTTTAAGTTTTTCTGATAAAATCTTAAAAATTATGACTCAGCGTGGTGCGGTGGCTCACATCTGTAATCCCAGCACTTTGGGAGGCTGACGTGGGCGGATCACTTGAGGTCAGGAGTTTGAGACCAGCCTGCCAACATGGTGAAACCCCATCTCTACTAAAGATACAAAAATCAGCTGGGTGTGGTGGCGGGCACCTGTAATCCCAGCTACTCGGGAGGCTGAGGCAGGAGAATCACTTGAACCCAGGAGGTGGAGGTTGCAGTGAGCTGAGATCGTGCCACTGCACTCCAGCCTGGCGACAGTGTGAGACTCCATCTCAAAAAAAAAAAAAAATTATGACTGATGAATTCTACCAGCAGTGGTTGAGATTACTTACTCTCCACTTCGTCATTTTGGCAGATAGAGGGTAGTTACCACAGGTGTTCCTAAACAAGGTTTCACTGTAGGCCTGATAACGAGTGCATCTACCAGAACACAAGAAGGAACAGACTTCAAGTAGGCAACCTAGTCTGGACTAGGGACACGAAACTAGGCTTCCTTGATGTTGATTAGGTGGGTGGCCTAACATCCAGAGAGGAGGCTGGGTAGATGATTTCTACTGAGGCTTCGGCAATGACATTCTAGGATTCGAAATGCATGTTTATGTGTTGTTGTTTTTGAGACAGGGTCTCAACCCTGTCACCCAGGCTGGAGTGCAGTGGTGTGATCTCGGCTCACTGCAGCCTTGACCTCCTGGGCTCAAGTGATCCTCCCACCGCAGCCTCCTGA
Organism: Homo sapiens; assembly: GCF_000001405.40. NCBI lineage: Eukaryota > Metazoa > Chordata > Mammalia > Primates > Hominidae > Homo > Homo sapiens. The sequence continues at coordinate 9,792,880 of NC_000011.10, forward strand.
ACAGCTGCAACTACAGGAGTGCGCCACCACACCCAGCTAATTTGTGTGTGTGTGTGTGTGTTTTTTTTTTTTTTTTTTGTAGAGATGGGGTTTTGTCATGTTGCCCAGGCTGGTCTTGAACTCCTGGGGCTCAAGCAAGCCGCCCACCTCAGCCTCTCAAAGTGCTAGGATTATAGGTGTGAGCCGTTGCACCCAGCCTGTGTTTATGAGTTTTAAGAGGAAACATGTTTCATAGGATGGAAATGCTTATATTTTCAAATAATCATGATAATCTTTCAATATATACCAAACATATCTTTTTATCCGCATCATTGTATTTAATCTTTTCAACAGCCCTGTGTGATAGGCAGGGCTGTTTAGTTTTTCAGATGAGAAAACTGAGACTCAGAGATGAAGTAATTTACCCAAAGTTACTGACATTTTCTGATCCTTGATCTACGGCTCTACCCGTGGGACCAGTGGTGGGTCTCAGACTTGGCAGCATAATGGGCTCACCTGGGGAGTTTTTATTTTTTATTCTTTATTTTTGAGACAGGGTCTCACTCTGTCACCCAGGCTGGAGTGCACTGGTGCGATCTCAGCTCACTGCAACCTCTGCCTCATGGGGTCAAGAAGTTCTCGTGCTTCAGCCTCCCAAATAGCTGGGATTACAGGCACATGCCACCACGCCTGGCTAATGTTTGTATTTTTAGTAGAGATGGGGTTTCGCCGTGTTGGCCAGACTGGTCTCGAATTCCTGGCCTCAAGCAATTCACCCACCTTGGCCTCCTCAAAGTGCTGGGATTACAGGCGTGAACCACCGTGCCTGGCCTTACCTGGGGAGTTTTAAAAGCTGTTGATGCCTGGGCCTTACCATCACAGATTCTGATTTAAGTGGTTGGGGATGTTGCCTGGACCTTGGAAGTTTTAAAAGCTCCCCAGGTGATTCTAATGTTCAGTCAAGTCTGAGAACCACTGCACTAGACCTTGTTGCTTCTCTAATGAAGAGAACCATCATCTGCTATAGGAGAAGCCTTGGTCTTTGGCCACATCTGCATGCTGCTAAGGTAATTTGCTGATCAGCTTAATTCAGCAAAACAAACTGCTTTATTAAAAAACCAAAAACTTAGCCTGGGCAAGATGGCAGAACCCTATGTCTACAAAAAGTACAAAAATTATGTGGGCATGGGGGCACATGCCTGTGGTCCCAGCTACTCAGGAGGCTGAGGTGGGATATCGCTTGAGTCCCAGTGGCAGAGGTTGCAGTGAGCCGAGATCCTGCCACCGCACTCCAGCCGGGGAGACAGAGGAGACCCTGCCTCAAAAACAAAACAAAACAAAACAAAATACCACTGCCCCCCTGCCCACGAAACAAAAAAACAAACCAAAAAAACCCCAAAAAACACAACTACTCCAAGGAGGCAAATACCTGCGTTTTACTCCCAATATTTGTACATGTTGTTCCTTTCAGTGATAAAGCTGAGTGACATGGTGACCCCTGTAGGTACAGGTCAGTCCACTTAAGACCAGGCCTGGCCAGGCGTGGTGGCTCACGCCTGTAATCCCAGCACTTTGGGAGGCAGACTGCTTGAGGCCAGGAGTGCAAGACCAGCCTGGCCAACATGGTGAAACCTTGTCTCTACTAAAAATACAAAAATTAGCCAGGCATGGTGGCACAGGCCTCTAATCCCAGCTACTAGGGAGGCTGAGGCAGGAGAATTGCCTGAACCTGGGAAATAGAGGTTGCAGTGAGCCAAGATCGCACCAATGCACTCCAGCCTTGGAGACAGAGTGATACAGTGAGTGGGACTCCGTCTCAAAAAAAAAAAAAAAAAAAAAAAAAAAAAAAGACCAGGCCTGGGGCAGTTGTAACCAGTTATACTTACTACCTTCCCAATAAGCAGTATGCAGATGCTTAAGAAATTAAGGTTTCTGATTGTGATGTGAAGAATAACAATTCCATGAGCCAACAAAGGTCTGGAAGTATAAACAGGGTGGAAAATGGTCTCACCAGTGCTCTTTCCCTTATCAAAAGTATGCAGTATCATACTAGACAATTTCAATAGGATGCCCTGGAAAGCGGTATTTCCTGATTTCAGATTTAAAACTGAGAACATCAGTAAATATTTTCTTGGAATTAAGAGTCCTCTTTGTGGTACTGAGTGCATATAATATATTGAACAGAACTGATTTTCGTTTGCTTAACAAAAATGGTCATGTGTTTCCTCTCCCCCGTAACAGTTATAAAAGTAAGAATGTAAAATTCCCTTGGGAAATGTTTTTACCGGGGCTGACTTTCAGAATCTACTCATTACAACTATCATTGCTATTAAAAAAATAGTTCATCACTATCATTACTAATGCGAGTGATGTCTAAAATTTATTGAGCGCTTACTATGCGCTAGTGATTGGGCTAAGAGGCTAAGTGACTGTGTGAAGTTTACAACTTTTTCCTCATGTGATCATCATGGCCCTGACAGGTGGGATGGTATTACTGTCCTTGTTTTAAAGATGAGGAAACTGAGGCTCAGAGAGGTACTTAACCCCTCCCCAAAATACTCAGTTGGTAACTGGCAATGCTGGGATTTTACCCTGGTCTGTTTCGTCTAGAGCACAGGGTCTTAGCTGTATTCAAGCTGCCTCCAAGGGCAGGCACCCTTCCTACCAGAGTGCATCAGGGTTGGAAAAACTAGGAGTCAAATGTTTCTTCTCAAACAGTGTGATCACTTTGAGGTATCAAAATAGTAAACATATTTAATTTTAGAAAGATGCTATAGGAATGACCACCTGCTAAGAGCTAACGTGGCACGTAATTTCAGAATTTGGCCACTTATCCACTCCTCTACATTCATAGTTCAGAGTTAAACCTTAACTCAGCTTGTCAGTCTTGGGGATAGTTACATTATTAGAATTTTCATTAAAAACATGCAGAACTAACAAAAAAGATGAAACAAGGGCATACAGACACATACCGTGCTCTAATCTTTCATAGTCTGAATCCAGGAGAAATGTTTTAAAGCGATTAGACACATAGTGGAAAGCCAAGAACTTTAAGTAATAGAGATTGAATTCAAACTCAGTTGGATACTGGTTGTGAACCTGAAACACACAAGGCAAAGAAAAGAGTAAGAATCAAACAGAACAAAAAGTGGATGCCAGGCCACTGAAGGCTTAACTGAAACATGCAGGAGACCATTCAGTCATTCACTCAACAAATACCTGAATCCCTACCATAAGTAGAGATGGGAAGGGAACCAGCTTTTCCGAGCACCTACTGTGTGCCAGACACCAGACGAGGGTTTTTTTTTTTTAAATAAACATAATCTCATTTAATCTCTACGGTATAGCAAGAGAGGCATTATTATCTCCACTTTACAATTGAGAAAGCATAGGATCAGCAAGATTAAGACATTTACCCAATGACATTAAACAGTAGTTAGTGAGCCCAAATTTAACCCTGGCTTATTAGGCTCCAAAGTCTCTACCCCACTCACTACATTATACTGTGTTTGGCAATTGATAGATATATATTAACATAAGTTATGGTTCTTGCTTTCCAGGCAACTGTGGTGTAATAGTGTGACATACAACAAGAAAAATTGTTCTTACAGAAGTTTGGCAATGAAAAGGATTGAGAAGAGAAGGTGGCTGCTTAAGGGGACAGCAAGAGATGTTTTCTGGTCAAAAGAAATGTGTGTGTGTCTGAAGGCAATCCAGAAGGAGCCAGTAGAGAAAACAAATTTTAGAAAAATTTGTTAGCTAATAACTAAGAGAATAAGATCCTGGGAAAGCAAGAATGAATGAGGCTCGGGCCTAGATTTAGGGAACAGCTTTGGAAACAGGGAGGGATGAAAGGTAAGCAAGAGAAAGATAGTTCAAGTGCCAAGGGAAAGGGCAGGAGCTAATGCCTTTTAGCCCTAATTTTTCATCAGTAAATTAGGCAGTGAGGTCATTGGGCACAGGAATAGGAATGAGTGAATGACATGGGAGGCAGAAGGCTGGGCAAAGCTTGGAATGGTCATTGAGCTATAGCATGCTTTAGGCAAACCGTATACAGACTGTGGAGCCATCTTACATTGGCAGAGGGTAGGCTGATGACCCTGTGACACTCCCTAGTCTGCCTCGCAATCTCACCTCTATATTGCTCAAACAATCTCTCATGACCAGCTAGAAAATTTTGTTTGGCTGAAGTAAGTTCCAATCATAATTGTACTTGCTCAAAAGCTGGTTCAAATTAACACTAAATTTAGGCAAGCTGTCTAAAAGTCAGCGTTCTCCTCCATGTTTAATTTGGCAATACGGACCTGTACTTAGTCAGCTGGGTCAGCCAAAGTGAGCAGGCATGTGTGTGATAATGTTGATTGTCCAGTGGACCAATGGGAATTTAAAGTCGTGATCTGGATATCATTGATTTATCAAAATTTATCATCTGGTTAGGAACCTGGTTTTCTGTGATCATTAAAGGGTTTTCTACATTTTCTTACTGGCTTTTGAATTGAAGTAAAATTTTAGCTTGTAAGTAATGTAAAATAAAATGGATTTTAGGAAGATGCATTAAAAAAGAGTTTGACTCCTATGCAGTGGGCCTGCAAACCACGGAACTGCTTCCTTGATGTGAGCCAATGCCTTCCTGTTGCATCAGATCTCCACAGGACAGCAGAGCTTTCCATGGGACATGGCTCTGAATAGCTAGGTAGCGTGCCATACTCCAGGTTTGTAGAACTGTAAGCATTTGTATTACGTAGAGTTTTCTCATCAGTGAAAATGAAGGGATAAGAAATCATGGGTTTCCTATGATCATGCAATACAAGCAACTAATTATAAAAACTGGCTGGGCGTGGTGGCTCACGCCTGTAATCCCAGCACCTTTGGGGGACCAAGGTGGAAGGATCTCGAGGCCAGGAGTTTGAGACCAACCTGGGCAACATAGTGAGACCTTTTCTCTACAAAAATTAAAACAAACAATTAGCCAGGTGTGGTGGCACGTGCCTGTAGCCCCAGCTACTCAGGAGGCTGAGGAGGAGGATCGCTTGTGTCCAGGAGTTCGAAGCTGCAGTGGAGCCACAATTGTGCCACTGTACTCCAGCCTGGGTGACAGAGTGAGACCCTGTCTCTGAATGAATGAATGAATGAATGAATAAATGATAAAGGCTCAACTTGAGGAGTTTATAATTATAATAAAACAAGCAGATGTGACACATAATTAAGGATCAATATTAAAAAATCTTTTATTTCCTTGTTTTGTTAGCCCTCTATGTGTGTCTCAGTAGTCAACCATGTCCCTTAATACAGCAATTCTCATTCAAACGCTTGCCTCTACTGATACTTATGCACAGCAAAGAAGGCCCTGGGTTTGACTCTCTAGTAGGCCTGGTTCTCTGGTCTTCCTGGCTCCTTTCTTAAGCATTGCTCAGACCTCAAGTTTCCCCCTCAACCTGTCCTGTAATGCCATACAGAGCTCTCCAGTCTGAGCTGTTGCTTTGGAATCAACAGCCCCACCCCAAGGAGCCAGTGATGGAGAGGGGGGTTACTCAGATTGTGGATGCTGGGACAGAAGAAGGGGACAGGGCAACTAAGGATGGAACTTGGTTCCCTACCATCTGAATCCTGGGGATGAGAAATCTGCAGTGTGCTCAGGCAGGGTGAGCTCCAAGGACAACTGCCCCAACAGCCCTTGGGATAAACCTTCAGTAGTCACAGGCCAGCCCCTCACTCACTGTTTCCAAGGGAGGAAGAGTTCTTTCCACTGAACCAGTCTACAATATGTTCTAAAATTTCTTTTAAAAATCTTTATTAAAGCCTCAAGGGCCAGGCGTGGTGGCTCACGCCTGTAATCCCAACACTTTGGGAGGCCGAGGCGGGTGGATCATGAGGTCAGGAGATTGAGACCATCCTGGTTAACATGGTGAAACCCTGTCTCTACTAAAAATACAAAAACAAAATTTTAGCTGGGCGTGGTGGCGGGCGCCTGTAGTCCCAGCTACTCGGGAGGCTGAGGCAAGAGAATGGCATGAAACTGGGAGGCGGAGCTTGCAGTGAGCCGAGATCGCGCCACCGCACTCCAGCCTGGGCAACAGAGCAAGACTCCGTCTCAAAAAAAAAAAAAACCAAAAAACAAACAAACAAAAAACTGTATTAAAGCCTCAAAATAACATTTCTCTCAATGACTATTCTTCATAGAAACCAGATACCTCATACATACTTGTATCTTTTCTTGATGATTCTGACATTTAATCTACTCAGGAATACAATTTTGAAGACCCACTTCTGAGGTAACAGTAGAATGGAAATATGATCTTAAGTTGAACTTACAGGCATTTCAGGGAGATCATGTGCTCAGATTAAAAGTGAAACGTCTTTACAAGTCAAAAAATGCTTTCGTAGCCCAGTATATTGGCCTCACCACAAGCCCTCTACAGTTATGCTAGAAAGGTTAGACAATTTTCCAAGGCCTCTTGTACCCACTCCACTGGGACTGGAATTGGTGCTTGGAGAAAGCATCAAGGTGTATACGCTTGGGGGCACTATGCATGTGTCCTCCTGTGTGCCACAGGAGCACCTGCAGTCGCTAACTGGGGTTGAAAAACAAACCTCCCCCAAACTGGGGTTAACGATCAGGTCTACTGGAAGTGGAAGAGAAGATGCAGAGCAATTTGTTTTTTACTCTTCAGCAATAAAGTAACAAGCATGTAAACATTTCTTTGGTGGAAAAAGAAAAGTCAGATAGACCTCAAGCCTGGGTTGATTAGTACCTAGATACCACGTTTAGAATCCGACATTAAGAAACATAAGGAATTTTCTGAGATGTCTTTCTTCCATCATGTAAGAAGAAATGATGAGATGGCTGAACTCTTACGGTGCTTAGATTTCTAGGAAGCAAGAAAAATCATACTTTCTCCATTGAGTCCTGCACCCCAGTGACTCAGTTTGTCCAGTTCACTGGCTTCTTTTCCTCTTTGCAAATGGAACTCACCTAGACTCTTGTGATTTTAATTTGCATTTTCTAATGAAGAATGATGTCAACTTTTCATGTGCTTATTTGCATATCTTTGGTGAAATCAGTACAAATGTTTTGCCCATTTCAAAAATAAGCTGTTGGCCGGGCATAGTGGCTCATGCCTATAATTCCAGCACTTTGAGAGGCTGAGATGGGTGGATCACTTGAGGTCAGGAATTTGTGACCAGCCTGGCCAATATGGTGAAACACCATTTCTGCTAAAAATACAAAAATTAGCTGGGCGTGGTTGTGCACACTTGTAATCTGAGCTATTAGGGAGGCTGAGGCGAAAGGATTGCTTGAACCTGGGAGGCAGGGTTGCAGTGAGCCAAGATTTTGCCACTGCACTCCAGCCTCAGGGAAGGAGCAAGATTCCATCCTAAAGGAAAAAAAAAAGGTTGTTTTCTTATTATTGAATTTTAAGGTTTCTTTATGTGTTCTAGATAAATCCTTCAGCAAATATATGGTTTACACATATTTTCTCCCACTGTGTGATTGGTCTTTTCATTTGCTTAACAGGGATTTTTAAAAAGTATTTATTTATTTATTTAAATTATTATTATTTTTTTGAGATGGAGTCTCGCTCTGTTGCCCAGGCTGGAGTGCAGTGGCGCAGTCTCGGCTCACTGCAAGCTCCACCTCCCGGGTTCATGCCATTCTCCTGCCTCAGCCTCCCGAGTAGCTGGGACTACAGGCGCCTGCCACCACGCCCAGCTAATTTTTTTGTATTTTTAGTAGAGAAGGGGTTTCACTGTGTTAGCCAGGATGGTCTCTATCTCCTGACCTCGTGATCTGCCTGTCTCGGCTTCCCAAAGTGCTGGGATTACAGGCGTGAGCCACCGTGCCTGGCCAAAAAAAGTATTTATTATGTTTTTTAGAGGTGGGGTCTTGCTGTGTTGCCCAGGCTGGTCTTGAACTCCTGGGCTCAAGTGAACCCACCTTGGCCTCCCAAAATGCTGGGATTATAGGCTTCAGCCACCATACCCAGGATCAGCCTTGTAATATTTGTAGAATCTGTAGTGACGTCATCTTTCTCATTTCTTATATTGGTAATATGTGTCTTTTTTTTCTCAAGCAGTCTAGCTAGAGGTTTATCAATTTTATTGATATTCTCAAAGAACAGCTTTTGGTTTCATTAGTTTTCTTTATTGTTGGCCACAAGATTTTGGGGACCTAAAGGCAAGTGTGCTTCAAATAAATTTAGCCTTATTATATTATGTAGAATTGGGAATGATAGGTATTTCAGCTAATAAATTAATTCTATGTCAGCATTTCCCTAAGTATGGTGATGAATAGAGTTTTAGGCTTCTCTCAGGTATCATCTGGATTTTGTTGTTCAAAATAATTTTGTATTTATTTTGTTGCAGGTTAAAAAGTATACAGACTTAAAAGACTAAACTGCATGAAGCATTTTAGTTTTGTTTTTCCGTTATGGAGTGAAACTTGCCAACTTCACTTATTTATAAGAAGAGAATCTGAAATGGAATTTGGAGAAACATGAATTTATAGGGTCTTTTTTTTTGCCCATGTGCCATTAAGTACTTTGTAAAATTTAAAGGCCTATAAAAATAAGCTATGACTCAAACCCCTGGAAAGATCAACATTTTGGAAGTAAAGTTTAATACATTAAAACTGGATTCTGCTTTCAGAATTATAAATATTGAGCTACAAGAGACACTATACATCAACACGTGAAAACCTGGATATGGTTAAACAGACCCTAGGAGAGTGTATAGCTAATATTAATTTTTGTTATTTCACAAATTAAGATTTAACAAACATTGTGTGCTTTGTGTTACATCCTTCCATATTACATGGCCTTAAATATTAAGCTTTGATGCAAAATTGCCTTGTTATAAAACAGATTGGATTATGTTCATTTTTGCCAGTTTGCAGTTGAATAGGCAGCAGACAGCAGAAACTCTTGAATATACCAACAATCCATTAGCTACAGCTATTTTGCCAATATTACTGGATAAATTTTAGAATAACCAACCTGTGTGGGGGCAGCTTAGCTGCTCACATATGTGCTCACAAGGAAGGCTCATATCTTCAAAAGGCAAATAGCTTTTTTCTTTGGGGTAGGACCTAGCATAGTGCTGTCATAAGGTAACCATGAGGAGAATCACATAAAGCCAGACCAAAGTGAATCAATTTACAATTTGAATAAACTTTGAAATCACAGTAAAAAATACTGAAAAAGTTCTAAGATGCCCTCAAAGATTTACTCTAATGCCGAAATAAAGGGGATGCTTTCTTCACGTTTTCATTCATACTATTCATGTTTTCTCCTGATATTATATTTTAAAAAGAAAGTTTACATAAAAATTTAATCTTTGTATATTGGATTTTTTTTAATTTGGCTCAACTATTTTAAGAAAAGGGAGTCCTGTAATGATATCATTTGAGCTAAGCCAATTTCTTTTAGAAGCAAAAAATCTGCCAGATGTTGCTATTATGAAACAGTGAGCTAGCATTTATAATTCATTTGACACCTGGATATACTGGCGTAAACAATGGCTTTTTATATGATGAGGCAGTTCTAATTTAAGTTCAGTGCTTCATCTGTTTTCTTGTAACTTTATTAGTACTAATGGACAAGCCTAGGCATATGTCCATGGACTGCCTTTTGGCATTCAATGTTAGAAATGGTTAATAAGCAGGGAACACATTCCATCTGGGAAAGCTTCACTTGCTGCTGTGTAATTTTGAACCTGTTTTTTTGATGTTTCTGGGCCTAGTTCTGTTGTGTGTCCCTGAGAGACTGAGGGCAGCACTAATTCGAATTATCTGGTAAAAGCCAGAGTCATGTAAAGCACTAGTGTTCACTTGAAAGGCATTCAAAGAAGGCATTTTCTAATGCCTAAAACCAGTATGTCGAAGATGATGAAACACTACCTTATAATTAAGTCAGCAAGAGTCAGAAAAACTATTTGCTAACTATAGTCTTCTTAGATTCCTCTGTTTTTGAGTGAATAAACAATCCCTTTTCAGCACAAAATAATTTGCATCACCAAAGCTGATACCTCTGGTAGCCAAGCATGCTTTACTTACTGCAATTAAGGTCATATGCTTGCTTTGCTATGACTTGTCTGCACTTAGGTTATTATGTATGAGGTATTAAGTGAAAGGAGGATTCAGGCAAATTCTTAAAAATTTATGTTTTAATTTAAAAAATTTTAATTTGGCACAGCCAGATTTGAAGTCATACTGATAGGGTCTCTAGATCCTGAACAATATTACTTTTTACAGTTTGTGAAGCATTCACCTACAAATAATCGAACTTTAATTAAAAGTTAACTTCTGTTTTTGATTTCAGAATCAACTGGTTTATATAAAACATTTGAATTTTAACTCTTTACTTGAAAAAAAAAACAGATGAATCTTAAATTCAGCTGATTAGTAAATAAAACAAAACAGCAGAAATTAAGCATATACCCCAAATTGTTTTAATTAACTTAGCCTTTTGTAGTTTTAGCATCTATTGTATTCTAAAGATAATAGGAATGTAAGTTATGCTACATCTTAGTGTATGTTAAATTGCTTTAATCATACCACTTAAGGGGTACTCACAGAATACAGGTTACCTTCCAGCATCTAGACCTCTCCCACTCCTCCCCCCCAGCCCCATCCCCAATAATAAAATAGAAGAATTTCATTCCAAGTAAGGATTATTGTACTTGGGAGACAATGATGTTCCCATCTTTGAGGACAGTGTATCTTACATGAGAACCTCCTATCTCTTACTGATTGTGAGTGGATTATTTCGCTGACCCTAATGTTTAGGTGTGCAGAATTCTGCAAGTTGAACATAGAGATTTAACATATTAAGTAGTCCATTTAACTTAAGCCAGATTTGGCTGTACAAGCTCATTCCCCTGGAATCCTCCCACATTAAAGGAATTTTTAAGAGGTAAAAAACCCAAAAGGGAGTGGGGAGAATGGGAGGAAACACAGCACTGGGCCAAAGCAATTCAGCAAATTTTTGAAAGATGGAAAATAGAAGGAAGAATAGCAGTAAATGATAGAAGAGGAGAAGCTATACTGGGATTCCTGCCAGGAGGAAAATGATTTGAGAAGGTAACGATTTGCTGTGTAAACCCAGAAAGGCTCAGGGCACAGAGGCCCAAGTATTGAGTAATGCAGGGGTGAAATGGAGGCTATCGTGGGACTAGCTGGAAGTCTATGGAGGCAGGAAAGGACCCCAGGTCCTTTCCCACCCCATGTAGTCATATGATTACCCTTTTCAGAGCAACAGATCGGAGGTTTATTTTCTGAAAAACAAACAAACAAAAAAACAAACCTGATAAGCTCTAGACTTGGGAACACCAGACACAACTGGGTTAGTGGAAACACTGAAAATAGCATGGAAAAAACGAAAAGCCTGCATTACTGAACTGGGATTTCCCTGGACCTATTTCCTGCCCTGTTTCCATAAAGCAAGCAGCCAGACCTACAAGTACTTTCTGGGCCCCAGACAAATTCTTCTCCGTAGAAACAAGGTAGCTGCTGTTTTCTTTCTCTGGAACTCTAGTTTACTGAGATGTTGGACTTACTAATTAAAGATTATTATTTTTTCCTCCAGATTTATTGAAGTGTTATTTAAAAATAAAATTTCCCTACTTTAAGTGTATAGTTTTATTAGTTTTGGTCACTGTACACAGTTGTGTAACCATCACCACAATCATGATACAGAACAGTTTCCTGACGCTGAAAAGTTTGCTTATGCCCTTTGCATGATGATTGATCCCCTCCCTTGGTCACTGGTCCCAGGCAGTCACTGATCTGCTTTCAGTCACTATGGTTTTGCCCTTTTTAGAATGTCATATAAATAAACTTATGTAGTAGTCTTTTCTGCCTGGCTTCTTTCACTGAACATAGTGATCACAAGATTGGTCAGTCTTTGTAATATAAATATTTCATTCCCTTTGTGTGCTGAGTGGTATTCCACTGAATTAATATGCCAGAATTTGTTCATCTCTTCATCGGTTGATGGACATTTGGTTTGTTTTTCATGCTACCCCTTTATAGTCACACTCATTTCCTTCTCCCCCACTATCTTGAATCTGGCAACCAATAATTTATGATCTTGTCATTTTAAAATATTAGCTGGGCATGGTGGCTCACGCCTGTAATCCCAGTACTTTGGAAGGCCAAGGCAGATAGATCACCTGAGCTCAGGAGTTCAAGACTAGCCTGGACAACATGGCAAAACCCTGTCTCTACCAAAAATACAAAAAATTAACCAGCTGTGGTGGTGTGCACCTATGGTCCCAGCTACTTGGGAGGCCAAGGTGGGAAGACTGCGTGAGCCTGGGAGGCGGAGGTTGTAGTGAGCCGAGATCACACCACTACACTCCAACCTAGGTGACAGAGTGAGACTCTGTCTCAAAAAAAAAAAAAAATTATATACATGGAATCATACTCAGTTGGACCCTTTGAGATTGCCTTTTTTTTCTTTCAATATAATGTCCTTGAGATCCCTTCAAGGTGTTGCATGTGCCAGTAATTCCTTTTTACTGTTGAGTAGTCGTCCACGGTATGGATGTATCCCAGATTGTGTAGCCATTCACCTACTGTAGGACAGACATTTGGGTTCCCCCCAGTTATATTCAAATCGGATATGTGGAAGGGTAATTCTTTAGGAAATGTGGAGCCACTGAAGGTTTTTGTTTGTTTGCTTTGAAGACTTTTGTGGAGGGGAATAAAAGGATTGTATCTGAGCTTTTGGAAGATTATGCCAGCAATTCTACTTAGGATATTCTAGATTTTTTTTTTTTCCCCCAAGACGGAGCCTCGCTCTGTCTCCCAGGCTGCAGTGCAGTGGGGGCTTCTCAGCTCAATGCAACCTCCGCCTCCCGGGTTCAAGCGATTCTCCTGCTTCAGCCTCCCAAGTAGCTGGGACTACAGGCGTGCGCCCCCACGTCTGGCTGATTTTTTGTATTTTTAGTAGAGATGGGGTTTCACCATGTTGGCCAGGATGGTTTTGATCTCTTACCTCGTGATCCACCCACCTTGGCCTCCCAAAGTGCTGGGATTACAGGCGTGAGCCACCACGCCCGACCAGGATATTCTAGATGGTCTTGATGAAGGGTGGTAAGAGCATGAACAAGACTTGTGGTCTTTCAAATTCTCATATATTCATTGAGATTATCTATTTATTGTCTATTATATTCCAGAGACTGAAACTGTAATTGTGTTAGATACTAGGGATATGAAGACTAGTATGACATAGTCCCTGTTCCCAAGAATTCTCAGACTAAGTAGAGGGCAATAGTTACATACAAATAAACATACTTTAGTGCTATAGATGTTATCAAAGAAGTCTATACCTGACTCATTAGAAATACATATAAAGTGGGAGCGTGAGGGTCAGCAAAAGATTCAAAGAATTATGAACTAAAATAACATGTGTAGTGCTCAGAACAGTGCCTGGCACATAGTAAGCAGTCGACACAAATTAGTAATTATTGTTAGTAATGGTGGTATACGGAGGCAGGAAATAGTCTAGTCCAATTGATAAGCATAATAAAAAAGCAAGATAAGAAGTGCTTTCATGAAGAACTCATATGCTTTCACCTGCCTAGAAGTGAGAAGAGATAGATGCTTGCTCCTCTCCTTTGGCCTCAGGTAAGCTTTCTGTTTCAGAGACAATGGTCTCCAAACTTCTCCCTCATCTATTTGCCAAAAGGAGTATGAATAAAAGGGCCAATATTCAAACAGAAAACAAATATAGTATACTCTTTGCTGCAAAGAGTTTAAAGGTACATGCTTAACCTTGTGACCAGCTCCTCCAGTTACTGCTTGGACAGATCAATTGAAATTCGTCAATCGGTCTTGTCTTTAATAAGTAAATTAGAGCAGTAAAAAACATAGCTTCCTGTGTGTGGGGTGAAAGGTTGGAAAGTCACTGCTCATGAGTATGGAGTTTCTTTTTGGAGTGATAAAATGCTCTAAAATTGATTGTGGTAATTGTTACAAAACTTTGTGAATGGATTCAAAACCACTGAACACTTTAAATAGGTGAATTGTATGATATATATAGTTCAATAAAGCTGTTATTTACAAAAATTATGTAGTGATCTGGAAAGTTGATCAAGTGATTACTAGAATAAAAACAAAATAAAACATAACCACATACTAACTTGGTGTCATCACAGTTAGTTTCAACTCTGGTTCCTGAAAACATAGTTCTGCCTTTCTTTCCAATCGATATTTGAGGCCAGTGTGTTTCAAAGAGGCTCACCATTCCCACAAATGTTTGACATGCCAGAACCCATTCATCCAACCCTGGGATTGTGGTCAAATGAAAGCTGGAAATAGGCCTGCTTTTCCTAGGCCAATTCAGTCTTCAACTTGCAAGCTCAGTGCCATCCAATTCTCAAACCCAATCCTGACCAAGGCCCCATCCAGAGGTCTGTATCTGATGTGCCTGCGATGAAGGCAGGAGGGAGCCTAGAGCAGTCACATCTCCCCTACCCTCACTGCATTTGAATGGATATACCTGGGCTCCCACTTATAAGTGAGAACATGAGGTATTTGGTTTTCTGCTTCTGCATCAATTTGCTTAGGATAATGGCCTCCAGCTATATCCATGTCATTGCAAAAGACATGATTTCATTCTTTTGTATGGCTGCATAGTATTCCATGGTATATATGTACCACAGTTTCTCCATGTGGTAGAAGTGACCAGTGTTCTCAAGCCTGTATGCCTGTCTGGCTGGGCCCTGATTATTTCTCCAGGGGTTAGGCTTTACCTCTTATGTTCCCAGGCACAAGCTGGGGTCCTCCCAAACTGGGCAGACCATGTGCTCGATTTCAGGACCCGTATTACCTAGAGATTTTGTTCTTAGGTAATAAGCCCAAGTTTGCTTCTCTTCTTTGAAGATGGTCATTTAGAGTGCTGGCTACTTCACTTGGGGCAAGCCCAACAGCCAGCTTAGCTGTCCTAGTTTCAGAAACCAACTAATTTTTTTTCTTTTCCATTCCTAGGAGTCTACTGCTAAGATTTCAGCATGTCCTGTGGCTGAGTTAATCAGAGTTATGACAGGAAGGTACCGGGCACACCATCGCAATGCTCCATCAATGCTAGTATGTTGTGTTCTTTCCTTCATATCAAGTCAACTCAAGCTTGCTCTACTTACCTGGTGTACACAGTCTAAGAACTGTAAGAAGACTGGAGCAAAACCACTCCCCTGACAGTTGAGGGTCAAGCTGCTCCTCTGACTGAATTTGTGACCAAAAGAGAGCCACTCTTTTTCAACCAACATCTGGAAGCCTTCAAGTGTCCTATAAAAGGGATCACTGAGTAACTGAACCAGGGATGTCACCTAGGGCATAAGCAGGATGGATTGTCATTAATTTTAGTTCTGAAAAAGGCCTATTACTAAGATAAAAGCACTTCCTTCTGATGATAGCTAATTCACAAATTTACCTGGACAGCAAATTTGTTCACTAACCATTCCAGGATGGCCAATAAAATTAATTTTGTAAACTTGCCAGTAAAAACTAAAGCTCAAATTCATTTTGGCTACAAGTTTACTTTCAGGGAATTGAGACTTTAATCCTTAACTGGCCAGTTTGCTGACAGCAACCTTTTCCTAAGTTAATCAGAGGCCAGAGGATCAGTTAAAATCAATTCTACTTTTTGGCAGATGCAGATTAATGTCTTAATGTAGTCTGAACTCACACTTTTCACTCTGGAGTGAGTTAAGGCGGGGCTTATAGAGAGCCAGGGGATGGACTGACAAAACCCAGGAAGGATGGTCCACGCCTCACACTGCTGGTCAAGGGCTCCATCCGCAAGCCTGCATGGTACATCTGTGGATGGGAGAGCTTGATGCCCGGAGCCAGAGCTCCAGGCTGCGTAGGGGCTAAGAGCTCATGGTACGGAGTTTTCTGATGGATACCAGGTGCTGTTTAACACAGGACTTTCTCTGTCCATAAACACATTAGTCATTATACAAAAGAGTCATCTGAAGAATTTAAAAATGACCAAATGGAAATATAAATATAAAATATCAAAAAATATGTCTAATAGTTTACTTGTGCAGTGATGTCCCAGCCTTCCTCCAAACAGACCAAAACTGAGGAACCATTCTCAAGTACTTCTGATACAACCACAGCCAGCTGCATTATCCTGTGAAGCTAAGAGACAGGAAGGAGAACACAATTAGACCAAGCGCTTTCTGAGTGCAGAAGTCAGAGAGAGTTGCTTTCAACCCTGGATAATCAAACGACTTAGGGATAAAGCGCTTGCACAAAAGAACCACATAATGTTTTAAATACCTAAAGTTCTTTCAAATCAAGATTAAACAATGACACTTTTGACTGGATGCAATGACTCATGCCCATAATCCCAGCACTTTGGGAGGCCGAGCCGGGCAGGTCATTTGAGGTTCGGAGTTCGAGACCAGCCTGGGCAACATAGTAAGACCCCATCTCAATGAAAACAACAACAAAATGACACTTCAAAAAAGTAGACACATTTTAAAACAATACATTCTAGTAATACATAATGAAATAAAATTACCTTACATGATTCCCCCAAAAGTAGGTGAGCTATAATTCCATAGAGTACAAAAAACAGAGATTCTATGTGGACTTCCCAACAAAAGACGGAAATTCAGATGAATTTTATTGGATTTAAAATTTGTTTTTCCATGATGTAGTAAGTTTTGTTTCAGACATTTTTTTTTTTTTTTTTTGAGACAAAGTCTCGCTCTGTCACCCAGGCTGGAGTGCAGTGATGCAATCCTGGCTAACCACAACCTCTGCCCCCCGGGTTCAAGCGATTCTCCTGCCTCAGCCTCCCGAGTAGCTTGGATTACAGGTGCATACCAGTGCACCCGGCTAATTTTTTGTATTTTTAGTAGAGACGAGGTTTCACCATGTTGGCCAGGCTAGTCTTGAACTCCTGACCTCAGGTAATCCACCTGCCTCAGCCTCCCAAAGTGCTAGCATTACAGGCGTGAACCACCACGCCTGGCCTATTTCAGGTATTCTTAATTTTTTGGGAATTAGATAGTGGTGATAGTTACACAATGTTGTGGACATACCAAAAAGCGTTGAGTTGTGCACCTTTATCATAAGGATAAATTTTATGGTAAGTGAATTATATGTTAAAAAAGAAACTCCTGGCTGGGTGTGGTGGCTCAACGCCTGTAATCCCAGCACTTTGGGAGGTTGAAGCAGGAGTAGTGCTTGAGCTCAGGAGTTTGAGACCACCTGGGCAACATGGCAAAACCCCATCTCTACAAAACATACAAAAACCAGCCAGGCGTGGTGGCATCTGCCTGTAATCCCAGCTACTCAGGAGGCTGAGGTAGGAGGATCGCTTGAACCTGGGAGATCGAGGCTGCAGTGAGCTGTGATTGTGCCACTGCACTCTAGCCTGGGTGACAGAGCAAGACCCTGTCTCGAAAAATAAAAATAAAAAAGATACTCCTATTTGTCTATACTGTGTACTAAATGAGAAAAAAACTTTCAATATATTTGTGCTAAGTTTTTAAAGCCACATCAATTGGCTCAAAGTCCTTAATAAACAATTAAGGTATGAGAATAGTATATAGATTTTAAAACCAGATGTATAACATTGTAATTTTAAAAAATATTTTAATGATCATCAGACATAATTTGCAATTTGAATCCAACTCTGAACAAGAACAAAAATGAAAAAACCCATCTCTTAAACAGAGCTAGGCTACTTTAAACACAGGAATAAGGCAAATGCCCTACTCAGTAATGAGAAGCTCCTCATGTAACTGTTTCTACAACATAGCTATCACCAGGCCTGAATTCTTTTGGGCTCAGAATTTGTTCTAAGAAATGGCTATTATTAAAAAGTCAAAAAATAACAGATGCTGGCGAGCCTGTGGAGAAAAGGGAATGTATATACATTTCTGGTGGGAATGTAAATTAGTTCAGCCATTGTAGAAAGTAGTTTGGTGATTTCTCAAATAACTTAAAACAGAATTACCATTTGACCTAGCAATCCCATTACTGAGTATATACCCAAAGGAATATAAATTGTTCTACCATAAAGTCACATGCACACACATGTTCAGTGCTGTACTATTCACAATAGCAAAGACATGGAGTCAACCTATATGCCCATCAACGGTAGACTGGATAAAGAAAATATGGTACATATACACCATGGAATACTACACAGCCATAAAAAGAATGAGCTTATGTCCTTTGCAGTAACACAGCTGAAGCAAACTAACACAGGAATGGAAAACCAAATACTGCATATTCTCACTTATAAGTGGGAGCTAAACATTGAGTACACATGGACACAAAGAAAGGAATAGACGCCTGGGGCGTATTTGAGGTTGGAGGTGAGAGGAGGGTGAGGATAGAAAAACTACCTATCAGGTACTATGCTTATTACCTGGGTGATGAAATAATCTGTACACCAAACTCCCAAGATATGCAATGTACCTATACAACAAACCTACATATGTACCCCTGAACACAAAATAAAAGTTAAAAAAAGAATTTGCTTTAAGAGTTAACTTTTAAGATGTCAATATCCCAAGTGGGCAATTATTTTCCACTGTCTTTAGTCCCTATCTTTTGGTACAGGTCCACTTTCTAGCAAAGAGTAGAGCACAGAATGTATCAGAAACATGGATAGATAAGTTGGGTGGAGGGGTCCGTTTGGAGCTGGGGCTCATAGCCTGGGGACAGAAGGGAGTATCGACCAGTTCCTTCCACGGGTATGCAAAGCACCCTAAATTGCCTTAATAATAATGAACACAGCATGATACATTTATAGCCAAATATTTATGTGGCGGCATTTCTCTTTGGTTTAAGTATCTTGAGAACAGTCACAGCCCTGAGTACTGACATCATTTCCTTTTTTTTTTTTTGCCTTTTAGTCCAATGTGCTGTGGGAAACAAGAGGCAGGATGCTTGGAGGTAGATGGAGGCAGGGGACTGGGAATTTCTGCAAGGTGATAACAAATAATGGGGGCCAGGCGTGGCAGCTCATGCCTGTAATCACAGCTCTTTGGGAGGTCAAGGTGGGAGGATTACTTGAGGCCAGGAGTTCAAGACCAGCCTGGGCAATATAAGAAATAAAGGGGCTTAAAGACAAGGCCCTTTAATTTCTCAATAAAAGTTCAATTAAGAATATCCCAAAGTTGACTGAACTGAAAGATGATAGACACTGTGTTTTTTTTTCAAGCCTTAGGTAGGCTTGGGGGCATCCAGTGTGCCTTTGGTGGGTAGTGTGGGGTGGATCTAAAATCTAGAGACCTGGGATAGGCAGACAAATGAAAGGTGAGAGCTCTTGGGAGTCATGCAGAAGTTGCCCTCTGCCCTGGATCCTTACTGTATTGACAACAGAGCAGGAGCCCTGTAAATACATGCTGATTAAATTTACATCAAAGATTTCCATCTAAAAATAATTTTCTCCTTAGTGTCCTATAGATACCAAACTTTTAAATACACAGAGATAAAAACCCAGCGATCAAGACTTCTACTCCCTCACCTCCTATACCAGATGATTTCCTTAGTCTGAAAGGCCTTTACTGATGGCACACAATGAAGGAGGAGAATGTTGGGGAGTAGGGGAACAAAGTATTTTTTTTCTCAAATACAGTTCTGTATATCTACTTGGGCCTCTGTTTCTTTGAGTTATAAAGAAAGAAGCTGCTTCAGACATTACCTGTGGGAACCACTCAGAATCTCCCAGCGCTTTCAGGAAGGTCACTTCTGAGTCAGTAGGGATGGTGCTTGGGATACAAGCCCTCATCAGCTTCTTAAAACTGGCTTTCACTTGCCGGATTTCATGAAATTCAACAGGAACAAACTCACAATTTAAAGCAAATTCTACCTTGAAGTTCTGCGGATGAAGATTCAGAGAATTAGGCAGATGAAGTGCTATAGGTAAAAGAGTGATGTTTCCAATGGGGCAGTGCATAATGACAAAGTTATTTGGGGCCAAATAGCTGCAGAGGCTGCCAATGGGTCAAGAAAGTCAATCTTGTACAGCAATGTGTCAGTGTTGGTGGGAACAGCCATTCAGTACAAGCTAGTGGTTTGCCCAGAATGGCAAATCTAGTCCTTACTAGAGGTAGATTACTTAGCCTAAGAATGCGTTCATTCTGAGAACTGGAAGAGCCTACTGGTAGACTGGAACTTGATGGAGCTCATAATACCAAATATAAGTCAATTATAAGGCCATGAACCTGGAAGTTTAAAGAGAAACTAATGATACATGGACAGTATGATTACTCCAACAGTGTAAACTAAGTCTTCCCAAGATGTATATGGTAAGGGATAGGTAACACACTGTTGGAGTTCCAGACTGTACGTGTATTAAAGTTTGTAGATATGCACATATTTGTTTCTTATTATGCAAGTAAAACATATTCATAATAAAAATGAAAAAAGGTAGAGATAAATATTGAGAAAGAAATAGAAATCACTTTCTTACTGCCCCAAGACTACCAACATTGTGGTTATTTTTTTGTTTTTTTGGGATGGAGTCTTGCTCTGTCACCCAGGCTGGAGCGCAATGGTGCGATCTTGACTGACTGCAACCTCCGCTTCCCAGGTTCAAGCGATTCTCCTGCCTCAGCCTCCCGAGTAGCTGGGACTACAGTCGTGCGCCACCATACCCAGTTAATTTTTGCATTTTTAGTAGAGATGGGCTTTCACCATGTTGCCCAGGATGGTCTCAATCTTTTGACCTTGTGATCCGCCCACCTCGGCCTCCCAAAGTGCTGAGATTACAGGCGTGAGCCACCACGCCCAGTCCTACTTCTTAAAAGTCAATAATAAAAAATTACATGGTCGGGCACGGTGGCTCATGACTGTAATCTCAGCAGTCTGGAAGGCTGAGGCAGACAGATTACCTGAGGTCAGGAGTTCAAGACCAGCCTGGCCAACACGGTGAAATCCCATCTCTACTAAAAATACAAAAAGTAGCCAGGCGTGGTGACAGGCACCTGTAATCGCAGCTACTCGGGAGGCTGAGGCAGGAGAATCACTTGAACCCCGGAGATGGAGGTTGCAGTGAGCTGAGATGACACCACTGCACTCCAGCGTGGGCAGCAGAGTGAGACTCCACCTTAAAAAAAAAAATTACATAAAAAAACCACGAAAGGCTTTGTTCATTTCTATCTTTGGGATAATATTTTTTCACTTAATATATGTATCAACCTATATTTATTTGAGTACTTTCTCATTTACATCTTTAATCCTTATGGAATTTATTTTGTGTGTGGTATGAGTGTTGCATTTGCAATTAAAGAATGCTATACTGATGGCCTACTGGTATATTTCATTTTAATAACCTGGTTGCCTAGCTCTGAAGAAGATTTAAAAGTCCTCTAACTTTTCATGCCAAAGAATGAATTAATTTTCTCAAAATGTTTCCACTTTCTTTTCATTGTGCCCAAATTACTCTATTGGACCATCTGCTTTTCTAAGATTAAAACTGCTTTCTGGAGATTGGTTGCACAGCAACATAAATGTACTTAATAATACTGAGTCATACACTTAGAAATGGTTAAGATGGTAAATCTTGTTATGTGTATTTTATAATTTTTCCTTTGTCTTAATAATTCTATTTTTAAGGAAGCTATTCTAAGGAAATAATCTAATAGGAAAAAACCCCCAGGGAATGGTATCTCAATTAAAAAAAATAACAAAATAACTTATTTGCTTGGAATTGTGACTGTAATTTTATATACAGAAGATAAAGAAACCTAAACATCCAACAACATGGGATGAATAGTGACTAAAATAGTTATGAAGACTATATGACATGGAAACATAATGTTAAGGCTTCAGATAAATAACCTAGCGATATACATGAGTTCCTTTCTATTATTTTTAAAAACTTATAATAGACAAAACATAGTTTACTTTTCAGGAAAGGTAGATTCCTATTTCCCAACTATACATGAGCTAGGTATGCTTATCTTATAAACCAGGAGTTACTAACCAAAGTATTGAGACACTCCATTAGGTTGTAAGGAATTTGTTCCTAATAATAAAGTATTAAAGTATGTGAATTTACCTAGGTAAAGGCCAAATTCAAGATTATTTTCAGAATAAGTCACTGTAATTTATTGGCTTTCATGTTTCTTTGTTGGGAGAAAAAGGTATGGAATTGTAACTGGATGGCATTGTGCAAGCTAGAATGTGGCACATATCAGACAGATACAGAGCCATATTCTACATACAAAATTGAATAAAAGATAAAACCTGAATGGAATATATAGAATAGCTGACAACTATTGTGCCAGAATGGTGGGATTACATTTTTAAAAATAATAATACTTGTCCGGGTGTAGTGGCTCACGCCTGTAATCCCAGCACTTTGGGAGGCCAGGGCGGGTGGATCACAAGGTCAAGAGATGGAGACCATCATGGCCAACGTGGTGAAACCCCATCTCTACTAAAACTAAAAAAAAAAAAAAAAAAAAAAAAAAAAGCTGGGCGTGGTGACGCGTGCCTGTAATCTCAGCTACTCAGGAGACTGGGGCAGAATTGCTTGAACCTGGGAGGTGGAGGTTGCAGTGAGCCGAGATCATGCTACTGCATTCCAGCCTAGCGACAGAGTGAGACTCCATCTCAAAAACTTAAAAAAAATATAATAATAATATTTTATTGAGGAAGGGCAGACAGAAAGAAAAAGAGGGCAGGAGGAAGAGAGGGAAGGAAAAAGGCAGCATCCCAACTCTTTCTTACTCAAATACGTATGATCACATAGCTAATCTGAGAAATTATGTGCAAAGAGAATGGCAGAGGGGAGTATTAAGGAGCTAAACCTCGGAGAGTGATTCGGATCACGAGTAAGTGTTGTGCTGAAGCATGGAAAGTCTGTGCTCTGGAAAAGACACTGGCACCAGCAACCCTGGATTGCTGTAGAAAAGGGTTCTATTTTTTGGATATAAAATTATCTACTGTATCAGAAGACACATATGCAGATTTAAAACTTGAGCATTACCCAGCAGTTTTATGCCCTCTACCCTAAAGGTTAGTGACTAAGTGGTTGCAGCAGTCCAGGCAGTGGGAGAAGAGCTAGCAAAGCCACTAGCCTGCTCCAGAAGAGATGACTCAGTTACTGGCATCTTAAGGGCCAAGCATGTGGGATCTTGCTAATGGCACCCTGCTCACAGTTTCTGCTCCACGGTTCAGCCAGAGGTCTGTCTAGGTTGTCCAGTGCCAACTGGAGCACTGGATTAAACGTTGAGATTTCTGAGTTAACAGATAACTTTCATGTCCTATATACCTACTGGTAGTAATGAAATTTATTTTGTAATGTGTGACTTGCAAAACATTAAATTCAAGGAATTGTTGTTGCTTTTGGAGGAAAAGACCATCTTTACAATTTATGGGCCCTCAGCATGGTGAAGCTCTTTAGCGCAACAATTTAACAGTAAGAATAAAGTTGATTAGCATCTAGTATTTTGAATTTTCTGACACATCTTAGGACATGTGTCTCTTTCTATATAGCTTTGCGAAGTTTTAACAAGTGTTACTCAGAAAACCTAGACTTGGCCTTGCCTTGCCTCCATACATGGTACCACAGTCTTCCTCTCTCCATTCTTCTATGTTTCTGTAGCCTGCTTTAGGTTTACCATAACAAAACTATCTGTTTTGCCATGGGCAGATTCCTGTGGAAACTGAATCAAGGCTGTTGAAAACACAGCCTGATGAAGCCTTATTCCTTTTTTTTGTATGTATGTACGCTTCCTGATGTTTATGTTGATTTTTTACTATTATGAATAAATATTTATTTTCATGGCTAATAAATATGCATATGTATATACATGTATTGATATAAAAATTAATATATATAAATAAATACAAAAGGAGAGCTAAATTTTTTGAGATTATTAACTCCAGGTTAAGAATCATGCTGTAAAAAAAATTCTAGCAAAGCTGGTTTGTGATACAGGTTTTATCAACAGCCCTAGCGTATCCATAAAGTTTCTAAGTGAGAAAAAAGAAATCTTACCCTTAGTTGCGACTTTTCACCAAATATGTAAAGGGCTGCTTGCCGTTTCAAGAGCTGGTTTTGTAGGTAGCTGCTGTTACTGAAGGAGGCCGAGTGATCCTTGCCTGCCAGCCGGGCGCCAACATCAATGAAGGATGTTGGAGAGCTGATCAAGCGAGTGCTAGAGCGAAGACTTGCCCACACACCTTCACAAAAGCCAAAGTCGTGGAGTGAGATAATCTAATGTGGGAATGCCACTAACTAAGGAAAAAGGTGCATGCTCTGGAGCTACAGTTTTAGAGGTCATAGCAAGCTGATTAATCTAAAAACCGTAAGTCATATGGTCATTTGCTACTTCTGTAACATAAACATTATCCAATATAGCATTTCAAAATCACACAATCTTAGCCTCAGAATGACCTAGCAAATCCCCCAAATCAATCCTATTTTATATTTTGATGTAAATTCAGGATTTAAAAGTAAATACTAAGATCTTAAGCAGAAACAGTACATTGATACTGAAAACAAAACATGCTGGCAGGAGGTACTAATAAAGTCTAGGAAGGCAAATGCTGAGTTATGCAATTTCTCAGGGCTTCATGAAAAAAGTAAGGAACATTCTTCTGCTTATTTGGTCAATTTAACATGACATTTAAAGATATGAAATAGAAACTTCATAAGTCTACTAAAATCTGAAGCTGGATTTGGAATTAATATTTGTATATCATGCCAAAACGATGTAATTCTAAACAAGATTATATTATATTTTTCAGTATCCATGAAGAATGAGAATTATAAGTTTAGTAATGGGCACAGTGCCTCATGCCTGTAATACTAGCACTTTGGGAGGCCAAGGTGGGCAGATCGCTTGAGCCCAGGAGTTTGAAACCAGCCTGGGCAACATGGTGAAACCCCGTCTCTACCAAAAAAAAAAAAAAAAAAAAAAAAACTACAAAAAGACACCTGTATTGGGAGGCTGAAATGGGAGGATCACTTGACCGCTGGAGGTGGAGGTTGCAGTGAGCCAAGATAGCGCCACTGCGCTACATACTGGGCAACAGAGTAAGACACTGTCTCTAAAATAAAATAAAATAAATGAATAAAATGTACAGTCAGAAGCCTATATCTTTATTTTATTTTTTTTGAGACAGAGTTTCGCTCTTGTTGCCTAGGCTGGTGTGCAATGGCGTGATCTCAGCACATCACAACCTCCACCTCCTGGGTTCAAGCGATTCTCCTGCCTCAGCCTCCTGAGTAGCTGGGATTACAGGCATGCACCACCATGCCTGGCTAATTTTGTATTTTTAGTAGAGACGGGGTTTCTTCATGTTGATCAGGCTGGTCTCGAACTCCCGACCTCAGGTGATCTGCCTGCCTCAGCCTCCCAAAGTGCTGGGATTACAGGCATGAGCCACCACGCCCAGCCAGAAGCAGATACCTTCTAAGAGAAAGGGCAAGCTAAAATGCTAGCAGAGTCTCAATGAGATAAGATGACCTTAGTTATATTAATTAGAAAAATCAAGGATTTCTATATGCAAGTGAGACTATTAAATATCAAACATCCAGACACAAAGGCATGTACTAATTCTCAAATTTGAC
This sequence comes from Homo sapiens, assembly GCF_000001405.40. Lineage (NCBI taxonomy): Eukaryota > Metazoa > Chordata > Mammalia > Primates > Hominidae > Homo > Homo sapiens. The sequence continues at coordinate 9,818,418 of NC_000011.10, forward strand.
TAGCACTGTATCACCTTCAAATCAAGAGGCCCTCATAAATGCCTGTAGAACTGTGGTGTTTATCTCATTGATGGGGTCACAGGGATACAGGACTTTCCTACTGCCTCCCTCAAGTGGGTTTTCTTCTTTAGATCTAGAAAGCCTGTTTGAGAAGCTTTAGTCTTTTCCTAGTATTAAAGTCATGTTTCTAGGTGACCAGAAGTCACCATGATGTCACATCTGCTTCTCTTTCTCTTTATAAGCATTTACGGGGTCAGGAGACCAGTTCCCAAGAAAAGTTTTTATTGGTCATTTCAGCTTCACATGCACGAATCTTTCTTTGAGATGGAGTTTCACTCTTGTTGCCCAGGCTGGAGTGCAATGGCGTGATCTCGGCTCACCACAGCCTCTGCCTCCTGGGTTCAAGTGATTCTCCTGCCTTAGCCTCCCGAGTAGCTGGGATTACAGGTGCACACCACCACGCCCGGCTAATTTTTGTATTTTTAGTAGAGATGGGGTTTCACCATCTTGGTCAGGCTGGTCTTGAACTCCCGACCTCAGGTGATCCGCCCGCCTCAGCCTCCCAAAGTGCTGGGATTACAGGTGCGAGCCACCACACCCGGCTGCATGAATCTTTCTACGTAGTTTACGAGGTTTTCTTAGACATTATGGCAATTATTAATTTTTTTGTAAATGGAATCAGAGGAAATTCAGAATGCAGATGAGAATAAAGGATATAATTTTACAAATGCAAAAAAATTACTTGTAACATATGTAGTTTCACATGAAGATGGTTTAAAAGAGTGATATATCAGGACACATAATACAGTACCTTGATTATGGACTCTTCCCTTAGCTGAAGATTTGGGATTTGACTGAGTAAAACATTTATCTCTGTACCCATGCACTGGTAGGTAAGATTAAAGACAGAAAGAGAAATAAAATGTATATAGCAGCAAATGTCAGAGCAGATTGAGTAAGAGAAGAATAGGCTATTTAATTTTTAAAATTAGCAGGGGAAAAATGTAAATATAATAAAAGTAGAAGATTTAATTAACAAACAAAAAGCTGCACAGTCACAAAAAAAAGATGTATTGAGTACCTGTTAAATGAAATTTCAGCACCTGTTTATAAATACTATAAGCACAATGAAATGGACAGCACACAGCAGAAGGTGCCACTAAAAAATTATACCAAATGGAAGAAGCTTTTGAAGATTGTCATTCAGTCAGAAACAAATTTTTATAATAAAATTAAGGAATTTGGGGTGTGTATGGGTGAATGTTAGGAATACATTGGTCCTCATATTGAAGGAGAATGGCGAATGCTGCATGTTGTACAACACGTTTGTTCTTTGAGCAAGGTCATCACACCAGGAAACAATGAAGCTCTAGCAACCATTTGGAATAACTAAGGGCATGTTTTTGCAGTAGAGCATTAAGCATTGCCACGCTATCTTCCTTCTTCTCTTTTCATTTGGAAATTATATTTATTTTCCATAATTAGTTACGAGCAGCAAAAATTCATAATCCTGTGACAATACCCAATATCACTAATAATACAGCTTGTGATGACTGAAGTAATGACTTCTCTTAAAATCCCTACTTGCACCAAAATGACAGGCAGTATTAGAGATAATAGTTTTGTAATTTGAGTAATATATTTTTTTCCAACAGAAAGGGGTTTATGATGATGGCAAACCAAAAATTGTGAGCAGTTTTAGCACTTTCCAAGCAAACAAATTGCTCAAGTCAATTAGAAGAAATGATTTTATATTTATTCAGGATTACAATCTTTAATAGTAGTATTAAGTTATAAAATGCAAAAGTGTATAACATATGACATAACAAAAATCATTACAAGTGAGTTTTCACTCCCACTTCACTCCTTTGGAAGCAGAAAATGAAGGGCACTGATGGCTCTGGTGGCCAAAGGAAGCCAGAAAGTAAGGGCTGCAGAGGTGCTGGCTGATGACAGACAGAGAATGTGACTGCAAGATGGAACGAAGGCTTGGGACATGGCCAAGGCACACTGTGTGGCCTCCTCTGTGTTGGCTGACTGCTCTCCTTTCTGCCAAAATTTTGAACTTTCCTATTGAATATGGGACACTAAGATGATGACAGTGATGCTTGAGTAGTTCCTGATTCTGAGATACTGTTCCCTTAACACATCACACTTTCTTATGCTAGTCTTACTGCCTGGAATGATTTCCCCCATTTCCTTACCTGACACATTCCTACTTAACCCTTAAGATCCAGATACAATATTAGCACCTCTTAAAGGCATTCCTGACTGCTCCCAAGCTGAGGAGCTCTATTTGAACTTTGATCACATTGTGTCGATTATCTGTATATTCTTTCACTCTACAAGATTGTGTGTGTGAAAGGAAAATAAAAACTCAGGACTCCAGTTCACTACGTCAAAAGGAAAAAATTAGGCTGAAAGGTGAGACATAACAAGACGCTGCTTTTCCTTTTGTTCCTAAACAAACAGCTACAGTTAAAAGGTTAAACTTATCCACAGGTAGCTACTGGTATGTTCACTTTACCTTACAGATGAATACATAATTGACTATTCCCCTACCTGCTCCTTTTTTCTTGCAACATGTGGATTACTATACCCTCCCTCTTTCTCGTTTAAATATTAAAGCCCTCAAAATCATTGTTGGAGAAAGGCACAGACCTTTCTCCAGGGCGAGTCCTTAACCTTGGCAAAATAAACTTCTGAATTTATTGAGACCTGTCTCAGGTACTTTTTGGTTTACATGTGCTTGTGAGGGCAGGCACCTAATCATGTTTATTCTCGTATCCATGCTGAGAGCCTGAAATACAGGCACTCAAAGAATTTGTTGATTATTTACTTTTTGCAAACCAATACATTGTGAGCTGTTCTGACTCATTATTGTATCTTCAACCCAATTATTTGCACTGAAAGAGTGAAAAGGGGGTATTAAACAAAAAATATTAAGGACTCCCCCAAACAGAGGCTCATCAATGAAAAACTGCCAAGTTTTGGCCAATTAGTAGAAAATCCGCAATGATAAAATGGCCAGTACTGATATGGGGCCAGCAGGGAGCTTTGAGAATTCTAATCCCATCTGGAAGTCATTTTAACCAAAGGAATTAGACTACCGCATTGGTTGTTGGTGGTGAGGTCTACTTAGATTTCCTGAATGATTTCTAGATGTCCTGGGCACTTAACACCAGCAAAACGTCTCAAGCTGTGTTTTTCCAAGCTGCAGGATCCTCCTTAGTGGCTTGGGAAATCACTCTAATAGGTCAAATCAGTATTTTTTTCAAAATTAAACATTACAGTTGAAAATACTAATGAGCACTGCATGTGGTACGGATGAATATTGTTTCACAGAACTTTTGTTTTAGTGTATACATTATACATTTTGCATGTGCCTTAGTACTACCTGAATTGTGATATAAAATGAATGGGTATATATACATATAAATATAAAATACATTTCTTACTGCGAGTCATGATCAAACAAGTTTGAAAGTCACTGGCTAAACCTAGGGCATATGCCTTCTATCTCTTGCCTTAGATCAGTAAGGCTCAAAGCAATTTAAATGCAAATGTCGACTTTCTTCCCATTTCAGCAGAGTATTAGGCAATGGCAATGATAACAATAACTATAATAATAATGACAACTAACATCTATTAAAATGCTACTATGGGCTAGTTACTAAGTTAAATGTTTTACATATACTATTTAATTTATTCCTCATAACTACCTTAAAAGTCTATATTATTTTTTAAAGATGAAGACACTGAGAATTAAGAGGTTTCCTAATTTGCTTAATCACACAGTAAGTAGTGGGACTATGGTTTGAATTAGAATGTAACTAAACTCTTTTTTTTTTTTTTTTTTTTGAGACGGAGTCTCGCTCTGTCACCCAGGCTGGAGTGCAGTGGCGCGATCCTGGCTCACTGCAAGCTCCGCCTCCCGGGTTCAAGCCATTCTCCTGCCTCAGCCTCCCGCATAGCTGGGACTACAGGCGCCCGCCACCACGCCCGGCTAATTTTTTGTATTTTTAGTAGAGACAGGGTTTCACTGTGTTAGCCAGGATGGTCTCGATCTCCTGACCACGTGATCCGCCCGCCTCGGCCTCCCAAAGTGCTGGGATTACAGGCGTGAGCCACCGCACCCGGCCACTAAACTCTTAATGTATTGTTTCCTGAGGAACCATGTGACCTTGGACCCAATCAGTAAGAACCGGCTAAGGGGACTGCTTCAGGGAAGATATGACACAGTTCATTTTCCCCATAGGAATGCGTTACTGTTCAGAGAACTAGTGTTTCCTAAGCACTGGTGTTATTTCCTCTACTCTGTTCTGACGAAAGGGGAGAGGGAAAAGAGATGCTTAGGTCACATGTGGGGCCTTATTGATCACTGTGATCTTATACCTGGCCCAGTGCATGAGACACTAGATGTATTCAGTAAATATATCTGCACTGATACGATGCAACACTGAACTAATTCTAGTCCCAGTTATACTAATATTTGCTATGCAGCCTTGGCCAAGTCACTTAATCTCCCTGGGCCTCTTTAAATACATATCCTGGAGGTTATTTCAAGAATAAAATAATACATGGAGAAAAACTTAAAATGTAAAGGATGAAAAATTAAAAAGCTGCCTCCAAGTGGCTACTTCTCAAATATACCCAGCTATTATATTTTGGTATTTGAGAGGCAGTACTAATTTTCTCAAGGCATTTTTCTACTCAACAAAGAAATTTATCCAAGTTGTAAGTATATGTGTTTCCCCATTGGGCTTAAATGCTACTTTAATTTTAAATGAAAAACAATGTGATCTATTCACTTCTTGCTTTTAAAATGATTCTTAGGTAAAAAAGGATGCAGCCCTTGTATTAGGAACTCACCAACATGCATGCTGAATGCAAAGTGATCACCCTGACTGAAAAAGAGGTGAAGGTCAATTTTAACCCTGGCTCATCAGACCAGGAGAGACACACAGTGGAAATAACATAAGAAAACTTGGAACTAAGACTGTACGACAATGAAAAGAATGAAAAAAATTGTGAAAATAGGGGAGCAAAAAGAAAAAGGCTAGGAAGAAGAACTAGGGGTTAGGGTAAAAAAAAAAAAAAAGAAGAAGAAGAATTAAATGATAGGAGGCTCCTCTCACAGTGGTATCTAACTCTGGAAGAATGAAGAGACTCTGTACTGTGAGTCGGTACAAGGAAATGAATTACTTGCAAGGCATGGGCATGTTTATACCTAGTCTTGCCCTGGCCAGTCTAAATGTGTGTCTGCCTGGTATGTTCACATAACAGAGAATCTTTTGAGACCCTTAACTTGCTTGCCTCAGTTCATTCGTCCTACTTTGAGAAGGAATGACACTATCAGAAGAAACACAGAAAGCAGCTCTAGAGATCACAGAGAATGTTGAAGGTGTCAGGAAACAGCAGTATCTCTTTGTCCAGTTTATCACTGGGACTTCACAAGGTTTTGGAGGCTTTAGGAGTGAAGAGTTAAGAGATGGAGTAAAAGAATGAGATTTGCGTTTCTGGATTTTAGCTTAAGATACCATAATGACAAGCACCTGGTTAGGAGTAAAAAACTGTCATAAGGAAACAAGCCAAATTCACAGTAATTTTCAGCAGAAAGTATTTGAGAAGGGTGTCAGAAATAATATTTATAGCCTCAGATATGCACATAGTGGTCATAAGTTAAATAGGAGATTTTAATCTGAAAAGGTAAATACAGCCTTCTGGGTGCCTTTAGGATTAGCAAAGAATGGAGTCATAAGAATATAACCACTACTGGGAATTCCCTTGTATAAAAGAAGCCAAGAGTTGGAGGCCAGTGTTAAAAAAGAAGATAGTGTAGTTGAAAAAGATTGTTAAGGCCGGGTGCAGTGGCTCACACCTGTAATCCCAGCAATTTGGGAGGCTGAGGTGGGTGAATCACGAGGTCAGGAGATCGAGATCATCCTGGCCAACGTGGTGAAACCCCATCTCTACTAAAAATACAAAAATTAGCTGGGCACGGTGGCACGTGCCTGTAATCCCAGCTACTCGGGAGGCTGAGGCAGGAGAATTGCTTGAACCAGGGAGTCTGAGGTTGCAGTGAGCCAAGATCAAGATCGCTCCACTGCACTCCAGCCTGGTGACAGAGCGAGACTCCATCTCAAAAAAAAAAAAAAAAGAAAAAAAGAAAAAGATTGTTGAAAATCTATGAACCTTGAGTACCAACATAATAGGAGGAGACAACTGTGCAGCTACAATTTATATTATAGGCCACCTGGCCAAATGTTGGAATGGATAACATGGTGACGTGTACAATGGCAAAATACAAGATCAGGTTGTGGGGTGGGAGGGTTTCAATTAACTAGACATCTGCTGAAAGTTGCACTGTCTAAAAGTTGAGTGGAAAAATTACTGACTTTCCTTGCTGACAATGTAAACTTTCATATGGTAAATAAAGCAGTAAGGGGAAATGCAATCTCGAACCAAATTCTGACAAGAGTGCTTAGCAACTGAAATACTAGGAACCTTAGGAAAAAAATCACTGTACCATCTTTTAGTTCAAATTCACTGAGAAAGAAATGATGAGAAGAACGAAGCGTGTATCTTAAACTTTAAAATAATAGTACTCTAAAAATTCAGAAAAATGATATATATGGCTGTAATGGGTTGAAATGTGTCCCCCTCCCAAAATTTATATTAAATCCCAACCCCCAGTGCCTCAGAATATATATCATTAGTTAAGATGAGGTCATACTGGAGTAGAATGGGCCCCTAATTCAATATGACTGGTGTACTTATAAAAGGAGAAATTTGGAGCCAGACACAGAGGGAGAATGCCATGTGAAGATGAGGGCAGAGATTTAGGTAATGCTTCCAGAAGCCAAGCAATGCCAAAGATGGCCAGCAAACCTCCAGAAGCTAGGAGAAAGGCATGGAACAGATTCCTCCTCACAGCCCTCAGAAGGAACCAACTCCCTGACACCCTGATCTTGGACTTCCAGCTTCCAGAACTGTGAGACAATAGTTGTTTAAGCCACCCAATTTGTGGCACTTTGTTACGGTAGCCCTAGGAAACCAATACAACGACTTCAAGGCCTGACACACTCATTGGAAAGATGACTCAAGGAGGTTGAAAGCTCTTAGGAAATCCTGCAATTACAGAAAGTTCTGACGAGGCAGGAAAAGAAAGTATCCAAAAAACCAGTATGACCACTAGGAGATGTGTACGGTTTTCAAAAGGGAAAAAAGTGAATTTTGTAAAGTAGAATCTTTATGTTGATTCTGAACCAAATTCTAGGAATGGAGTATCAATGGACTATTCATAGTTACTTTTAAAAAAAAGCACTGATTCGTATAATAAGTCACAGCAAAATAACCATAAAACCCTTGGTGATGCAGTGAATTGTTTGAAAGACTGGCAAATAGTGGATTAAAACGATTGACAGAGATTTAGAAATATGGGCCTGGTGAGTTTTAGTGGGAAGACTCATAACCAGTATAGATGAACAGACTGATCTTTTTCTTCAGAGGGGTTTATATTATTTTGCTGTAGGTCTTTGTCCTTAGCTCTGGCTTGTTCAACATTTTTTTAAACGAAGAATCACATGAGAACAATGATCAAATGTATGGATGACAAAAGGCTTGAAAACAGCAAATGCACTGGTAGACAGAATCAGGGTCCAAAGGTCTAAAATACCAGTCCACACCCCAAAACATGAAATTTCCTAGTTGTAACACTGCTAGTGGGTCCAAAAAGCAACCATCAAGGCCAGTGTATTTTTAAGAACAATAGCACATGTGAAGCAGACAGGGATTTCAAATGATATTAATCTCCACATGGGTTAACCTAGTGATGGGGCTGCCCATAGCTAATGCAGTTTTAGGCTGTGAGAACACCTAGAGTGCTGGGTTCAATTCTGTGGAGTGTTCAGAGTGATAAGGATGGTGAGTGGACTACAACCATTTCAACTGGGGATATTCAGAGTTAACTAAAGGCAGGAAAAGAAAGTATCCAAAGGACCAAGATGTGTATGGTTTTCAAAAGGGAAAAAAGTGAATTTTGTAAAAAGTGAATTTTGTAGAAAGCAAGCCTGACAAGAGTTTTTCCTGAAGGGTTTTACGTGTGGGAGAGTACACTTACTTTCTAACCTCAGAGGATAGAGCTAGGGCCAATATGTAAAAGTGGTGGTCAATATGAGAAAGCAACACATAGAGTTGCTCACAAATGTAAGGGATTATTTTGGGGAAGAAATGAGTTTCCCATTACTGATGATGTTCAAGCAGAAACAAGATTACTTACTTAGTGTGTGGTGTGTATATATATATATATATATGTGTGTGTGTGTGTGTGTATGTGTGTGTGTGTATGTATATATATACACACACACTTTTGTTTATTTTTTGAGATGGAGTTTTGCTCTTGTTGCCCAGGCTGGAGTGATCTCGGCTCATTTTGCTCTTGTTGCCCAGCAATGGTGCGATCTTGGCTCTATGCAACCTCTGCCTCCCGGTCTATGCAACCTCTGCCTCCCGGGTTCAACTGATTCTCCTGTCTCAGCCTCCTGAGTAGCTGAGACTACAGGTGTGCACCACCACGCCTGGCTAATTTTAGTATTTTTAGTAGAGACAGGGTTTCACCATGTTGGCCAGGCTGGTCTGGAATTCCTGACCTCAGGTGATCTGCTTGCCTCAGCCTCCCAAAGTGCTGGGATTATAGGCGTGAGCCACCGTGCCCGGCCTACTTAGTATCTTTTTAAGGGAATTCATCATTATATGGGGGTGAGAGGAAGAGTCTAAGATTCTGTGACTCCATTGTGAGACAGTGGGACTTCACAGTTGAGATATCTGGGGCCAGGTGCTTTCTCACGCCTGTAATCCCAGCACTTTGGGAAGCCCAGGTGGGAGGACTGCTTCAGGCCAGGAGTTCAAGACCAGCCTGGGCAACATAGTAAGACTCTGTCCCAAAAAATATTTTAAAAATTTAGCTGGGAGTGGTGGCACACACCTGTAGTCTTAGCTCCTTGGGAGCTTGAGGCAGGAGGATTGCTCAAGCCCAGGAGTTGGAGGCTGCAGTTAGTTAGCTATGACAGTTCCACTGCACTCCAGCCTGGGCAACAAAGTAAGACTCTGTCTTAAAAAAAAAAAAAAAAGAATCTGGTCTGGAATTTCCTCTGCAGAGTGAAAAGAATCTCACATAAACTTCCAGAGAACAAAGTGGATGACCTTTTGGAGCTTAAAAGAATGAATACTTAGCCTTTCTCTATTTCCTCATGTCAGCAGCTACCTGGATATCATGATGTCTTATCCTCCAAACCAGTATTTCAGAGGACAGGAGCAAAAATAACAGGACTTGGAGTTCCTTCGATCTGGAATCACTTCTCCTTAACTATCTATACTTCTGTGATAGATTGGTCTTTCTGCCCTGCAAATCTGGAGTATCAGGGAGTACTCCCAGGGCTGACTCATCATTTAGACATGCTCCCCTTACCTCTTAATGCTCCCAAACTTATCAATATATATGACATCAGCAATTATTATACTTCTTGTCCCACAAGGCTAAGCTCATCTGTCATCATGCTAGTAATACATTTGACCATTCATTCAGAAGAGGGTAATTAAGAACAATTTGAATCATAATTAATTGATTTAAAATATCAACTATCTAGAAAAATGCTTTCTGCTTTTAAGCTTGCATCAGTGCTCAGTTATAAAATCAATCTTACTAACCTCCTTGAGCAAAGCTATTGGATGGGTTTACATCCAAATGTCCTGGCACTACCTGCTTAAGCACAGTGGACATTCTTGAAGTCCTCCTTTCAGTCCCTAAAGTCAGCCAAAAAGAAGAACAAAAACCATGTTGTTTGGGTTAACATTACTCAAATGACAAAAAGTTATCTTCAGGTGTAGCATGTTTAACTGCTGCCAAACATTGTACTTTTAAGTACCCAAAGCTTTATTAGAGATAACAAGGCAATGTTATTATTAATCAGAGATAACACACATTTGCAAGATTATAGAGAGTTAGGTTTGGCAAGTGCAATCAGAGAATTTAATGATAAATGGAGCAAGGCATGCATGGTGTTATTTTACAAGAAAAGCCACTTTCTGCTTATGTTGAGCTAATTCAAATAGCTGATTAAGCCAAAGAGACCAACTTCTCAAGTCACATGCTCCTGTGTCTAACACATTAGGGTTACCTCTACATGAACCCTTTGGGGTTCCATCACATGATAACTGAAACAGAATATTAGTACAAGTCTTAATGGCTTCATCCAAATCCAGTGAAAACAAATTGTACTGAAAATCATAATAGGCTGCAGATATTTTGGGAATTTCAAACTTATAAATGATGATTTTAATAAATACACATTTAACAAACATGTTCCACTTACATATTCCATGTCATAAGAATATTTTAAAGTCTATGAAAGATAAATATGGGAATAAAGGGTGACTTTATTTATATTTCCCACTTCCTCTCCAATTACTCTTTTGAAAAGGAAATAACTGAGCTGGGTATGATAAATATGGGAATAAAGGGTGACTTTATTTATATTCCCCACTTCCTCTCCAATTACTCTTTTGAAAAGGAAATAACTGAGCTCACACCTCACACCTGTAATCTCAGTACTTTGGGAGGCTGAGGCGGGAAGACTGCTTGAGCCCAGAAGTTCGAGACCAGACTGGGCAACACAGTGAGACCCCATCTCTTAAAAAAAAGAAAATAAAACAAAAAAGAAAAAACTGAATCTCTAAGTTAAGTTACTATTTACTAGACATTAATAGTGGTAGATTTCTAAGTAAAAGGAGTTAAACTTATAACCCTTCAGGGTAAAACTTTTAAGAAGTCTTGGTGAAGGAACAGTACAAATAACAAATAACAGTACAAATAACCCTAGGAACAGAACTGACCTTTCATTAGAAGCTGTCAAGAAGAAAAGTATTATCAAATCTTACCTGGAGATAGAGCAAAGGCTGGCCTGACAGTAAGAGTGCTGTTGCCTCTGAGTTTCTGATGGACAGAAACAGCATTCAGTAAGGCTTGCAAGTATTTCTCTTGTTCTATGCTACTGGAAGATTCTAAAGAGGAGGTAGGAGCTATAAAAGGAAAATATATTGAATAAAATAAACTGTCTCTGTGTTAACAAAACAAGTATCTATCTATCTATCTATCTACCTATCTATCTATGCTTATTTTTCTCTATATAGTCTACAAGTTACCACACCCAAATATAGAAACCAGCCCCACTTAAATTGCCAGTCTATTAAATGGCTAATCCTCCACTGTAATGCTGGTTTTACCACACCTACTTCTTGATTGCCTCATTATGCTTCCAGAAAGAGCCCAGGTCTGGAAAACCAGCACAGGGCTACCCTTCCAAGCACAGATTGGGCTTGAAAGCACAGGGCATAGCTTCTCATTATCCAAGCAACTCAAAATGAAGATTCATGAACAACAACGCCTTGATGATATCCCCCAACCATCCTGACCAGGTTATTGCTTGGGAGTGGGTTCCTTTGACATCCCAGAATGGGTAGAGTTAAGAACTTTCCAATACCAGCAACTTTATTTCAATTCTGCCACACAGGCCCACCAGGGGACATGAGCCTATAAAGATTTGTAGAGGGAAGAGTGGAAGAAGATGGGGAGAAGATAGGAGCAACTACTGCCAATCCCTGGTCCTTCTAAATGAGGAGCAAAAAGTATACACAATTGTGAGAGCAATTCTGGGTTGATGGGCATATAAGCCTGGTTTGGGTGAAGCAAAACAGAATCACTGAAATCGGCCCAGACAGTTTAAAGAGGACAGGGGATGGACTCACTACAAGGACAACAGATATTCATAAATTTTCTTACAACTTGAATAGAAAATAAATAATTAGCATTATTGTATTTTATCAACTTTAATATGTCATCAATTCTAAGACGCACTGTTATTTTATTGCCTAACAATAAAAACTGCTTATCAATTAAAAAACTGCCATTTAAACTATGACACTATTCTTTCTGATCACATCAATTGTAAGATGCATTGCAATTTCAAAGATACTAGTTGTCAGCCAGGCGCAGTGGTTCACGTCTGTAATCCCAGCACTTAGGAAGGCTGAGGCAGGCAGATCACCTGAGGTCAGGAGTTCGAGACCAGCCTGACTAACATGGTGAAACCCCATCTCTACTAAAAATACAAAAATTAGCTGGGTGTAGTGGCGGGCGCCTGTAATCCCAGCTACTCGGGAGGCTGAGGCAGGAGAATCGCTTGAACCTTGGAGGCGGAGGTTGCAGTGAGCCAAGATTGCGCCATTGCACTCCAGCCTGAGCGACAGAGCAAGACTCCAGCTCAAAAACAAAAAAAAAAAAACAAAAACAAAACAAAACAAAAAACAAAAAACAAAAAAACCCTAAAGATATTAGTTGTGAGTAAATGTGGAAGTTGAATATGAAATATAGTAAATTTAAATTAGATTTAAAAAAATCAGCAACCAGTGGAATAAGTTTCAATTGTTTTCCAACTAAAAGCTTAGTGATACGCTTATCGGTGCTCCCAAAATCATTCACTCATTTTACATAACATATATGCTTGTGTTCTATTTTACTATTATTTTATTTCATTTTTTTTGAGACAGGGTCTTATTCTTTCACTCAGGGTGGAGTGCAGTGGTGCAATCGTGGCTCACTATAGCCTTTACCTCATGGGCTCAAGTGATTCTCCCACCTCAGCCTCCTGAATAGCTGGGACTCAGGCACGTGCCACCACGCCTGGCTAATTTTTGTATTTTTTTGTAGATATGGGGTTTTGCCATGTTGCCCAGGCTGGTCTTGAACTCCTGGGCGCAAGCAATCCTCCCACCTTGGCCTTCCAAGTAGCTGGGACTACAGGCATGAGCCATTGCACCTGGCCCCTTCTTATGTTCTAACATACCCACCAGGTGGCTTGGGAGCACACAGTGTTTCAGAGGAGAAATAGTAAACAGCCAATTGCCTTCAATTACACCAGTAGTGAGACTTCAAGGCAGGTGGAAGGCTGCCCTCAGTCAACCTAATGATCAAAACATTGGCTGACTTTCAAAAAGCACATGGTTGTACCTGGTGAATCACAGATTCTGAGTTTACTTCATTTCCAAAGGTGGAAGAATGCAGCCATCCCTAAATCGGATCTGATATCTTAGTGGCCTACTGTTTCATTTTTTTTGAGCATCTATTATGAGGCAGAAGCTATGAGAAAGGTCAGCAAAATACAGCTCCTGACTTCAAGACCTCAGACATGGTACTCACAAGTATCCTCAGAATATGGGACAGCTGTACTTATTATTTCGCTAGCTTCCTAAAAACCTCTTTGCTTGAAAGATCCTGAAGCAGCATTTGCAGTCATTAGTTTGCTGTCTTGTGTGTGCGTATGACTTGTAAGAGTGAGGATGGATATCTCATATCACATGGCACAGAAGCTCATCTTACCTCTGAAGCTGTTAAATGTATTTGGATGCTTCCCAGGAGAAAGAAAAAAGATTGGTATAACCTAGTTTCCATCTGTGAATACTCTGGTTTGCTGGAATGAAAATTGCCTAGGACCAAAGACTTTATTATATTAATTTCTATTAAAATCCAAGTACAGACCAGACATATTAAGATGTCAAATTCAATGTGGAGCCTCACACTATCAAGTATAGTTCTTGTTTAAGCTGTACATGTTGCATGTAGCAAAGTGGAAAAGTTTGTGTGTGAGACAAGACTTGATGAAAAGGCACCATTCCCAGATTTTACTTCCTTTATTTTTAGCACTGTCCTTATGTGAACGGGTGGTAATTGTGTTATAGAGAGATGCTTACCGGCCTGAGGGGAGTTCTGAGATTTGAAAAGACCAACGACTCCCTTCCCATGGAATCCTCCAGATCGGAGGAGCAGAGTACCACTTCTTGAGTTCTTCCAACATACAACAGGCAGGCGATTGTGTCGATAGCAGCGAGCTACTCTTGGTAAACTACTGTCCTGTACAGCTTGAGGTACGACTAAAAGGCCAGGATAGCTTCAGAGACATAGAATAGAGAAGAGAATGATTGGGGGAAGGAACAGAGGGGAAGAAAAGGGGAAAGGAAATGAGAGAAGAGGGAGACAGAGAATATAAGAAATTGAATACTAATATCATAGTAATTTTCTAAGATTCAGAAACATATTAGTTGAAGGGTAAGATATATTTATTTTCTTTTTTAATTTTATTTTTATTTTTGTAGAGACAGGGTCTCACTTTGTTGTACAGGCTGGTTTCAAATTTTTGGGCTCAAGCGATCCTCCTTCCTCAGCCTCCCAAAGTGCTGGGATTATGGGCGTGAGCCATTGTGCCTGGCCAACATATTTCAAATATGGAACTTAGTTTCAACTTCTGAATTCTTCAGGGATTGAGAAGAAAATCCCTAGATGGTGAAAATAGCTAACTCATCCACTGATCTGTAGTCTTTTTTGAAAAGAGCCCCATTCACTGATATTGCAGACTTCTGTTGAATAAACTTAGAAAATAAAAATATTATGTAGAATTCTTTAAAAGGCCTCTGTTGAACTATTTCCCTTGCCTTATACATTACTTTTCCACAACTTGAAATAAAGATCGTAAGATTACCAGATTAATGTCAACTTTATGAGAATGACAAGTCAAATTGTAAACAATTCATAGATCACTGAGATGACATTAGAGAATACAGCATGCCAATATTAGACTGCCTGAGATGGTGAAAGGCTTAAAAACCAAAACCAAATTATTTTTGGCATGAGAACAATTTGTTCAAATGTCAAATGAGTTTAAATAGTTAATAACACTACATGTTGATACTTATTTTAAAAGATTAGCTTATAAAGTTACAGGATATGATGCTGGGAAAATAACATGTAAGAGTACACACAGATTAATAAATGCAAGAAGACAGGCAGGTTTCAGAGTCATTTCTTTTTTTTAGTTTAATTAGAAATATTACACAAAACAGATTTTATATTTATAACCTCCTAACCACTAATCCTATATCTTTTTTTTGGTGATTTTTTTTTTTTTTTTTGAGATGCAGTCTCGCTCTGTCGCCCAGGCTGGAGTGCAGTGGCACGATCTCGGCCCATTGCAAGCTCCGCCTCCCGGGTTCACGCCATTCTCCTGCCTCAGCCTCCCGAGTAGCTACGACTACAAGCGCCTGCCACCATCCCTGGCTAATTTTTTGTATTTTCAATAGAGACGGGGTTTCACCGTGTTAGCCAGGATGGTCTCGATCTCCTGACCTCGTGATCTGCCCACCTTGGCCTCCCAAAGTGCTGGGATTACAGGCATGAGCCACCGTGCCCAGCTGGTGATTTATAAATTTTGGGAAAATATACCTAACATAAAATTTATCATGCTATCCTTTTTTTTTTTTTTTTGAGATGGAGTTTCACTGTTGCCCAGGCTGGAGTGCAATGGCGTGATCTCAGCTCACCGCAACCTCTGCCTCCGGGGTTCAAGCAATTCTCCTTTCTCAGCCTCCTGAGTAGCTGGGATTACAGGCATGTGCCACCACGCCTGGCTAATTTTGTATTTTTAGCAGAGACAGGGTTTCTCCATGTTGGTCAGGCTGTCTCGAACTCTCAACCTCAGGTGATCCACCTGCCTCGGCCTCCCAAAGTGCTGGGAGTACAGGCGTGAGCCACTGCGCCCGGCCCATGGTATCTTTTTATTTATTTTATTTTTTATTTATTTTTTGAGACACAGTTTCGCTCTTGTTGCCTAGGCTGGAGTGCAATGGTGCGATCTTGGCTCACTGCAACCTTCGCCTCCTGGGTTCAAGCAATTCTCCTGCCTCAGCCTCCTGAGTAGCTGGGATTACAGACATGTGCCACCACACCTGGCTAATTTTGTATTTTTAGTAGAGATGGGGTTTCTCCATGTTGGTCAGGCTGGTCTCGGACTCCTGACCTTAGGTGATCTGCCCGCCTCGGCCTCCCAAAGTGCTAGGATTCATGCTATCCTTTTTTATGTGTACAAACCAGTGGCATTTAGTACATTCCCAATGTTATGCAACTACCACCACTATCCATTTCCAGAACTTCTTATCCCTTATCTTGATAAGAACCAGTGCTGACAGGAGGGAAAGGAAATCTAGTTTATGGTCACATAAATCATAACCTTCAACTACTTTACTGAATGCCAAATTAACTTTCCATACTTAACCAATGATAACTTGGAAGCATTCTGAAAGCCTAGGGCTTTGGTGATCTAGGAAGCTGTGGCCTGAATTTTTGTAATACCACAAACTGATGAAAAGACCAAGCTATAGACATAATCACTCATGAAGACTGAAAAGGCAGTTCCATAATTAGGACCCTCTATCTCCACTTGAATATCAGTTTTTCCCAACTTGCTTCAAGATACAATGTGTATTAGACAGGGAAATAATGTTTAATGGTTCCAGGAGCTACTTCAATAATCGGTAAAGAACGAGCACACTCCTTCACTCCCTGCCCCCTGTAGTGAGCCATCTCCTTCCACTGTGAATGAGCACTACACACAGACCATCCTCTGTTACATACAAGATCTATGGCTCTCTCCTGCTTCCTGACATGGGCTTGCATGACAGCTGGAGAGCCCCTCATGCTGGGGCAAATTGTGTGAAGCCTAAAGACCAAGAGAAGCTACTCCCAGTACCAGTCTCATTTCGTAATGAAAGATATCAATTTCCCTGCCACCCATCCTAACCCACTACTCAGAGCCTTCAGCTCTGGGCTCCACAGTTAACTCTCAAGAGGTAGACTAGGCTTCAGAAGCTGTTGTGGAAACTTTTTAATTCAAGCATAATTCACATACAAATGCTCAAAACCTAGGTGATATCACTACCACCTAGGTCAAGAAATTGACCACTACAAGCATCCAAGATCTAGTATTTCCTCCAAGTCACTATTTATTCTTCTTTCTTAAAGATTACCACTATCCTGCCTGGCATGGTGGCTTACACCTGTAATCCCAGCACTTTGGGAGGCCCAGCTGGGAGGATGGCTTGAGCCTAGGAGTTTGAGACCAGCCTGGGCAACATAGTGAGACCTCTTCTCTACAAAAATAAATAAATAAAATAAAAAGAAAATTAGACAGGTTTGGTGGCATGCGCCTAGTCCCAGCTACTCAGAAAGCTGAGGTGGAAGGATCGCCTGAGCCAGGGAGGTTGAGGCTGCAGTGAGTTGGAATCACATCACTGCACTCCAGCCTGGGAGACAGAGCAAGACCTTGTCTCAAAAAAAAAAAAAAAAGATTACTACTATCCTGACTAACAATGTGGATGAATTTTGCTTCTTTTTGAATTCTAGATAAAGGGAATCAACAGAGTTTATTCTTTCATGTTTGGCTTCTTTTGCTCAATATTATGTTTATGAGATCCATCCGTGTTATTTGTACTCACGTGTAGTTTGTTCATTTTCATTACTGTATTTCACTGTGTGAGTATGATACCATTTATCTATTCTCTTGTTGATTTTGAGTAGTTTCTAGTTTTTTTAATTATTAAGAATGTTGCCATGAACATTCTTGTAGATGTCTTTTGGGAGCACATATGTATTTCTGTTAGAAATTCTACTCCACCTAAGAGGAGAATTTCTAGGAATTAGGTTATGAATATGTTCAGTAGATGTTTAAATGTTTAGACAGCATTAGACAACTTTCCAAAGTTATTTAACCAATTTATAGTCCTTTTTACTCTCTTGATGATATCTCCTGATATACAGAAGTTCTAAATTTATCAATTTTTTACTTTATAGATAATGTTTTTCCTATCCCAAGAAATCTTTCCCTATACCTCAAGGTCATGGAGACATTCTCTTATCTTCTAGAAGCTTTATTGTTTTAAGCTTATTTGCTTTAACCTTAATAACAAACCTATTGTTTTATTGTTTTAACCTTTTACATATAGATCTATAGGTCAATGGGAATAGGTCAAGATTAATTTTTCCCAGCATCCTTTATTGAAAAAACATCTTCTATCCACTGCTCTTAAGTGTTATTTTTATCTTAAATCAAGTATCCACATATGTTGGGGTGTTTCTGTTTAATATATTCCCTATTTTGCTCCACTGGTCCGTTTGTCCATTCTTGTGTCAGTCCTATACTGTCTTAATTACTGTAGCTTTATAAAAACTCTTGACATCCTATAGTATTATTCTGTAAGACTATCTTGGCTACTCTGCCTTCCACATTTTTATGTAACTCTTAGAATTACCTTTTCAGTTTCCATTAACATTTTGCTGAGATTGGGACTGATTCTATAGAACAATTTCAGGAAATTCAGTTTTAGAATACTGAATATTCTAATCTAAGAACCTGAAATATCTACTTATTTAGCTCTTCAATGATCTTCAATATTGTTTTAAGTATTCCATGTAGAGGTCTTGCACTGGTTATTAGATTCATCCCTAAGTAATGTTTTTTAGTGCTACTGTAAATAGTAGGAATAATACCAAAATAGCATCACTTTTTGAAAATTTCATTTTGTAATAATGTTTTTAGTATATATATAATTATTGTAAATGACCTTGTACTAGTGACCTTATCAGTGACCTTGTACTAAATCCACTTAATAATTTTAAAAGTTTATTGGCAGATTCCTACAGATTTTCTACATGTGCATTTTGGTCATCTGTGAGTAATGGCAGTTTTATTTCTTTCTTTTCAATTTTTATACCTTTTATTACTTTTCTAGTCTCTTTGCACTGCCTAAGACCTCTAGTACAACACTGAATAGAAATGGTGATAATGGGCATCCTTGTCAGGATTTCAGAGAAAAAGCTTTTAATATTTTATTTATTTCTAAGATAAGTAATTTCCTGTGTAGGATTTTTAAGACAGAAGATTAAGGAGCTACCCACTGTTCCACTGTAGACTTCTCTGAGGCCTTCAGGGCGCTACTCATGGGAGCTCATTCTTACTCTCTTTTGCTGAGAGCTTTTTTCTAAAGATCACAAATGTGACAAAAAATACAGAATTTACATAAATAAATTTACATAAATAAAACTCATAAGTGTACTTTGCATTTGCAAAATGCTTATCTTTATATAATAAACTTCTTTTTAATTCTGTTAATGTGGTAAATTACACTGACTGATTTTCAGATGTGAAACCAGTACTCTATTCCTACAATAAACTCCACTTGATCTTAATGAATTGCTGTGTGTAAAATAAACCTTTTGTCATTATCAACCATCCTTTCTTACTGCTTTTAAAGTCTACTTTGATATTCATATAGTGACAACAACTTTTTTTAAAGGTAGTTTTGCGTGGTATATTTTTTCTATCCTTTTACTTTCTACCTTTTTATATACTTGTATATTAGATTTGTCCCTTAAAAGCAGCAGAAAGCTTTTTTTTTGGAGACGGAGTGTTGCTCTGTCACCAGGCTGGAGTGCAGTAGCTTGACCTCGGCTCACTGTAACCTCCACCACCAGGGTTCAAGTGATTCTCCTGCCTCAGCCTCCCAAGTAGCTGGGACTACAGGCACAAGCCACCATGCCCAGCTAATTTTTGTATTTTTAGTAGACACAGGGTTTCACCATGTTGGCCAGGATGGTCTCCATCTCTTGACCTCGTGATCTGCCTGCCTCGGCCTCCCAAAGTGCTGGGATTACAGGCGTGAGCCACTGAGCCCAGCCACTTTTTTTTTTTTTTTTTTTTTAAAGCAAACCCTGATCTCTTTCTTTGAATTGGAACATTTAGTCAATTAATAATTAATGCAATTATGGATATATTTGAATTTAAATCTACCATCTTACTACTTGTTATTTATTCCATTTGTTCTATGTCCCCTTTTTTTTCCTTTCTTGCCTTCTTTTGGATTATTTTTTATTATTCCATTTCCTTCCTGCTAATAACTTAATGGATATATATTACTTTTTACCATCATAAATGCTTTATAACCAGTGTTCTAATAAGTCATCTATTAAAATTTTATTTTACTTCTGACAGATTGGAATGATAAATGAGTCTGTTTTCTCAATGGCTGGCATAATTTTGATAGCAAACTTTCCAAACAGCAGGACATCACACCCCGACAACATGACTCATCTTCAGAGAAAATTTAGTTAGAATGACGGAGAATTCCAGAAAAATTACTGCATACTCAGAGTGCCAATTTTTCAGAACTTCATGCAAAATGTTTATTTGGCCACAATCTCAAAACTATATTCCCAACTTGTTTCTGAAGTTTCATATTAATATTTGTAAACTTAAATTGCCATTTAAAATGACATATCTATCTTCAAGAGCAACAGGGTTGAAAGTAACATTAAGATAACTTTCTAAAATATGTACAAAGCTTACAATTTACAAAGTGATTTCAGAGCTGTTTAAGCAGGAATTTATAAATGCAAAGAAAAATCTTACCTGGAGATGAAAATGACTAAACTTGTGGATGGTGAAAATGTAATTTTAGAAAATATATATTTACATATAGTAAAGCATGGAATAAGACTCAACATATTTGAAAAACAGTGAGAGATGACAAGAACTGAAAAAAGAAAATGCCTCTTTATTTACATCCTTTAAGTAATATTCCCTTGAAAACATTCCAATTAGACCGCATAAGAAAGCCTTGCCTACACCTGGGTCAGCAAATTATAGCCTGTGGGCCAAAACTGGCCATGCCTACTCATTTCCTTACTGTCTGTGGCTGCTTTTGCGGCACAGTTGAATAGCTGCAACAAGAGACTCTATGGCTCATAAACTGAAAATATTTACCAACTGACCCTTTATAGAAAGAGTTTGTGGCTCCCCAGCCTACAAAAGACTTTCATGTCCTCTATTGGGCTGGGAAAATCCTGTTCTTCAAGTTATCTTTAGTCATGCTAGAAAAGAAGCAAACTGGGAAGAGAAAGACAAGAGAAATTCATAGGGGGTGAGTACTTTACCTTTCACCTTCTCACCTACTAGAGGTACTTTCAGTAAGGTAATTGTTCCGAGAATGCCAATGAGATGCTTGCTCGTATCCTGGAGACCTTGTTCTTATTTTCAGGCATTTTTATCTATCTCAGGGCTATGGATGCAAATGGCCTATTAAAGATTCAAATAAGAAGAAAGGAAGGAAGACCTCTTTTTGGAGCCCACTGACACACTTACCTCCGGCAGAGTGAATACATCCTGTTGGAGGCAGTAATTCTAAAATACTCGGGTCTTGAACGGGAAGAGCTGCCACTTATGGTTCCTAAACCTAAACGCTGATAGTCTCTGAAACAAGCTTTTTCCACCAACTGTTCCATTGTAGACTTCTCGGAGGCCTTCAGGGTGGTACTTGTGGGGAGCTCACTCTCATCTGAAACTGTGATGGTAGAGACAGATATCGAAGAAATGATTAGCTCAAAGCAATTGAGGTCTTCAGGGTAGTACCTGTGGGGAGCTCACTCTCATCTGAAACTGTGATGGTAGAGACAGATATCAAAGAAATGATTAGCTCAAAGCAATTGAGGCCTTCAGGGTAGTACCTGTGGGGAGCTCACTCTCATCTGAAACTGGGATGGTAGAGACAGATATTGAAGAAATGATTAGCTCAAAGCACAGGATTAAAAACTTCCTTTTGGGCTGGGTGTGGTGGCTCACGCCTGTAATCCCAGCACTGGGAGGCTGAGGTGGGCGGATCACAAGGTCAGGAGTTCGAGAGCAGCCTGACCAACATGGTGAAATCTCATCTCTACTAAAAATACAAAAAATTAGCCAGGTGTGGCGGCAGGCACCTGTAATCCCAGCTACTCGGGAGGCTGAGGCAGGAGAATCACTTGAACCCGGGAGGTGGAGGTTGCAGTGAGCTGAGACCGTGCCACTGCACTCCAGCCTGGGCAACCGAGCGAGACTTTGTCTCAAACCCCGCCCCCAGCCGCAAAAAAAAAAAAAAACAAACCCGCTACTTTTGAAGAAGACTCTTACACCAAGACAGGTTTATATTAGGATGACAAGTATTATGTATATCACAAATTAAATCATGTAACTTCTGTGAGGAATCACACTTAAATAAACATAAATTAAAAGTGTAATGAATAGTCAAGAAATAAAATATCAGTAATTCAACTAAAAAATGTCAGGAAAATAATACCATTTAAATAATTTCTAAAAACAATATAATTTTGAATTCATTACCTACACTGTTCTGTTTCATGAAGGCTTGCTTATTGTCAAATTGCAGTGATTTCTATTTAGGACTCTATAAAAACACCCAAAGTTTGTCAGAGGCTAACCCATCAGTAAAATTTATCTTTCATAAAATCACTATACAAACTCATCATCCAGATTTCAGTTTACTTTTCAGACTATAAACTTTTATTAGAAATTTCTGGATTAACCAGAAGTTCACTAGAGGGAAAAATAACTTTATTTCCTCAGAGAGGTATAAAGGAGTTACACTTTTTTCCTGGAAATATTTTTGTTAGAGGATGTGGTGTACGTGGGAAATCCCCTCACAGTTTTACAATCACAGGTTACAGAATCCTTTACAATTTTAGATGTGGAAGAATTTACTCAATAATCAAATATTTTAGGGAGGCTTTTTTTTTTTTAAAGAACATTCCTAATTGGTACTGCATGTTCTAACTGGGGAAAAAAAAAATCCATGTTAAAAACTGTCCTAATTTACTTCCCTATTTATTTTGAAAGTAAGAGACATCAAATCAAGCTTTCAAAGTTTTTGAAAATGTACTCAAAGTACTAATGTGCAGGCAAAGATATGGCCCTCTTTCATTAAAATATATTTTAAAAAAGCAGAACATCAACAATTAAGTGTTTCAATTTGTGAACTTCAATTCATGTTTCCATTTGTGAACTTCACAATGCAATATCATCAGGTATCAATTCTGTGTTGGCCTTTAATTTTCAGAGGAGCAAAGAACATTATATAATTTGGTCTTTTAGTAGAATAATTATCATAGAATAATAGGTTTTGTTCCATGAAATATAAAAAAAATTGAGTTAGAAGAGTCAATAGTGATGGGTAGCGATAATATTTTTATGGTTTGACACATGACTGTGAAAAGATCAGGGTTCCAACAAATGGGTGTGGTGTTATTTCAGTGATATAATGGTGGGTATTTTCATTGCCCCAAAGGCAAGCTTGTATGTACATGTTCTCACCCAGGGCATGCATACATACATACAAAACCACATAGGTTCTTTTTTTTTTTTTTGAGGCAGAGTCTTGCTCTGTCCGACCCAGGCTGGAGTGCAGTGGTGCAATCTCGGCTCACTGCAACCTTCTCCTCCCAAGTTCAAGCAATTCTCATGCCTCAGCCTCCTGAGCAGTAGGGACTACAGGCGCATGCCACCATGCCTGGCTAAAATTTTGTATTTTCAGTAGCAACAGGGTTTCGCCATGTTGGCCAGGCTGGTCTCGAACTCCTGGCCTCAAGTGATCTGCCTGCCTCAGCCTCCCAAAGTGCTGGGATTACAGGCATGAGCCACTGCGCCTGGCCCACATAGGTTCTTTATCCCAGCAACTGAAAATGGAGACCGGTTAGCCAGTGCTTTCTCTGAAGATGAGGTTTCTTTTTTAAAATGTTGTTGTTGTTAGTAGTAGTTTTTGCAAAACCACCGGTGACTGATTCTAAGATCCTGAGGGGAAAAAAAGGGTGTAATGGCATTCTGCCTCCCATTATATCAGCTTCTCTGTAGTGCTGATTCCATAGCATATTTGATACTGGGTTAAGAATGGGAAACAGTCACTCAGAGATTTTGCTACTAGCTTTCTGCCTCTATTTTTCCCACTGAGAGATATTGTAGCTGTTCTTTCAAATATTTAGCAAGTATTTTTTCTTATGACCTAAGTATTCCTTCATCTTAGGTCCCCCATTTTGATTAAGAGCACCAACAATGTTCTTACCAAAAACTGAAATCTTCAACTTGAAATGTTCAATGTCCTTACCTTAAATTCTTATTCTAGAAGGATAAGATACAGGGGACTACTCTATACCTAAATTTCCCATGCAGTGGGGTTCCCTTCTTTCTTCTTTTAATGAGACACACATAAAAATGACCAATTAGCTGTATGAATTTAGTAAAGAAGTATAATTTAACAAAATATTACCTGAACAATGGGATATTGGGAAAATATTTTTCCCCCAGTTCTAAGAAGCTGGTAAGTGCTTCCATCTTCTCATGAGATCTAGGTTTTTGTGAATCAAGATGTAAGTGCAACTACATCTGAGTCTCTTATTCATATAAGAAATAAAGTTGAATAATGAAGGAAATTCAAGTTTTCACATACCAGATACATCATCATCTTCATTCCATCCAGGACGATTTACTCTTTCTTCCACAATTGTCCCTGTCTTCTTCTTCAGTAAATATTGCCGCCCAATTGTCATTTTCCCTGCCCTTTTGGCACCTTTCACAATTGTTTTTGAGAAGGTACTACAAGTCATAAAACCAAAGAGAATGTCAACTTAATATAAAAGCACTACTTGTATTGTTGACACCTACTTAGCTCAAATTGTTTCTTCTCCTTTCCCACAGCCACTACTGGTCCAGACTCTTGTTAAGCCTCTCCTTCTTTAGGTTACTTTTAATATGGCAGTAGACTAATTTCCCATAAAACACCACTGTCATCAGGATACTGTCTTAGGAAAAACGTGCAGGAAAATGTAAAGTGAGACACAAACTACTTATCACCCCAAATCTAAACTCCTTGGTTTAGCTTGTCGGGGAGGACTGCCCTGAACCCACTCTGGTTATCCTCATGCCACTGTCCCTACCACAGTTCCCACAAAGCATGCTTGTTGGAGTCCTCCTACATGGAAAGCCAGCCTGCCCACTTCTCTACTTACTCAAACTCTCTTTCTACCAACTCACAAGCCTTTCTTTGAGATCATATGGCCTTCATAGTTGGCAACACATTTGCTTATTTCTTAACTGTTTTAAGTGTGTATATGTGATGTCCTGACTCTAATTAGCTGTAAACTTTAAGAAGCATAGAAAAATAATATAATTCCCCTTTTTTGAAGGAGAAAAATAAGAAATCAGAAACTTGAGTATCCTTTTGAGAATCAGCTTTAATTAAAGGGAAACTAAGATGTAATGGACCTAGAAGTACTTTATTTATTCAAACAATTTAACCCTTCTTGCTGACAGAAAATCTAGGCAATCCAGAGAATTAAACAGAGAACCTATTTCCTGACTAATCAGATGGAGGTGAAGACTCTGAAGACTGTTCTTGATTATATTCTTCTCTATCACAAAGAACTCTTCTGGTGTTTTCTTGCCATTCAGTAAAAAGTGATAAGGCTTCTTTTATTATCAAATAGTTTCACCAGACTCCATCTTTAGTTATTTGCAATGTAAACCTGAAGGTTATGAAACATGTTTGAGATAACAGCTGGGAATCATAAAATACTGATATTTCCTAAATTAAACTTATTGTAAATCACTTGTGTAACTTTTATTTTTTAATTTTTATTAGTGGGCTTTCTGGCAAAAACTGGAAAGTCTGCTAGACAAATTCTAAAAGAGCTGTAACACTAGGTGTAACTTAAACTCAATGGGATTTTTGAAATTTTTTCCCAGCTAAAGCTATATATATCTTTTGTTTCATATACCCAGGCAACTCTTAAAATTTTTAAATTGCTACATCTCTGTTGCAGCTGATATAACAGGCTTGATACAGGTATATATTTCTGAAACTAATATAAATATACATGTTTCTGATAGTTTCTAAATGTAAAATACCACACAAAGCTTTGTCTCTTCCATTGAAGGCTGAGATAACAAACATCATAGGCTCCTCTCCGACCCTATGGTGCTAAGACAAGATGCTTGGTCCACTGCTGTAAATCCCTAGGAACTTGCTCATGCTTCAGCATACCATACCTGGATATTACCTGGTAAGCAAAGCTAGACAGGTGGCTAGCTGTGCAACTGAGAAATAATATACTGTCTGGAACCTCAAATTTTCTATAATCCCCAATCTACCCTTCTTTCAGGCAAAGGAAGGGCCTCTTTTCCAAAGTCTGCAAAGCTCTCCCTAGTATTGTAATTTGTATTGGCAGATGCCCGAATTCTACATGGTTAACAGTGAATGAAATTTTAGCCCTTATATTTTATCACCGATGGAAGATAACTTAAAACTATTGTTATTTCGTCATAACTGAAGTTTAAAACTTTCAACATAAATTTCTAAAAACTTTCTAGAAAATAAGGGTTCATACTAAAGAAATATGACAACTAAATGCAATGCCTGATCCTGGATTAGATCCTGGACCAGGAATAAAAAAGTTAGGTACTAAACTAAAAAAGGATCATTAACACAATGTGAATATAGACTCTGGGTTAGATAAAAGTTTTATATTAATTAAATTTTCTGGCTTTGATTACTGTGCTTATATAAGATAATGCCGGACAAGGGGAGGGATAGCATTAGGACAAATACCTAATGCATGCAGGGTTTAAAACCTAGATGATGGATTGATGGCTGCAGCACACCACCATGGCACATGTATACCTATGTAACAAACCTGCACGTTCTGCACATGTATTCCAGAACTTAAAGTATAATAAATAAATTTAAAAAACAAAATAAAATAAAAAACATAAAAAGATAATGTCTTTGTTCTTAGGAAACATATTGTGATGTACTTAAGGATAAAGGGACATCTTATATCTAACTCAAATGGCTCAAAAAAAATATGTGTATATATGAGAGAGAGAATGATAAACAAATGGACCAAAGTAGAAACTACTGGTGAATCTGGGTAAAATATATACAGAAATTCTTTGTTCTACTGTTATGAATTTTCAGTAAGTTTGAAATGTTCAAGAGTTATGAAAAACAGAAAATATAGCCTCCTGTTTCTAGATAAAAGCAAATCTGTCCACTGGGCCTGGATATTAATAAAAGCTGAAGGGATTGGTCAAAAGCATTTAGAAAGTGATCAATATGGAAAAAAGAGAAAATAGAATTTCACATTCTAAAAATGCATTGTGAGCAATGGACATGACAGTCAAAGCCTCTGGTAGCTTTTAGTTTTTGAAACTTGCTACATTTATCAATGCTGCTGTTCCGTAACTTTATGATCTTGGCCCCATGGGCTTGACAGAAACAGAACAGTGAATGAAAACAGCAATCGCTTACACCTGGACACAAAGGATAGGTTACTCCTTTTGCAATCAATTACGGGAGGGCTGAAATTAACAGACTTGTCTTTCTTCTTACCGAAAAGAAGTGTTCTTTTCCTTCTGTTTTGGTAAAATTATTTGTGGGGTAGTTTGTCCAGCAGCAAAAGCAAAGGTACTGAAAATGGACTGAGGATAACGGAACTTCATCAGCTGTTTCTTAAAGATCTCTACTACTTCTGGACTGACTTCTTCATCAAATGCTACCTTAATCAACTAGAAGCAAAAGAGATTAAACACAAAAGAAGCATTAAGGATTTCCTGGCAACTTTCCCCCAAACAACAGAATATAATAACACAAAATGGCAAGACTGGAGGTCAAAGGGACTTTGGATAACATGCAATACAATTTTTAAATTTTTAAAAATAAAAAAAGGCTCAAAAAGGTTTACTTGCCATAAATGGCTAGTTGGCAAGGAAAATCATGTATCTTCAAGTCAGTTTCTTTAAGATTATTTCTTCTACAATGGGATAGGGAATTGTATAGCAAACACGCCCTTCTCATTTCTCAACTGGTTGGTTCCAGATAGAGAATTTGGCCTAATAAGGTCTCTTCCTACCCAGATACAACAAATGTAGGAAGAAAAGAAATCCATTTGACTAGAATCCTAATCAGTACAGCTAGGCAATATTTGAGTGTGGAGTTCTTTGGTAGTCGGGACAGTGAGGAAATCCTTAGGCAGCCAATGCTTTCAGGTGATGAGAGAAGGTCTGGAGCCTAAAGATCAGCAGCCTTACATTTCACACAATTAGCATAGAAGCCAATAGGAGAGATCCTTGACTAGAAGGAAAGAGGCAAGAACTGGCATTCTTAGAAATCTGAGAAGTGATGAAGAATAAGACAAGCAAAATATTGCAAACTGAGAATTTAAGAACAGGAAAAACTAAGAAAAGGTCACTTCTTCCAGGGTCTGGTTTGCATTATTCAATAATTATTGAGTTATTGCAGTAATTCTACAAAGTTCTGATACAGTCATAAACCCCTGGAAAACCTCTTGCTTTATCAGGGGTATGCAACTAGTACCAATAGAACTTTAGCCCTAGCTATACTGTTTACCTTTCCATAGAACAGCCACAGGGCATTTCCTTCAAAACAGATGACAAGATAATTGCTTTTTATCTAAAGGCTTCATCAAACAGGTATTGAGGTATAACTTGGCAGAGAATAAGAACCAATCGTACTTGTCTAAGTTTCTAAGATCACTCATTATTGAGTATCTGCTGGTACTCTGAGTTGGCTAAGGGGCTCCAGGGATTAAATCCAAGACTATTCATGAGTTTACTCAGCTGATGACTACCCTCTCAGACCCTATGATCTTCCCCATTCTCATCCTCTTAACTTCTGAGCACATGACCACACAAAATGGCCATAATATCATTTGACTTTTGAAAATTTTTGAATAGTAAAACAATGGCTTCCTTTTTTAATACCTGAAAAGATGCTGATGTGATCTGCAGTCCTTCTTGCATGTTCTGCTGTAGCTGGTTCTGCATTGTAATCTTCTTCTCCTTGGTGATGGAGGCAATGGGAAAGCTCCGCACAACTGTCTGCTCACCCACTGTAAATAGACAGGACACAGCTTCAGCAACAACACTTTATAGCTCACTTTTAGAGTGTCTACTGCTTACTTCATCAGTCTCTGCTAGAGAAATGTATTTGAAGAGGACACTGCCCAGGGATGCAGTGAAAGAAAGTGCCCTTCACTCCAGAAAAGGATTATGTCTCAGGAGTGGCAAGTGACTTACATTTCACACAACTAGCACAGGAAGCAGTAGAAGGGATCCTTGACTAGAAGGAATGAGGCAAGAACTGGAATTCTTGGAAATCTGAGAAGTTAGAGACAAGTGACTTGCCACTCCTGAGACAGAGTCCTTTCCTCGAGTGAAGAAACTGTCACAGCCTGACTGCCTTCATTCTTTCTATCTCCCCAACCTACTGTGTGCCACATAAGATCACCTGGTTTAAGGCAATTTTATAGGAAGGGAGGTTTTACAAAAAAAAAAAAAATACTCCTCAAGTATTGAAAAGACATCCAAGATATTTAATATAAGGATAAAGCAAAAGAGAATAGGTTTTTAAAGTTTGTTTCGAAATATGTAAAAGATGTTATACTATATATATGTGCCTTTGGAAAACAAGCCTGGACTTAAGCGCAAGACTTTTAGGAGTTTATTAAAGCAAACATGGGAAAATATAAATAATTATTTATCAAGTACCTGAGGTTATGAAGATGAGAGTCTAGAAAAAAAGTAGCACACTCAAGACCTCCCTTGAAGAGCTTCCAATTTCCCGTGGGAGGAGAGTCACATGCAGAATATAATAATATGTGGTTAGCTCCTACGTTTGAGGGAACAGTCTACAGGGATTTAAATATTTCAGAGAAGGATCTCTGCATGCTAGCTGGATAGAAAATGATTTTTGGGAGAATTGAGAGAGAAGATGGAGCTTTAAAGGAAGTGTAGAATCTGGATTTGCAGAAGGGAAAGGAAGAGCATTTTAGGCAGTGGTAGAGGAACATAACAGGAGTGGCAATGAACAAGGCCTCCCAGCTAGTAAGCCAGGGTGGGGAGGGGGTGGGGAGATCTGAACTAGGTTCATCTTATTTAACAGCTCATACATTTCTTCATTTATTATAATCAGAATCCTAATTCCCTGGATCTATCAATCTGTAATCTAGAAAAATTCTGACTATATTCTTACATCAAGCTCATATCCAGAGGCTAAGCAAAGTCAGGATGTACATAGGATTTAAGTTCTAGGATGTATTTAACACCTACATTTATATAACATGTAAAATTATAATATTTCTATGTGTCATCAAAGGATAAATTTTAAATTAGAAATTTAAAAGGAAATAAAAAGATTTTCTTTGACAAAAATAATTTTCCTAAGTGAAATTAATTCAAAATTTGAAAGGAAAAGGCAGAGAATATGAGATTTCACACTAAGCATACTTTAAAATAAATAAATTACAGCAATTTAAATGACCACATAAGCAAGGAAAAGGCAGAGAATATGAGATTTCACACTACGCATAACTTCAAAATAAATAAATTACAGCAATTTAAATGACCACATAAGTATCACGTTTACGTGTCCAAAATGTGTGTTTATGGCCATTAACCTCACAAAAGTCCTACTATAAAAAATTGTAAGTACTGCATAGTTTCTTTTAAAAATACGTTTACTTTCAAATACAATTTGTGTATAGCAATATGAAGGAGCGGGCTAAGACACTTTTCTCCTTTTCACTTTTTCAAAATAAGCAAAACTATTCTTACAAATTCATCTTTCCTTATTTAATTTTATGAACTGTTGCGCATTATATGGTAAGCAGTCTTTTATGACTGATGTACTAAGCCATCTTGATTCTATTCAACCTAGGAATAATGCAACTGTTAAGATTTAAAAGAGAATACATTTTATATATCTGAATTCACTTGTCCAACCAATGAGTAGCACATAGTGCATACTCATCAAATGCTACTGCATACATAATTTCAAAGGAGAAAGGCACTTTCGTGACCATTTAGCCCAGTGGTTCTCAATCACAATCACTTGTGGGGCTAAAGAAATACACAGATGCCTGGGTCTCCCTATTTCTACTGCTTCAGATTCTAATACAATTGTTTGAGGGTTGGGCCCAGAAACTGGTATTTTTTTTTAAAGATTCCCAGATAATTCAAATATACAGCCAACATTAAGAACCACTGAATTATCACCAATGAAAGCCCAATCTCCCAATTTTATAAAAGAGGAAAATAAAGTCCAGAAAGGTTAAGTGATTTAAGTCACTGAGCTTTGACTTGGAGTCCTGTTGTTTTGCCCAAAGTCTTAATTATGTGCTTTTCCTATCAACAAGAGCATTTTACATATAGACTATAGTGAATTTAAGAAGATAATGTAGATTACTTCTGGTAGGGCATGCTATTCCTTTCCAATATAGAAGGCTGTACTGAATAGTAGAAAATAGAAACAGAAGTTATAGGAGTTTGGCAAGTAGAAGAGAAGTTGTCTGCTAAAAGGGAAGTGGAGTTAATTGGAATGGAATAAGAGGGAAGTGGGATTAGTTGGTGCTGGACAACCTTGTGATAGTTAGCATATCCTTCCACAAAAAGGTTCAAGTATCTGCAAGACCTTAGTTTTACAGTTAACTGTAGGACTCAGAAAGCGTGGACAAACCAGCAAGGGATATATTCAGCAGTTAGAGTGAATATCTCTAGGGTATAACACTCTGCCTCATGAAATGAAATTATGATCATTTCAGCAAATGAACCCTTGATTTATTGTTTAGAAGATAACACTTTGTTCTTCAAGTAAAAAACTATGACCCAAATTATCATTAGCTCTGTCAGACTAAAGTATTTCACCAAAATACCTGTGTGGCAAAAAGCTGACTTTGGATTTAAAATGATCTGCAAATCACTGTGCACAGATGGGATCGAGACCTCATGTACCACACAGATACCCATGTTCTGATGGCATATCGAGTCATACCTAACTGATCATGGGGTGTTCCTCTGAAGAGAATTCTGTATGTGGTGAGGAACAAGGCTCCTTCTGCTGGCAGGAGCTGAGGGCCTCCAAGAAGACCTCCAGTAGCTTCTTCTCTTCCATCAGGATCCAGCAAGACTCGAAGACCCTCACAGACAATTTCTTCTCCTGGCAGCAGAGCAGGTCTAAGAATCTTGGGCTTACAACAGAAAAAGATTGATTGATTGATTGATTGACTAATTGATTGATTTTTGGAGACAGGGTCTTGCTCTGTTGCCCAGCCTAGAATACAGTAGTGCAATCATAGTTCACTGCAGCATCAAACTCCTGGGCTCAAAAGATCCTCTGACCTCAGCCTCCTGAGTAGCTGAGACTACAGGCATGCACCACTATGCCTGGCTTATTTTTAAATTTTTTTTGTACAGATGGGATCTTGCTACATTGCCCAGGCTGGTCTCAAACTCCTGGCCTCAAGCAATCCACCTGCCCCAGCCTCCCAAAGTGCTAGGATTACAGGCATGAGCCACCATAGAAAAGTATTTTAAACACAACTTTTGTGGAGTTTCTAATACTTAGTCCATGGTTATCTTTTCAGTTACAGACCTAAAAAACTTAAGCCAGACTTCCCAGATAGTCACATGAGAAACCTGATTTGGTAAGAGGCAGAAATGAAGTTTATATACCCAAATGTGAGAGGATTCTTTGCAGAATTGTGTAAAAGTAAAGTCATTGAGAAATAACTCAAATATCTGAAATATTCATTCAATGAAACATTTTGTAACCTTTAAAAAATGACATAGATCTATATGTGTTAACATGGAAAAATATCCAGAAGGCTGGGTGCAGTGGCTCACGCCTGTAATCCCAGCACTTTGGGAGGTTGAGGCAGATGGATCACCTGAGGTCAGGAGTTCGAGACCAGCCTGGCCAACATAGTGAAACCCTGCCTCTACTAAAAACACAAAAATTAGCTGGGCATGGTGGCAGGCGCCTGTAATCTCAGCTACTCAGAAGGCGGAGGCAGGAGAATCGCTTGAACCTGGGAGGGGGAGGTTGCAGTGAGCCGAGATTGTGCCACTGCACTCCAGCCTGGGCAACAGAGCAAGACTCCATCTCAAAAAAAAAAAAAACAACAACAAAAAAAAACCCAGAATACATAGATTAGTTAAAAAAGCAAGTTAGAAACCAGAATGTACATTATAATCCCATTTTTGGAAAAAGAATAGGAATTGTAAGACTGTGAACCCAACTGTTAAAGGCAATGGTATCACAGTTAAGGGTGGAGGTGGAGGTAGTATAGGGAGGACTGCAGGGGACTTTCACTTTCTACAATGTGTATTTCTTTTATGCTCAAATTTATACAAAGAACATTATTACTTTTGAAATTATTTGCACATTATTTTGTTTTTCAAGAAAACAAAAAATATGGACGAGCTTTTAACTAGACCTGTCCTTGGCCACGTAATGAACATTTACACAACTCAGGAAATTCTGACTCAGTAACCATATAATACATTCCTCTGAAGAGTTTAGGGCTAGGAAAAAAAAATCTCTCCTGAAGGTCTAATATGTTTATTTTTTACTAAGCAATAAAAACTAATCAGCACTATTATTTTTGTTGGCTCTAGTGAGTTTAGAGCTAAATGTAAAGCCAAAGTATAATAATCGCTGTGTCTCAGGTTTCTGATAGAATTATATTCCTACCTACCTGCCTTCCGCTCACTCCTTTGACTAAATGAATGAATTTACCTATTTATTTATTTATTTATGAGACTGGGTCTTGCTCTGTCACCCAGGCTGGAGTGCAATGACATGATCTCAGCTCACTGCAGCCTCAACCTCTTGGCCTCAAGTGATCCTCCCACTTCAGCCTCCTGAGTATCTGGGACTACAGATAACACCACCACGGCTGGCTAACTTTTACATTATTTTTTGTAGAGATGGGGTTTCATCATGTTGCCCAGGCGCTGGTCTCAAACTCCTGGGCTCAAGTCATCTGCCTGCCTCGGACTGCCAAAGTGTTGGGATTATAGGCGTGAGCCATGGCTCCTGGCCTCAATTTGTTTTTGTTCTATTATAAAGTTCTGTTATATAGGCAAGAGGGTCCTGAACCATAGTCTACTGGCGCCAGACTACAAAGTAATCATCTGAGAGCCTTGTTAAAATACAGATTCCCAGACATGTTCTGGGGTACTCCAATTCAGGAGGCTGGGGTTGGGTCCAGGACTCTGAATTTTTAATAGACTTTCCAGCTGTTTGGGATGTATAGTCAGATTCAGAAACCTGGGTTTTTTATGATAATTGCCTTAAATCCTTTTTGGTGGTGGGGGAGGGGGAGAAAATAGGCACAGTATAAAATCTTGGGTTGGGCTTAGAGGTTAGAAATGTTCCTAATTTATGCCCTGCCTATAAAAGTAGACTCAATGAGAGGTTATTATTGCTCCTTTGTTGAATCTAAGAAAAGATTCTGTTCCTATTTCAGTATCCTTTTTATAAGGTTCTATATGACACACTTCTCTGACAGTTTAACATATCATTAAAACTGGAGTTAGTGTCTGTCAAAGGTTAGGTGAACATCCTTTCCTGGCACACAGCAGTCTATTGTTTGTTTTTAAGAAGAGAGGCTATACCCTGAAAGCATGTAGTCTGGAATTACCTTCTGAATAGGCGGAAGTCTTCTGCTTTCTCGATGTACTGCTTCTAGGGTCTCAATGTGCATAGCTACAATTCCTAGGATGAGTCAGAGTATTCAAAATGAAAGAACACAGACAAGCAGGATAAAAACAAATTCTGGATATTTTAGAATTAAAAGTTAATTACAGTTTACTGGTTCCTCAAAAAAGTTAAAGAGAATTACCATTATGACCCAGCAATTCCACTTCTACATATATACCCAAAAGAAATGAAAGGACTCAAACAGATACTTATATGTGGATATTCATGTATTATTATTTATAATAGCTAAAAGGGAGGGAGAAGTAACTCAAATGTCCATCAACAGATGAATGGATAAAATGTGGGACAGCCATACCATGGAAAGTTACTCAGCCATAAAAAGGAATGAAATTCTGATACATGCCACAACACGTATGAACCTTGAAAACATTATACTAAATGAAATAAACCAAACCCAAAAGTACAAATATTATCTAAGTCCACTTATGTGAAATATCTAGAACAGGCAACTTTATAGAGACAGAAAATACATTAGAAGTTACCAGGGGAAACAGGAGTTACTGCTTAATGGGTAGAGTGTTTGGGGTAATAAAAAAGTTTTAGAAATAGATAACAGTGATGGCTGCACAACATTGTAGATGTAATTAATGCCACTGAATTGTACACTTAGATTATTTTATGTTATATATGTATTTTACAACAATTTAAAAACATTTTAAAAACTAATCAGAAAATAAATAAATAGCATGGCTGAACTATAATGGAAGACATGTATTGCCAGGTTTTATGCTGAAACTCAATAATCTCCAATATTCTGATTCTCTAATATCTGCAGAGTGATTACCTGGTATCATGCAATGAAGGCTCTTGATGTGATCCTGAGTAACTCCACTCTCTGTACAAACTTTGTCAATAAATCGGGTAATGAACCGCACAACAGAATTGGCAATGTCAGTATTCTCTGAATCTTCAAACCCACTCTCTGTATCATAGCTCTCAGCTACACTTCCTGCAATACTAAGACAGTCAAGGAAAGAAATCATGGTCAGTACTTAAATGCAACAAATGACTACTATATAGTAGTCAATTTACATAGCGACAGAAACATGAGCAAAGTGATGTCTACTCAAGTAGAAGGCTCACTTAACTCCATGGCTCCTTGGTAAGTGATGGTGATAAAACACAATGTTCTACTAGTCTACATTTGGAAACTACTGTCAGGCAGTAAGTTTCTGTAAGGAAATTTGTTTGGACCCAGATTTGTTTCTGTAAGGAATACCTTTAGTCACTCTCCCAAAAGGAATGCAGGAACCACAGAAAATAAAGCAAAAGAGGATTTTTTCATTTATTATGGACTACCTGGGCCTTCTAAAGCAACCTGTCCTCCCAAGTTAATTATTACATAGAGAACAAGTAATACAGCTATCTTTGGCTACTTGGCAACTGAGGAACATGTTCCCTGGTAGGCAAAGTAAGAGAATTTTTCTCAGCAACAAGCGTACTCTTCCATATGTAAGGACCAAACTGTCCCTTCTCTTGCCAGGATTTATCACTCTCTGAGTTAACTGCAACCCATTTGGCCACTTTGAAGCCAGCATTCTTCTGTAGATGATAAAATCATGCAAGAGAAGGGAACAAATTTGAAATGGAACAGATGTGAAAGCTCAATCTCTGCCCTTCTTGCTTATTCAGCTCTTACTGTTCAACCCATCAGACTCTGGGAAAAGACTCATTTGTCTGTTCCTATTAACTTCTCTTTTCTGCAAAGCCAACCACATTAGCTGAATCAGTGTTAGAGATTGTTAAAGTAAAGCTAAGCAGAGACTATGGCCATCAACATGCAGACTTTGAGAGAGCACTGTCATCTATAATGATTATTATTTGTTTATATTTATTTATTTATTTTAGAGACAGGGTCTCACTCTGTCACCCAGGCGAGAGTGCAGCGATGCTAGCTGTAACCTCAAACTCCTGGGCTCAAGAAATCCTCCTGCAGCAGTGATTCTCCAGCCTCAGCCTCTCAAGTGGCTAGGACTACAGGTGTGTGCTACCACACCTGACTAATTTTTATTTTTTGTAGAGATAGGGTCTCACTATGTTGCCCAGGCTGGTCTTGAATTCCTGGCCTCAAGCAATCCTCCCACTTCGGTCTCCCAAAGTGCTGGGATTATAAGGTAGTCAGCCCCATGCCTGGTCCAAAACTTTAAAAGAAATGTAAAATATAGTTATTGCTTGTTATAATGAAGATGAACGTCACTGGCAATGGAGAATGGAGATAAAGCTGTGACAGCTAAGGAATATCTTACAAATTAAACAGATAGGTCCTGTATTGAAACAGAGTCTTGTGGAATTATGAGTAGTGAAGGAATGGGAAAGCATCATTTCGGGAAGATCCTTTTGGCAGTAGAAAGAAGAATAAAAAATGAAACAACTAAGAGACTGTTATAATTAGGGCTTGAAGTGATAAAGGCCAGACTATGTTGTTCCCATTAAATAACCAGAGGATGAACAAGAAACTCTATATGGGTGGGGGTAAGAGATCTGTGCAGTTGACTGTATGGTGTGAAATGCTGATTCCAAGTTGTCTAGCCTGGAAGACCAGAAACTCTGAGGTGTCCCTGACAAAAATGAAGTACCTAGGATAACAAGATTAAAAGGTTTGGGCCAGAGATTTAGGCTTGTGGATGAGTCTTCCACAGAGTAAGAAGAGCTTGGAAGAGGAATTGAGAATGGGAAGAGAAGAGGAGCTGCCTGAAGGAGCATGAGGAGAAGAATTTATGCGAGCTCGAACTACCAGGATGTTGCGGCACCCATCACTGAAGCTCTAAGGATAGAATTTCACTACTGTTGGGTTGATAAGTTCATTTATTCACTCATTTAATCATCTGTTCAACCAAATATTTATTGAGTACTATATGCAAAGACACTAGGAATACAGCAATGAACAAAACTGACAAAGGAAACATAACAAGCAAACATATGAAAATAAATCAGGTTGTAAAAAATGACATGAAAGACAATGCAAAGTAGGAGAGGGAGAGGTATTATTAAGATGCAGAAGTCAGGAGGGCTTCTTGAGGCAAGTAACATTTGAGCAGAGACCTAAATAAAGTGAGGAAGTGATTCTTGGCCTGTTTAGGTGAGAATATTCCAGAATGAAAATACCAGTACAAAGGATGTGAGGCAGGAATATGCTTGGAGTGTCTGAGGATTAGCATGAGCAGGGAGACCAGTTTGGTTGACAGAAGAGTGATAGGAAATAGGGGGTCAGAGCAGTAGCCAGAGGACGGATTCCGTTAGGCCTTGCAGGCCATGGTAAACACTGGGTTTTAGTTTCAGTGGTATGAGAAGTTACTGGAGGGTAGAGAGGAAGGCATGGTTGAGGGTATGACTACAAGGTTGAGGAAAAGGAGGGCTGAGAAACAAACAGCCACTTTTGCAAGAAGGTGCTCACTAATTTCTTTGGAATGATTTCTGTAAATTGCTTTGGCAGACAGTAACTGAAGGGCTGGATCAGTAATGGGTGAGACATTTGGAAAAATTAGGTCATAAAAAAGAAGAAAGTGTGGGAAGTGGTTAAGAATAGTAGGATGAAGTGAATCTTTTAGAAAGAAAAGCTGAGCAAGTCCAAAGGTGAGGAAAAATGGTTAACTTTTGAAATATGTACAGCAGTATTTGCTCAAAATGTTTAATATTATCTGTCAAGCCAAGACTGGCCCCAAGAAGAGTAGGAGGAGGGTCTGTGTGTTCACATTTTGGTACCTGTTTGTGACAATGCTGTTGCTTCCGCTCTCCCAGTCACCTGGCGCTGATGTTCTTAGGAGCTTGTTTTTACTTGTGTCGAGTGGAACTAGCAGGTTCACCATGAGGTTTGCAAAGTGAATGGCCTGACTAAAGACAGTGCTTTCCTCATGTTGCACTAGCTCTTGCTGAGTTGACTTGCTCAGGGTAGGCCAAAGGCGTAGTTGCTCAGCTGCCAGGTCCATTGCTGTCTTCTCCTGATAATGGTCATCAGGAAGCTTATCCTAAAAAATAAAGCAACACAATCCAAAAGAGAACCATCACTTCAGGTGAGCTTAAAAAACATAGATTTTTTTTTTTTTTTTTTTTGAGACGGAGTCTCGCTCTGTCACCCAGGCTGGAGTGCAGTGGCACGATCTTGGCTCACTGCAAGCTCTGCCTCCCAGGTTCACGCCATTCTCCTGCCTCAGCCTCCCGAGTAGCTGGGACTACAGTCACCTGCCACCACGCCCAGCTAATTTTTTGTATTTTTAGTAGAGACGGGGTTTCACCATGTTAGCCAGGATGGTCTCGATCTCCTGACCTTGTGATCAGCCCGCCTCGGCCTCCCAAAGTGCTGGGATTACAGGCGTGAGCAACCGCGCCCGGCCTAACATAGATGTTTTAAATAACTATTCTATTAAATGCTTAAATCAGCAAAAATGAAAACATAAACATAACATAACAACCACAAAACAAAACCTAGTCTTCTTTCCCAGATCCAACAGGCCTTGAGTGGAACTATGTGACAAACCTCAGGAAGCAGCAGCAAAGCACCTTATAGCTTGTGAAGAGCTGGTATGTCTATGGTCTCACTTGTACCTAACCTAGGGCTGGCTCCGGGATAGACTTCTTTAGAATGGCTGACAAAGAAGCAGTGACATGTGTTTGCTCTATGAATGCTTTCGAGATGTGTCAATATTAACATTACATCTGCTTAAAAAATGATCAAAAGCACCCCCGAAGCCCAGTAAATTTCTGGAGTAGAATGATAATCAGCCGTTAAGGCTGCTTTAAGTTCAATTCATGAGGATGATAGTTTCTAACACTTATTATTACTGCATACCATGTACTCTTCAATGCACTTTATATATGAGACACTAAAATCTCATAATAATCATATCCATTTTACCAGTGAAGATATAAGGCACAGTGAAGTAACATGACTTGCCCCAAACCAGAGAGCTAGTAAATGATGTTTTAAACTTTCAGAGTATTTAAAACTACTCTTTCAAATTAAAAACAATTTTCTTGATTTTTAAATTTTTTTGATATTTTTCATAAAAATATTTTATGCTGATAAAACATAGAGAAACATGTAGAATATTCCTAGAAGAAGACCTAGATTTATTACTGGCATTTTTTTAATACAACTACCAAATTTTACATTTATTTTGGAGTTAATTAACTTTAATTTGACATTCCTCCAGGGAAGTTAGTTGCATAGAGAAGTATGCCTGTTATTTTAGGTTTGTTCTTTCTATTCAACTTCCTATAGTCATTTCCAGGAAATTCTTATTTATTAAAGTATATTAAAACAATCCTAGTGCTGAAGAACTGTATTAAGAAGTTATTATGGAAAAACATAATGTCTGAAATCAACAGAGGAAAGATATCACAGGGCTCCCTAAATAAAACCCAAATACACTGGCAGGAAGTAGCTAGAGTTTTTTTTGCCCTGGGAACATCTGCTTTCCTTAAAGCCAGAATCCTAATCCCACACAATTAGAGTTCTTTTCTTCTCTCTTACCTTTTGCTTCAGATGCGGGGCATGATTGTCTTCCTTGGCTGAGAGATAAAGGGAGCGAACCTGTTCCTGCACTGCATTGTAAAAGGTTGTCTCCCAAAATTGCTGATTTGTCCAAATGGGGTGGTCTTGTACACACGTGTAAGCAAACTGGCTGACTCCAGGGGCAAGTTTCTGTGAGAACACACAAAATACATCATCATGGGGCTGGCAGAATTATAACAGTTCATAAGGTCACAGGGGCCACAGTTAATCATAGATGAGATCAAAGGATTTCTCTAAAGAATATCGTATGGTAGTACAGGCTTAGCAATCAGCAACTTACTCCTTTTTAACTGGCAACTGTGGGCTTGCTGTTGGATCCTTGAGAGTCTCAGTCACTTTATCAAAATGGGTATTTTAGTAACAGCTAAAAATCAAAGCTGTTATTATATCAATTAGAAAATACAGGAAAAGGAGGCACTGTAGGTTTAGTGAATATTATTACAATTAGGGCATATAATAAAATCCATCACGATGTAAACATAAAACTCCAGATAATTTAACATTTCTTCTATGGCTTTAGGGTACTCTTTTTAAAGAGACAGCAACTGAAATATGAGTGAACCTACAGCTTGGCCTTACACACAGAATGAGGATATAGCATGAATTAGGGACTCAGGAGAACTGCACTTTTCCTACTGCTCATTCCAGCCCATTACCTCCCCGCCAAAGCTGTTGCCTGGCTCACATACTCTCTAGAAGACTGCCCTGGGCTTCAAGGGCATTTTCTGGTAACCAAATTTGTGCAGGGAAAGATAAACACAAACCAAACCTCCTTCCTTTCAGGGACTTCCTGCTGGGTTTCAGCGTAAGAGTAAACTTAAGAGGTGATTAACAACAGAGGGAAGGAAAATGAACTCTGCAGGCATTTAGAAGGCACTTCATATATATTTAAGTTTGTTTAGTTCCAAAACCCCTGCTCTTTTTATAACACCAAATTGTCTTTCAAAAGAACTGAAAGTAAATCAAAATAAATGAAATGCCAAATTAACTGCCAATTAGCACTTCTGTTTTCCCCTCACTTTATGATTTTGTTTCCCAAAGTAATATTCTACCTTGGAACCTCTGAAAAAAACTTGTATAACATTGCATTTTAAATTTTAATGATAATTTACATTGCCAAATTTCAGTTAGTGACTTGAGTCAACTTTCCAAAACTATTTCTGCCACCTCTAAAAGCTAAGGATGTTTCAAATTTTTAAAAATTCATAATTTTCCAAGAAAGAGTAGGTACCATTTTCAATAAACATTTTTTGGCC
The DNA here is from genome assembly GCF_000001405.40 of Homo sapiens. Taxonomy (NCBI): domain Eukaryota; kingdom Metazoa; phylum Chordata; class Mammalia; order Primates; family Hominidae; genus Homo; species Homo sapiens. The sequence goes on from NC_000011.10 coordinate 9,859,524, forward strand.
CATTTTATTCTTTGGAATTGAGTTCATCTGTTTTCTGTGAGTAGAACTAAAGTTTCTGATAAGTTTTCTTTCGAAGCAATTTAATAAGCTGAGTGTCTTCTCCTGAAATGCTGGACACTGAAGATGATTACTAAGGTTATATAACTGTTACACAACAAAAGTTGGTTCATTTCTTAGGGACGTATACCAGATATATAAGACATCTGGTAAAAATTACACGCTCAATACATGCTAATCTCCTTTTTGGTCTAGAACTGCATACCACGAAATGTAGTACCTGTGTAGTTAGAAGCTGGGTGGTTGTGATTTTGCCTTAAAGAGTCTCTGTGTACTACATGCCATCTGTAAGACCCTTTCAAGATAGGACTGTGTTACTGCTGCTGAGGTAACTGGCTATAACCTCAATTCTCCCTATTAAGTGGCTGTAAGTTGTGGCTATGAAGCAAAAATCAGGAGTTCTTTGAGGGTGCACAGGGATCATTGTTGGATTTCATTATGCCTATCTGCTCATTTAAGAAACAGTTACTGTCTACCTATGGGAAATCATGAACAAAATGTGTGTGGTTTTGTGAGTGCGTAAGCAGAAGCCACACACACTGAATCACAAGCTCCTTCTATACTCTGCATGAAGACACTTGGGACATGGATTACACACTTTTTCCTCCTTCATTTTTTAGTCCTTTACTGTAAGGACCAACAATTGTTTCAGTAGCAGTACACAAGCCTATTTTGAAACAGTTTTTTTTTTTTTTTTTTTGAGACAAGGTCTGGCTTTGTTACCCAGGCTGGAGTGCAGTGGCATGATCATGGCTTACTGCAGCCTCAACCTCCCAGGCTCAAAAGATCCTCCCACCTCAGCCTCCCTAGTAGCTGTAGTAGCTGGGACTACAGGTGTGCTCCACCACACCCAGCAATTTTTGTAGCTTTTTTTTGTAGAAAAATTTGAACCTGGGAGGTGGAGGTTGCAGTGAGATGAGATGGGGTTTTTGTAGAGATGGGGTTTCATCATATTTCCCAGGCTGGTCTTGAACTCCTGGGCTCGAGTGATCCACCTGCCTTGGCCTCCCAAAGTGCTAGGATTATAGATGTGAGCCCCCATGACCAGCCTGAAAGAGATTTTAAAGGCACTAAATTCAAATGAGATAAAACTGTAATTCTCAACTGCCTTTACCATGAGTATACTCAGGGCAGTACCATTTCTTACAAATGCAGCATAACATAATCAATGGCAACTCTAAAAATGTTGAAGTCTTGAAATTATATTCATATAGATAAACTCCAAAAAACTGAGCTTTTAACAAATCCTTATCAGATTCTCACAAAGTACTTTTAGGATAATCAGCATGCCAAAAAAGTTATTAATTAAACATCTTTTATTAAAACTTAACAGAGATGTACAGGAATCTGAGGGTGTAATGAAGCCCCACCTTTCTTCAGTATTTTTCACACTGATGGTGTATATTTGCTTTCCTTGGCACATTTGAGTTGACATTACAGGTTGAATGTCCCTTATCTGAAATACTTGGGACCAGAAGTGTTTCTGATTTTGGAATATCTGCATCATATTTACTGGTTGAGCATTCTAAATCTGAAAATCTGACATCTGAAATGCTCCAATGAACATTTCTTCTGAGTATCATGCCAGCCCACTACAAGTTTAGAATTTTGGAGCATTTTGAATTTTCTTTCTTCTTTTTGGAGACAGGGTCTCACTCTGTCACCCAGGCTGATGACAATCATAGATCATTGCAGCCTAGAACTCCTGGGCTTAAGGGATTCTCCCGCCTTAACCTCCTGAGTAGCTAGGACTACATGCATGTACTGCCATGCCTGGCTAATTTTAAAAAATGTTTTTTGAGGCCAGGCACAGTGGCTCACGCCTGTAATCCAAGCACTTTGGGAGGCTGAGACAGGCAGATCACTGAAGGTTGGGAATTCAAGACCAGCCTGGCCAATATGGTGAAACCCCGTCTCTACTAAAAATACAAAAATTAGCTGGGTGTGGTGGCAGGCACCTGTAATCCCAGCTACTTGGGAGACTGAGGCAGGAGAGTTGCTTGAATCTGGGAGGTGGAGGTTGCAGTGAGCTGAGATCGCGCCACTGTACTCCAGCCTAGGCAACAGAGTGAGACTCCATCTCAAAAAAAAAAAAAAAAAAAATGTTTCTTGAAACAGGTTTTCACTATGTTGCCCAGGCTGGTCTTGAACTCCTGGCCTCAAGCAATCCCCCCACCTCGGCCTTCCAAAGTGCTGGGATAGGATTAGGCCACCAAGTGTGGCCCAAATTTTTGAATTAGATATACTCAACCTGTATCTTCATGTTTATGCACAAACTAAAAGTTGAATATGCAAAAACTAATCTAAATAGTTTGAGCAAAAGTGGGACTATATATGTTCCAAGGAAGAAAAACGGTGCAAGACAGAGTGACAGTGGCCCAAAGGGTCAGAACCCACAGCCTGTTTACTAGGTGAGCATTACAGCAGGGTGAAGTGACTATAGTACAAACACTTGGTGGCAAGACAGACACAAACGGCTATGGCATCTGTGATAGTGGCAGTAGTCTTAGTAAACAGAGAAAATAAGTGCCTGCAGATAAAATGATCTCCTGATATGTGCGTTAGAAATCATTAACCCCCAAATACTTAAAATATTATTCTTTTTCTAGACATGCAGTTTGCCTTCTTTCTTTGTGGTTTCTTGCTTTGTCTGGTCAACCACAAGCAGGGAGCACTGTGTCCCTCAGTGAGGATGGGCAGGGCCATTCCACTGATGGGTGTTCTCAGGACCAGCAGAGGGCAGTATCACTTTATTCTGCCTAGACTCCATCATGGCTTGATCTACAAATTGCAAAAATGGAACTTTGCAGTCAGCTTGGGCTAGAAAGTGGGTGGTAAGGTAAATATTTCAGGTGTTCACTGTGCATTTGAGAGAATCTATAAAGAAAGAGAACTGTTCAGGGTCATATGGTAAGATGAGTAGAACAGATGGGAACAGAAATAAAGCTTTCCATTACTCTACGTTGTTTCTGTAAGATACAAAATGAACATATTTTACAAAACAAACCTGTAATATAATTATGTAGGGAAAGATGTAATGAGACTTTAGGGTTTCAAATTCAGTATAACCTGGGACAGTAGCAGTAATTTTAGTAAACAGAGAAAATAAGCATCTATGGATAAAACTATCTTCTGATTGTGATAATTTATTTAAAAAAATTTTTTTTATTATTTTGTGTTTATTTTATTTTTTTGATTCTAATAATTTCTCTGGTTTGAAGAAAAACTTTCCCAAGACAAGATGGTTTTACAAATTGGTCTGTATACTAGCATCATAATCTTTTAATATTGCACAAAGATGAGATTTAACTCATACTGAGGGTGTGAGATGGTGGTGCTGGTTGGGAATGCTTTTGTCAAATCACATCTCTCTTTCATTCTCTTCAATTCTGGCAACAATATTTACATTTCATAATAATTTTTAAGATTCTGTCCTAAAAAAAAAAGTGGTATTGTGCCATGCAATTTTATGAGATGTTTAAGAATGTGTTGACTTCCTTCTTTATCTAGAAAAAACAGCCCGTGAAGGTACTAGATTAAGCAATGCCATTCATTTTCCACAAAGCTTTCAAAGGAAACCCAGCATGGGACAGGATATGAAGAATAAACTCATGGGGCTCACCAACCAGCAGGCCAGATTCAAATCCAAATAAAGGATGCAAATCATCTGAGAGATGAGATGGTTAAGGGAAAGGTTAAGATATCAGCATGAGGGGCCTGTTGAAGGCCTGTCTGGCTAGACATGTTAGTTCCCCAAGCTCAAGGCTCTCGTTTGGGAGCTCAGGGAAAACCAGATTTCAGGAAAGAAGGCTAGCTGGCAGGTCTTTTCCATAAACATGTAATGGTCTTAAAGAATAATAGAGAGATTCATTGTCTAAATTGCTGGAGATTTCCTATCTAGTTCTGGTCCCTGGAATATAAGTGTACCTAACTAACTGCACAATTCAGGGATGGTGCTAGCAAGTCCTCCTGTGATTCTGCTCTGGCCTGACCAAGTCCAGATATTAAATCACTTTAATAATTAATTTTAGAGCATTTTCTGATGAAATTGGGAGTCTTTCTTTTGCTTAGTCTTGAGAGACAAACAAAAGGAAGACAGGAATAGAAAAAATTGTATCCAAAACCTGGCTTTATCAAATCTTAAACATATTTGCTTTGTCCCTCCCTCTCTCTCTTTTTTTTTTTTTTTAAAGAAAGGACATACAATACATACAAGTCCACTGTATACTTCTCCTGATTCTATTTCTCTCCTATCCTAGAGGTAACCATGATCATGAATTACATATTATCATTCCCATTTTGTTTTTTACCTGTGTATGTCCATAAAGAATACATAAGTTATATTGCAGGTTTTATTCTATCCCTTATTGATGCTTTTCATGTATATAACTCATATTTCATCTATTTATGTGACATCTAACAACTATATAATTAATCAGGAACAAAACACAACTGGCTTATGTAAACATACAACTCAGTTAGCAGGAGCAGAAAGAGAATGGCCTATAAGCAATGAGTATTTAGGATATTATGCTCATTAGTTAGTGGGATTTACAGAATAGTGAGTAATCCATTTAGTTAAATGGGATGACTATAAGCATCTTCTACAGTTTTTCCTGTTTTACTACCTGATACTCAGATTGAACAGTACAAGTATCCTTAAACTCAGAATGGTCTATAACCCTTCTAGATTGCTCAGATCAAGGCATACAATTTCTGCACGAGAGGTATATTCATCCACCAGCATTGTCCAGTATTCACTTGATGTGCCAGATTCTATAAATGTCAGTAGTTGGGATGAATGGATTGAAGTCCTTTTTTATCAAGACATAGTCTCGCCTTGTGACCCAGGCTGGAGTGTAGTGGCACAAACAAGGCTCACTGCAGTCTTGACCTCCTGGGCTCAAGCAATCCTCTTGCCTCAGCCTCCTGTGTAACTGGGACCACAGGCACACACCACCATGCCTGGCTAATTTCTGTATTTTTTGTAGAGATGGGGCCTCACTTTGTTGCCTAGGCTGGTATCAAACTCCTGGGCTCAAGTGATCCTCCCGCCTCGGCCACCCAAAGTTCTAGGATTAATGCCATGAGCCACCAGGCCCAGTTGAACTCTGTTTTTAAACCATTTAGCCTTCTAATGATTCTGTGTCTTAAGTTGTTTAGTAAATATTAAGAGTTCAGAGGATAAATCAATTTCTTTCCTTTGTGGTCCAGAAATTGGTAGACATCAAATCCAAGACTGTTGTCAAGTCCTTTGCCTGGGTTTGGTGGTCTCAAAAATATAAGATATAATCTAAATTCTCCCAATCCTCCCCATTTTTGGCCAGTTTTTATTTATTTTTTTTTTTGAGACAGGGTCTCACCTGCTGCCCAGGCTACAGTGCAGTTGGCACAATCTTGGTTCACTGCAGTCTCAACCTCTGGGGCTCAAGTGATCCTCCCACCTCAGCCTCCTGAGTAGCTGAGACTACAGGTGTGCATTACCATGCCTGGCTAATTATTAAACAAAATTTTTGTAGAGATAGGGGTCTCACTATGATGCCTAGGCTGGACAACTTTATACAAGTAGTACAATGTTGTGTTTCATTCTGCAACTTGGTTTTTCATGCATTATGTTGTTAGATTTATTCAGGTAATGAGAATTATCTGACAACTAGAAATATCTCTGTAAAAAATATTTAAAATAAGAAAAAATTATTATAACCAACCTGTACTGAGTATAATACATTCTCAGTATAAATATTTACTGATTCAGTTAGTCCTCACAACAATCTTATGACCCACTGAGATAAGTACCATTATTTCTCCTGTTTAAAAATGAGGAAAAAGCCGGGCGCAGTGGCTCATGCCTGTAATTCTAGTACTTTGGAAGGCTGAGGCACGTGGATCACCTGAGGTCAGGAGTTCAAGACCAGCCTAGTCAACATAGTGAAACCCTGTCTCTACTAAAAACATAAAAATTAGCTGGGTGTGGTGGCACATGCCTGTAATCCCCAGCTACTTGGGAGGCTGAGGCAGAAGAATTGCTTGAACCTGGGAGGCGGAGGTTGCAGTGAGCCAAGATTGTGCCACTGCACTCCAGCCTGGATGACAGAGCAAAACTGTCTCAAAAAAAAAAAAAAAAAAAAAAAAAAAAGGCGGGAGGCGTTGGGGGGCGAAACTGAGGCAAAAAGAAGTAATTTGCTCAAGGGAACACTGATAGGGAGTGACAGAGCCAGAGATGGGATTTGAACCCAGCCAGTTTGGCTTATAGAGTCTTGTTTTTCAACTACTGCACAATTTAACTATTGTATGGAATTCCATGGTATGAATATACAGCATTTTCTTGTTTCTGTTAATAGACATTTGTATTATTTCCAACTGTTTGCTATTATAAACACTGATGCATAAATATCATCATATATTTCAACTGCCAACTATTAATTATTGGTTTCAGTACCATTTAGTAGGGCCTGGAAGTACTTGACACGGGTCCCAGTAAATGTGGTAATTCTCATTGTTATCTATACCAATAAGCATTTTGGGGTTATTGCATATTGGTTATTTTTCTAATAAGAAATTATTTCATGCAAATATTTTGCAAATCCACTATTTCAAAAAATTAACAATAATTCTTTAATATCAGGAAGTCCTAGCCTTAAACAATCTTAAAATTCATATGGAAACACATAAGACCCTGAATAGCCAAAGCAATCCTGAGGAAAAAAAAACAAAGCTGGAAGCATCACACTATCTGACTTCAAAATATACTATAAGGCTATAGTAGCCAAAACAGCATGGTACTGCCATAAAAACAGACTCATTGACTAAAAAAACAGAATAGGGAACCCATAAATAAATCTATGTATGCATAGCCAACTGATTTTCCACAAAGGTGCCAAGAACAGATACTGGGGAAATAACAGTCTCTTCAATAAATGGTGTTGGGAAAACTGGATATCCATATGCAGGAAAATGAGACTAGACCTCCATCTCTCACCATATACAAAAATCAAATCAAAATGAATTAAAGACTTCAATGTAAGACGTGAAACTATGAAACTACTAGAAGAAAATATTGGGGAAATGCTGCAGGACATTGGTCTGGGCAAAGATTTCTTGGGCAAGACCTCAAAAAGCACAGGCAACAAAAGCAAAAATAGACAAATGGGATTACATCAAGTTAAAAAGCTTCTCCATAGCAAAGGAAACAATTAGCAAACTAAAGAAACAACATACAAAATGGGAGAAAATATTTACAAACTATCCATCCATCCAACAAGGGATTAATAACCAGAGTATACAAGGAATGCAAGCAACTCAATAGCAAACAAACAAACAAAAAAAGGGCAAATGATTGAGCAGACATTTCTTAAAAGAAGACATAAAAATGGTCGACAGGCATATTAAAAAATGCTCAGCATCACTAAACATCAGGGAAATGTAAATCAAAACCACAATGAGATGGGTACAAAAAAATAGAATAAGACCTAGTATTTGATAGCACAACAGGGTGACTACAGTAATTAATGGTTTAATTGTACATTTAAAAATAACTAAAAGGGTATATAATTGGATTGTTTGTAACACAAAGGATAAATGCTTGTGGGGATGGATACCCCATTTTCCATAAAGTGATTATTACATAATGCATGCTTGTATCAAAACATTTCATGTACCCCATAAATATATACACCTACTATGTACCCACAAAAATTACAAATTAAAAAACACAAGGAGATATTATCTCGTCCCAGTTAAATTGAAAAACACAAGGAGATATTATCTTGTCCCAGTTAAAGTGGCTATTATAAAAAAAAGAAAAAGTAACAGATGCCGGTAAGGACACAGAGAATGGAGAATGCTTGTACACTGCTGATGGGAATATAAATGAGTATAGCCATTATGCAAAAACAGTAGTGAGATTCCTTAAAAAACTAACAGTAGATCTACCATACCACTGCTGGATATATATCCAAAAGGAAGAAAACTAGTATATCAAAGAGATTACATTTATTATAGCGCTATTCACAATGGCCACGATATGGAATAAACCTAAATGTCCATCAACAGATGAGTGGATAAAGGAAACATGGTATATATACATAGTGGAATAATATTCAGCCATAAAAAAGAATGAAATCCTGTCATTTGCAGCAACATGGATGGAACTGGAGGTCATTATGTTAAACGAAATAAGCCAGGCACAGGATAAATATCACATTTTCACACATATCTGGGAGCAAAAAAAGTTCATCTAATGGAAGTAGAGAGTAGGATGATGGTTCCAAGAAGCTGGGAAGGGCTACTGGGAAGGGGGAATAAACAGAGGTTGGTAAATGGGTACAGAAATACATTTAGAAGGAATAAGTTCTAGTGTTTGACAGCACAGCAGGTGATTACAGTTAACAATAATTTATTGTATATTTCAGAATAGCTAGATTTGAAATGTTCCCAACACAAAGAAATGACAAATGTTTGAGGTGATGGATATTCTAATTACCCTGATTTGACCATTACACACCGTATACATGTATCAAAATATCACTTGTACCCCATAAAAATGTATACTTATGTAACAATAAAAATTCTTTAATATCAAATATCTAGTCATTGTTCAAATTTACAATTGTTTTTTAAATGTAAAAAAGTTGTTGGGGCGCAGTGGCTCACGCCTGTAATCCCAGCACTTTGGGAGGCTGAGGTGGGTGGATCATGAGGTCAGGAGATTGAGACCATCCTGGCTAACACAGTGAAATCCCGTCTCTACAAAAATACAAAAAAAAAAAAAAAAAAAAAAAAAAAAAAATTAGGCGGGTGTGGTGGCGGGCGCCTGTAGTCCCAGCTACTCGGGAGGCTGAGGCAGGAGAATGGCATGAACCCGGGAGGCGGAGCTTGCAGTGAACTGAGATTGCGCCACTGCACTCCAGCCTGGGCAACAGAGTGACAGACAAAAAAATAAGTAAATAAATAAATAAAAATAAAAAAAAAGTTTGTCTTTGTTTTTCTGTTATTTTTACAATCAGTTTGCTTAACTTGAGTAGGAATTAAGGTCAAATAAGGTCTACATATTACCATTAGTTTGTATATTGCTAGCATCAATTTTATTCTAGTTTCTTTTTCCACCTGCAATTTATTTGCTGAAGAAACCGGATCATTTGTCCTAGAAAGTTTCCATCAGTCTGACTGCATCCCAGTGGTGACATCTGACACATTTCTTTTGTCCTCTGTGTTTTCCTACAAATTAGTAGTTGAATCTAGATGCTTGATCAGACTCAGGCTTGTTTGGCAAGAGTACTTCAGACAGTACTAGCCTGAGGGGTAGCACTCACCGGGCACATCTGTTTGTCTCTCCTTTTGTTATGTTAGAGGATGTTGATTGTCAATGCCCAGATTTGTTAATATTAGAAGTTGTAAAATTGTGATATTCTAATTCTAGCATTACTTCCTCACTCATTAGTTAGAGTACTTCGATCAAGAGAAACTTTCCCTTATCAACTGTTGGTGAACCACAGGCATAGCCTGTATTAGAAAAGCAGGATAAATATTTGATTCTATCCCTTTGTTTAACAATTTTAAAAGCAATAAGTTGTTTTTCTAGTGTCTACCACAGGTAACCAATTAGTTTGGTTTTTAAAAATTAATATCTCTATCAACCCATAAATTTTAAAACATATTCGATTCACTATTAAATTATTCTTAAATCTGTTTAGAAACAAACCCTCCCAAAAAATCTATCCATAAGAGTTCCCTGAAAATTTTTTTTTCTTTTTTTTGGAGACAGAGTCTTGCTTAGTTACCCAGGCTGGAGTGCAGTGGCGCGATCTCAGCTCACTGCAACCTCTGCTTCCTGGGTTCAAGTGGTTCTCGTGCCTCAGCCTCCCGAGTAGCTGGGATTACAGGTTCATGCCACCATGCCTGGCTAATTTTTGTATTTTTAGTAGAGACAGGGTTTCGCCATGTTGGCCAGGCTAGTCACGGTTCAACATATGCAGATCAATAAATGTGATATATCTCATAAACAGAACTAAAGAAAAAAACCACATGATTATCTCAATAGATGCAGAAAAGACCTTTGATAAAATTCAATATCCCTTCATGTTAAAAACTGCCAATAAACTAGGTATTGAAGGAACATACCTCATAATAATGAGAGCCATATATAACAAACCCACAGCCAATATTATACTGAATAGGCAAAAACTGGAAGCATTCCCTTTGAAAACCGGAACAAGACAAAGATGCCCTCTCTCACAACTCCTATTCAACACAGTATTGGAAGTTCTGGCCCAGGGCAATCAGGCAAGAGAAAGAAATAAAGAGTATTCAAATAGAAAGAGAGGAAGTCAAATTATCTTTGTTTGCTGATGGCATGGTCCTATATCTAGAAAACCCCACTGTCTCAGCCCAAAAGCTTCTTAAGCTGATAAGCAACTTCAGCGAAGTCTCAGCATACAAAAATCAATGTGCAAAAATCAGTAGCATTCCTATATACCAACAACAGGCAAGCAGAGAGCCAAATCATGAATGAACTCTCATTCACAATTGCTATAAAAACAGTAAAATACCTAGGAATAAAGCTAACAAGGCAAGTGAAGCACCTCTTCAAAGAGAACTACAAACCACAGGTCAAAAAAATCAGAGAGGACACAAACAAATGGAAAAACATTCCATGCTCATGTATTTGAAGAATCAGTATTGTGAAAATGGCCATACTGCCCAAAATAATTTATAGATTCAATGCTATTCCCATTAAACTACCATTGACATTCTTCACAGATTTAGAAAATACTATATTAAAATTCACATGGAACCAAAAAAGAGCCTGAATAGCTAAGATGATACTAAGCAAAAAGAACAAAGATGGAGGCATCATGCTACCTGACTTCAGACTATACTACAAGGCTACAGGAACCCAAACAGCATGGTATTGGTACCAAAACAAATATGTAGACCAGTGGACCAGAATACAGAACTCAGAAATAAGACCACACACCTACAACCATCTGATCGTTGACAAACCTGACAGAACAAGCAATGGGGAAGGGATTTCCAATTAATAAATGGTGCTTATAGCTATATACAGAAAATTGAAACTGGACCTCTTCCTTACACCTTATACAAAAATTAACCTGGCCGGGCACAGTGGCTCATGCCTGTAATCCCAGCACTTTGGGAGGCTGAGGTGGGTGGAGCACAAAGTCAGGAGATTGAGACTATCCTGGCCAACATGGTGAAACCCCGGCTCTACTAAAAATACAAAAATTAGCTGGGTGTGGTGGCGCACGCCTGTAGTCCCAGCTACTTGGGAGGCTGAGGCAGCAGAATCGCCTGAACCCAGGAGGTGGAGGTTGCAGTGAGCCGAGATCACGCCACTGCACTCCAGCCTGCCAACAGAGTGAGAATCCGTCTGAAAAAAAAAAAAAAAAAGTAACTCAAGATGGATTACAGACTAAAATGTAAAATGCAAAACTATCAAAAACCCTAGGAGAAAATCTAGGCAATACTTTTCAGGATATAGGCATGAGCAAAGATTTCATAATGAAAGCACCAAAAGCAATTGCAACAAAAGCAAAACTGACAAATGGGATCTAATTAAACTAAAGAGCTTCTGCACAGCAAAAGAAACTATCATCAGAGTGAACAGAAAACCTACAGAATGGGAGAAAATTTTTGCAATCTATCCATCTGACGAAGATCTAATATCCAGAGTCTACAAGGAACTTAAGTAGACTTACAAGAAAAAAAGACCCCATTAAAAAGTAGGCAAAGGACATGAACAGACACTTCTCAAAATAAGACATACATGTGGCCAACAAACATATGAAAAAAAGCTCACCATCACTGATCATTAGAGAAATGATAATCAAACCCACAATGAGATAACACCTCACACCAGACAGGATGACGCTTATTATTATTATTATTATTATTATTATTATTATTATTTTGAGATGAGTCTCACTCTGTTGCCCAGGCTGGAGTGCAGTGGCGCGATCTCGGATCACTGCAAGCTCCGCCTCCTGGGTTCATGCCATTCTCCTGCCTTAGCCTCCCAAGTAGCTGGGACTACAGGTGACCGCCACCATGCTCAGCTAATTTATTGTATTTTTAGTTGAGACGGGGTTTCACCGTGTTAGCCAGGATTGTCTTGATCTCCTGACCTCGTGAACCGCCTGCCTCAGCCTCCCAAAGTGCTGGGATTACAGGCATGAGCCACCGTGCCCGGCCAGGATGATAATTATTAAAGTAAAAAAACAACAGATGTTGGTGAGGTTGCACAGTATAGGAACACTTTTACACTGTTGGTGGGAGTGTAAATTAGTTCAACCCTTGTGGAAGACAGTGTGGTGATTCCTCAAAGATCTAAAGGCAGAAATACCATTTGACCCAGCAATCCCATTACTGGGTATACGCCCAAAGGAATGTAAATCAGTATATTATAAAGATACATGCATGCATATGTTCATTGCAGCACTATTAACAATAGTAAAAACATGGAATCAACCCAAATACTCATCAACGATAGACTGAATAAAGAAAGTGTGGTATATATACACCATGGAAACTATGCAGCCATGAAAAGGAATGAGATCATGATCTTTGCAGGGATATAGATGGAGGTGGAAGCTATTATCCTCAGCAAACTAACACAGGAACAGTAAACCTAACACTGCATGTTCTTACTTATAGGCGGGAGCTGAAAGATGAGAACACATGGACACATAGGGAAGAACAACACACACTGGGGCCTGTCAGAACATCAGGAAGAATACCTAATGGATGCTGGGCTTAATACCTAGGTGGTGGCATGATCTGTGCAGCAAACTACCTTGGCATACATTTACCTCTGTGATAAACCTGCACATCCTGCATGTACCCCTGGACTTAAAATAAAGGTTGAAGAAAAAAATAAGTAAAAATTAAAAAGTCTAAATACGTGAACAGAGATTTCACCAGAGATGATATATTGATAGCAAATACAAACATGCAAAGATACTCAATATTATTAGTCATTAGGGAAATGAAAATGAAAATCACAATAACCTACTACTTCATATCTACAAGAATGGCTAAAATGACAAACACTGACGTGTGGATCGGAGGAACTGGAACTCTCATACACTGCTGAAAAGAATATAAAATGGCAGTACTATGGAAAAAATGTATTTTTGGCTGGGTGCAATGGCTCACATCTGTAATCCCGGCACTTTGGGAGGTTGAGGCAAGTAGATCACTTGAGATCAGGAGTTCGAGTAAATAATAATAATAAATGCTAAGCCAAATAACCAAAAGAAACCTCTGAATTCAGAGTTCAACATAGTTGTGTCTGAAAAGTACATCATAAAAGAAGAACAGGGACCTCTGTTTTTGTAATAAACTGTAATCTTTATATTTCTGAAATGTATACATATATGCCATAGATCATGAGGTCAGGAGATCGAGACCTTCCTGGCTAACACGGTGAAACACTGTCTCTACCAAAAATACAAAAAATTAGCTGGGCGTGGTGGCACACACCTGTAGTCCCAGCTACTCAGGAGGCTGAGGCAGGAGAATCGCTTGAACCCGGGAGGTGCAGGTTGCAGTGAGCCAAGACCGCACCACTGCACTCCAGCTTGGGCGACAGAGTGAGACTCTGTCTCAAAAAAAAAAAAAAAAAAAAAAAAAAGTTACTAAAAAATGCTCTATGTAGTTTGTCACAAAGGTTTAAAGTGATATGGATTAGTACAGCATAAAAATATTGGTTCACAACCACAAATGGTGGTTATAGTCATTCACCACAGTCTGAGAATTCAAAAGATATGTTATGGAAACAAAGCTAAGAAGATTATGGTGTATGCTGCTAACTTCATTTCAGGGCAGCTCTAGCACATGAAAGTAAGAAGATCCACTTAATATGTATTTAGTAAACAGAAGCAGCAGCCAGGGGCTCAAGGGATAGTGGGGGCAGCAGCATAGTTGCACAAGGTCATGGTACAACAGCAGGAAACCCACATAGGCAGACATAGATAACTGGGAAATAGAAGTATCTGCCTAGGTAGAGGAACAGTGAGCAGTTTTAGGGATCTGCATGAGCAGTGAGGAGGCATATACCTAGAAAGTTGGCTATTATTTAGCTCCAAAGAGCTTTCATTTAGTAGTTCAGCACTATATTAGGATTTAAAGAAAAGACAAAAGTAAGTCCCTTGAAAGAGCATATTTCTGGCCGGGCACGGTGGCTCACGCCTGTAATCCCAGCACTTTGGGAGGCCGAGGCGGGTGGATCACCTGAGGTCAGGAGTTCGAGACCAGACTGGCCAACATGGTGACACCCCGTCTCTACTAAAAATACAAAAATTAGCCGGGCCTGGTGGCAGGCGCATGTAATCTCAGCTACTCGGGAGGCTGAGGCAAGAGAATCGCTTGAACCCGTGGTCTCTCAAGAGATGGAGGCTGCAGTGAGCCGAGATTGAGCCACTACACTCCAGTCTGGGAGACAAGAGCAAGACTTTGTCTCAAAAAAAAAAAGAGCATATTTCTTTCCTTGTGTGACTGAGCTTTAGAGTTTAAATCCTCTCATTAAATCTGCATGATATTATTACTATCTTAGAGACTAATGACAAAGAGAATCTAGAAAAAAACATAATTAGGAAGCTCTCATTCTAAGTCATTTTTAACTTGAATTTTTATTGCCAAGTACATAATAGTGAATCTAAGTAAAAACTTATTCCTTACACTATTTTCTACTTCTTACTAGATGAAGGCAGAAATCACAGTACTACTGAATTACAGTTTTATAGTATGTCTCTTCTTTCCTTAGTTTCTATCTACTCAACTTTTCCAGAGACCCCTAAAAAAATTATCAGAGATACAAAAAGCAAAGTCTTAAAAGCATTTCCTATAAACAAGAAAATCAATATCTTTTAGGGGCCCAATTTTCCAAATTTCACTGACATTTTGACTAAAAAGCTTAAGACTCTTGTCAATGACCAAATAAAGACTCAAATTGTAGGATGCCTCCATGATATAGTCAACTGTGGGTGCATTTAAACTGTAACTGTTACTTCAGTGCCTACACTTTCTAAGGGTTTTATTTTGATGCTGTGGTCTTCTGAGAATGAGTGACAGCCAGCCAGTGTGATTCACTGAGGTACTGCCTACACAAATTAGAGGCTACAAAGCAGTAAATATGGGGCTGGGCCTTGAAGAGGCTCTGACTTACAGAATATTATTGGATAAGTCACCTAAGCTCCTAGCTTAAGTTTATTATTAAAATAACACCTCTTGACTTGCATGTACATCTGCTAAAAGTAGACTAACCTATCAACCTTGAAGAGCCAATAGTACAAAAAGTTAAAATGTTATATGAAGAGAAAGGAGACCAACCTATTATTGGAAGAAAAACAGCATTGTAAGCTGATTATAAGAACATTTATTTATTGAGGAGAAATATGCCTCTGTTACTGAGGAAAACAGCTCTTCAACTTATAGACTGTATTTATTTTGGAAAGATTGATTAAGACTGAGCCTCTAGAATGAGAGACAAGCTGTTTACCTAGTGGCCATTTCCCAGGAAGAATTATCTATCAAATCATATAGACTGGGTCACAAAGTTCTCCAAGTATTTGCATGGTTAAGCCAATAATTATGCCTAGAATTCTAGAAAATGAGTAAACAGCAGTAATTATCTGGTTAAAAATAACCAAGACAGATCCAGTGCTAAGAATAAATAGCTATAAAGTTACATTAAACTGTTCTAGGACTGCAGATGGTTTTCAAGCTCCAGAGGATCATTTCTCACTTCTAAGGCTTCTAGGAACATCATAAAATCCACCTTCCTCCTACCCACGAGCTCCTCTTTTTATTAATGTCTAGTGGTTTGCTATTTATGTTTCATTTGTACAGTTTAAGGCCTACTTCCTAATACAAAACAAATGTTACTGCAGGCCTGAGGATACCTTTACCTAATTGTCCATAACCGAATATGAAAGAAGGCTTTGGGATTAAGTTTCCATAACAGGATAGAAAGACCAGTTGTGAGGGAAATGAAGTCAAAAGCAGGAGAAAATAACAGGGCCAGTGAAGTGGAAAAAAGGGTGTGGAACAAGGCAGGGTCAGCCATATATCTTCTCTATTTGCCTGGTCAATCCTCCCTGCAAGGTCCAGTTTGGGTGCTTGGAATATGCTGAATAAGCTTCCCAATTCATGGAGGGGTAGGAGAAATTGAAATTCAACTTAGGAAGCCAAAATAGATTTTTCTGCCTATTATCAAAAATTTGCAGAAGCTGCACATCTGCTGGTGTGAGACACAAATGTGAAAGTATGCAGGCACACACAAACACATAACACTCGTTAAACTTAAATCACTTAACTTGTTATTAAGTGTAAACTCACTGAGTTAGAATAAACCTCAGAGATTTTTTTTTTTTCACTAATACATGGGAACGCCAAGATAAACGGAAGAAAAGAAACATAACAAAGGTCATACAGCTAGACGGAGCAGTGCTGAAGCCAGCATCAGATGTTTTATAAGGTATTAAACGATCTGGTCACATCCTCCCTTTCTCAACTTCCTGAATACTATTCACTCCTGTAGGTGTATCCCACAGTTGAACGAGTTGAATGCTCTGTGTACTAAACATACTCTTTGCTTTCTCCCTGCCATGACATTGGTCAAGCTGTTTCATCTACTTGGAATCCCTCCTTCCAATCTCTAGTGGTTAAAATCCATTCTCCAAGGGCCTATTCAGATGATACCTCTTTCAAAATGCCCTCCCTGTTTGCTCTCTCTTTATTTACTATGTGTTATAAACTGAATGTTTGTGTCCCCCTTAAATTCATATGTTGAAACCCTATCTCCATCCAGCGTGCCCATATTTGTAGTAAGGAAGTAATTAAGGTTATATGAGGTCATAAGGGTGAGGCCCTGATCCAACAGGATTAGTATCCTGAGATAGAGAGCTTGTTCTTGCTCTTGCTCTCTCTCTCCCTCTCTCCCCACTGCCCCACGTTCTGAAGAAAGGCCACGTGACATAGTGATAAGGCAGCCATCTGCAACCCAGAAAGAAAGCCGTTCCCAGAAAGTGAATTGGCTGGAACTTTGATCTTGAGAAAATAAATTTCTGTTGTTAAAATATCCACTCTGTGGTATTTCGATATGGCAGCCTAAGCAGACTATGACACTATCTTAAGTAGAACTTTGTTGTTGTTGTTTTGAGATGGAGTCTTGCTCTGTTACCCAGGCTAGAGTGCAGTGGGGCAATCTCGGCTCACTGCAACCTCTGCCTCCTTGGTTCAACAATTCTCCTGCCTCAGCCTCCTGAGTAGCTGGGATTACAGGCGCCCACCACCATCCCCAGCTAAATTTTGTATTTTTAGTAAAGACAGGGTTTCACCATGTTGGCCAGGCTGCTCTCAAACTCCTGACCTCGAGCAATCCACCCACCTCGGCCTCCCAAAGTGTTGGGATTACAGGCGTGAGCCACTATGCCTGGCCTAGAACTTTGTTTATACTTCTTTAACAATTATTTCATTCTATTTTGTATTACATTTAGGACAGTTTTTTGCTCTAGAATGTGCTGAAATGCTATGCTACAACCTTCCTTAGGCTTGATACAAGATAAAATAGCAGCCATAATAACAATACAAAGTATTAGTATTTCTATGACAACAATGATGATCAAGGTAGAGTTTTTAAAAAATAAATAATACTCTACCGTTTTATAAGGAAATGTATTATATGAAGTAAGTTCCTGTGTTGTTCCTATTTTTGTATGCTCATTAAGAGATAATATTTTTAAAATGCCAACAATTAGGTTTTAAAAACTAAACATGAAATCATTAATTAAACCTAAATAATTTTTTAAAATTATACTTTAAGTTCTAGGGTACATGTGCACAATGTGCAGGTTTGTTACCCAGGTATACATGTGCCATGTTGGTTTGCTGCACCCATCAACTCGTCATTTACATCAGGTATTTCTCCTAATGCTATCCCTACCCCAATCCCCAACCCCCCGACAGGCCCCAGTGTGTGACGTTCCCTGCCCTGTGTCCAAGTGTTTTCACTGTTCAATCCTCACCTATGAGTGAGAACATGCGGTGTTTGGTTTTCTGCTCTTGCGATAGTTTGCTGAGAATGATGGTTTCCAGCTTCATCCATGTCCCTGCAAATGACATGAACGCATCCTTTTTTATGGCTGCACAGTATTCCATGGTGTTTATGTGCCACATTTTCTTAATCCAACCTATCATTGATGGACATTTGGGTTGGTTTCAAGTCTTTGCTATTGTGTATAGTGCCACAATAAATTTACGTGTGCATGTGTCTTTATAGCAGCATGATTTATAATCCTTTGGGTATATACCCAGTAATGGGATCACTGGGTCAAATGGTATTTCTAGTTCTAGATCCCTAAGGAATCACCACACTGTCTTCCACAATGGTTGAACTCATTTACACTCCCACCAACAGTGTAAAAGCATTCCTATTTCTCCACATCCGCTCCAGCATCTGTTGTTTCCTGACTTTTTAATGACCGCCATTCTAACTGGCATGAGATGGTATCTCATTGTGGTTTTGATTTGCATTTCTCTGATGACCAATGATGATGAGCATTTTTTCATGTGTCTGTTGGCTGCATAAATGTCTTCTTTTGAGAAGTGTCTGTTCATATCCTTTGCCCACTTTTTGATGGGGTTGTTTTTTTCTCGTAAATTTCTTTAAGTTCTTTGTGGATTCTGGATATTAGTCCTTTGTCAGATGAGCAGATTGCAAAAATTTCCTCCCATTCCGTAGGTTGCCTGTTCACTCTGATGGTAGTTTCTTCTGCCGTGCAGAACCTCTTTAGTTTAATTAGATCCCATTTGTCTATTTTGGCTTTTGTTGCCATTGCTTTTGGTGTTTTAGTCATGAAGTCCTTGCCCATGCCAATGGCCTGAATGGTATTGCCTAGGTTTTCTTCTAGGGTTTTTATGAATTAAACCTAAATAATTTAAAAAAATCTGTGTACATATAGTCTGTCTCTTAATAGCCTTTGAGGGCAGAGACCATGTCTTGCACATCTTGGCATCAATTCAAATGCTAGGTTAAAGCATCTTAAATATAGGTACTGGAGGTACACACAATGCTTGTTAAATTCCAAAAGGTTAATTACATATTTCCCAGAGGCTTGCTTCTAAGATTATAATTTTAATTCTAATTTTATTAGCTGGAAATGTCACCCAAGAGTATAATAAAACCAGCTAACTCCACAGTCATTCAAGATGGCTCTCTGACTTCTTCCAGGTAATCTCCTGCTATCAGTACTGAAACATGCCTATGACCGAGGGTTAAGCTCATGCTTTCATCTCCCCAACACTTAAAACTCCCTCTGAAAGTGACCCCTCTTTATCTTTACGTCTCTCTTATCATGTAAAAATCTATCAGTGACAAAGAGGAACAACTGCAAAGCTGCAGAAATTAAAAACAGACCTTTTGACTTAGGTACAAAATGTTTGCACTTTGGACATAAAGGGAATTTGCTGAGTTACTGAATCAAGTATTTATAGCACCACATAATTGATTTTCTGCCATAATAATTTCTTCTGTAATTTAGCAGCTCCTCCACAAATCCCCATCAAATCTATGACTTCTCAAAAATGCTAACAATGCTGGCTAATACAAAGGAAACAGTGCCACCTAAGCAAAATTAAACTAGAATAATAATCTATTCATAAAGTTCTTTTTAGGGACACATAGTTATTAAAATCTTTGCTTTTGTTATTCACGAGTCATGAGTTTTGCATTTTCCATTCTTTTCTCAATTATGTTATTAGGCTGTATCTTATCAAAAGTATTCTAATTCCTATCTTCAGGCTACAAAGTCCTTGCCCTAAATGAAAATATTAGAGTCCACTAAAAACCAACATAATCAAGTATGCCCTGTGACTTCCAACCCCAAAAGTGGAGGATGCTGACATGCATCATCATCGGTTTTGCCATTTGCCAGCTGGAGGACCTGGGCTAAGCTTGGTGAGCATAGGGACTGTGTCTGTTTTATTTGTCAATGTATATCCAGTGACTGGTGAAGCAGACATTCAATTTATAGTTGAATTCATGTCCTGTCTTTCATTCAACAAATATTCGCTGTGCACGTACTATATGCCAGGCACTAGGTTAGGTGCTTTACATGAATAATTTCATCTTTAGTTATCACCATTTTAGAGTAGAAGAATAAAAGTTCAGACAGTTAAACATTTGTTTCAGATCTCAGGATGAGGCCAGGCTTGGTGGTTAGTGTCTGTAATCCCAGCACTTTGGGAGGCCAAGATGGGCGGATCACTTGAGGTCAGGAGTTCAAGACTGCCCTGGCCAATGTGGCAAAACTCCGTCTTCACTAAAAATACAAAAATTAGCTGGGTGTGGTGGTGCACACCGGTATTCCCAGCTACTCGGGAGGCTGAGGCAGGAGAATTGCTTGAACCTGGGATGTGGAGGTTGCAGTGAGATGAGATCGTGCCACTGCACTCCAGCCTGGACAATGAGTGAGACTCTGTCTCATAAAAAAAAAAAAAAAAAAAAAAAAAAAGATCTCAGGATGAGCCAAGATTCAAATCCAGATCTTTCTGTGGCCCCAGAGTTCAGGCCTTTTCCTTACTATACCACACAACAACAATTCACAATCAGAAGCTAAAAGCTGGAGGTTGTGAAGCTTGCATGTTATTAACTATATCTGGCTGAGTATGTGTTTTGTTTTGGCTGTCTAGGATTTTTGAAAAATGAAGCCAACATTTTAAACTGAAGAGGTTTTACATACAATCTAAATTTCGCGCTTCTTTTGAAAAGCCTAAAGATGTGGTAGCAATGTTCCTACATCCCTGTATGGCAACAACTGCTGAAGCTAAGCAGAGGCTGCCCCTTAGATGGGACATGTGCTCTTCATGTGGCCTGCTAACTCATTTGCGTTATTTGTTTGGCCCCTGTAGATTTGGTTTGTAACTTCTGCTACCTCTATGTGGATCTCTAAGTACCCTCATCAGTGCTTGTCTATTATACTAGCCTACTAAGTGGCCTCTGTTGCTCTAACCCCTCATCTTCCTATCTTCTACACTGCTCTAGTTTGTTTCTGAAACAATCACGTCACTGCCCTACTCAAGAGTATGGTATTACGTACTCCTTAGTGACCAGAGAATAATATTAGTCTAAACTCCTTAACATGACATTCTAGACATTCTGTGATTTGATTTCAAATTACTTTTCCTGTCATATTTTCCTTGTCTAATGACTGCATGGATTGCAGCTATCCTAGAAGGGGGTGTCTAGTAGCCTGCTACAAAATTCTGCCCCTGTCAGCATTTTAATCAATGGCTTGGATCACAAGAAATATGATTTTCAAATTTAAGAAGGAGGAAAAGGAAACCTATAATTTATTTATATCCAGCCTCAGAAATGCATGCCTTAATCCTTTTACTGCCTACAGAAGACTCTGGCAAGTGCTTAACAAAAAGATCTGGAGTCAATGGTGGTTTTAAGATTATGTACAAGCCACTCACAGAGATACTAGTGCTCCTTTGCCCTTTTATAGCATAAAAAGGCATTTTTGGATATAGAATCTCATTTCTTCAAGTCCAACAACAAAAATAGGATGATAGATAAAATATTTAAATGAACCGAATGAGTGATTAAATAAAGTAAGAATTGTATTTGGACAGAAAGCTCTTGGCACAGCAGTGATACCTAAGGATAAATTATAACCATGAACATTTTTCAGAATTCCAAAGATGTGTTCAGCACTCTGCTGGGGGCTGGGATGGTGATTCTAAAATGTACTATCACATATGAGGCTCAAAACGCTGGGGTGAAGCCAGTGAAACTGATAACACAGTTGTTTTAGGAAGAACGAGTAACTGTTAATTGTTACACGCATCTCATCTCTCATAACTACAGAGAGAGTTAAGCTATAAAAATTTAGTTTATTAATTCCAAATAAGGGGAAACTGTCCAGATACTTTTCCCCCGCCTTAATCCTTCTAGAGGATTCAAATCTCACTCCTGGTGGACTGATTTCTCATGATAACACTTTGGCATGGAGCATGCCCAGAGTTCAGCTGCAAGGCACTTCCCAGAAGTCATGTCAGCTTCAGCTAGCCTTCTTGGATGGAAAAGAGAACAGATTTTAGCTTTGGCCAAGTAGAGTCTCTACAACACTCCCCATCCCCCCCCAATTAAACAAATAAAGTTGATTTTGTAAGGAAAACAATAAAAGCCTGGGCAACATAGCAAAACCCCATCTCTAAAAAAAATAAGAAGAAGAAATAGGCTGGGCGTGGTGGTGCACACCTGTGGTCCCAGCTACTAAAGAGGCTGAGGTAGCAGGATCCCTTGAGACCAGGAGTTTGAGGCTGCAGTGAGCCATGATTTTGCCACTGCACTTCAGCCTAGGTGATAGAGTGAGACCTTGTGTTTAAAAAAAGAAAAATAAAGCACAAATGTGTTGTTTTTCCACAGCTCTCCTTGTAACACCACAGATCTTTACACAACATAATGAGTCAAGTTGTTAAACATGCAATTCGGAAAACAGTTACTTAGTAAAGAGACAACAATTCCAGACCAATACAAATGTCACCTTAACTTGAAAGACAGCAAAAATGCAAGCAGTCACCAGACAACATTTCAGAAAATGTATCCTAGGGCTTGCTTGAGTGAAAACAAACCTCTTCATAATTTTTTAACCTTGAAAACTCTGCATTTGTACTTTTGTTGTTTTTAGAAAATTTCCTACAAAATTCACAAGATTAGGATGAAGCCAGTAAAATTTTTATTGTTACCATGAGGAAGAATAATTGTTAATGGTGACACAATATCCTAAATCACAGAAGGTATACAATTGTCTAACTTCAGCAGATATCTGTAATATGTAATTTAGTGTTGAACCACTGATTTGCACTTCCATACAGTTCTGTTTTTGTGAAACTTCTGATACAGTGCTTAAACATAACTTCTCGGCCGGGCATGGTGGCTCATGTCTGTAATCCCAGCACTTTGGGAGGCCAAGGCGGGCGGATCACAAAGTCAGGAGATCGAGACCATCCTGGCTAACACGGTGAAACCCCGTCTCTACTAAAAATACTAAAATTAGCTGGGCGCGGTGGCAGGCGCCTGTAATCCCAGCTACTTGGGAGGCTGAGGCAGGAGAATCACTTGTACCCAGGAGGGTGGAGGTTGCAGCGAGCTGAGATTGCGGTACTGCACTCCAGCCTGGGTGACAGAGTCAAAAAAAAAAAAAAAAAAAAAAAAACCACCAAAAAAAACCCATTATCTTCTCTTGCACTAATCAATATTTCTTTTAAGCCATACTTCACTACAAACTTAATAAAATATCGTTTAATTCACATTGCTTCTCTTGCCCAAGCACCTAAAATAGCTATCTATTAGCCTGGGCAACATGGTAAAATACAACAATTAGCCAGATGTGGTGGCACACTCCTGTAATTCCAGCTACTAGGGAAGCTGAGGTGGGAGGATTGCTTGAACTCAGGAAGCGGAGGTTGCAGTGAGCCGAGATTATGCCTCTGCACTCCAGTCTGGGCGACAGAGCGAGACTCTGTCTCAAAAAAACAAAAACAGACACACAAAAAAGCTCCCTATTGATCACATATCTGGATTTTACAACCTGGCATCAAAGATCTGCATAATAATGGCAATATTAGCTAAGATGTCAATAGCACTTACTATGTACCAGTATTTCTACCATCTATTGCTGTGTGGAAAAAAAAAACAGCCAAAACTTAGTGGCTTAAAAACAACCACTGTATTTTTTTATTTTAAATTGATTAAAATAAATTTATACCCAGGACATAGCAGAGGACTGCAGGTGCCTCCTCCAGCTCTGTCCCCCAAAACAACCATTTTATTACCTCTCACTAGTCTATGGATTGACTGATGGTTAAGGGAATAGGTTCTGAAATCAGACTAACTCTCAAGGTTATGATTGTGAGGATTAAATCCTCACGTGTGTATGTGAAGTGTTTAGCATAGTATCTGGTACCTAGGAAGTGTTCAGTCAATGCTGGGCATCATTATTATTATATTTTATGAGTTATTTTTCCTAAACTCAATGATAATAAATCACAAGTTCCTCAAAGGCAGAGGCTAGGTCTTCGATGTTGAGGTTCCTCATTTAGACTACCAAAGGGTTCTTAACACAAGAAAGAGCTGAATAAATACTTTTGATTTGAATCAACAGGTGTGATAAATTAAAAATAAGTATCCCTCATTTTTCATTAAGCTTTTAGAACCCTAAACTTACAGACCTGAAAAAAAGGGGCCCTAAGTTATTTTTTGGAGGCTAGAATCTCCAAGCACTCCCCCACGCCAGCCTGGAGAGTACTGTCTTTATAACCAGTGTCTACTGGTGAAGTATGACATTAAGCTGTATTAGACATCATCAGCATTTACACAGAAGTGAATGACAGACTCTTAGGGTTCTGAGACTCTTGAATACTTCTGGAATTTTTAAGACACTGATGGCTTCAGCCCCAGAGATTTTGTTTTCAACTACCCTTTGATGGAGGCTTTGCATCTGTTGTCTTTAAAAGCACTCCAGGTGATTCTAATGTGCAGCAGAGTTAAGAATCATGGGTCCAGGTCAAAGGATTAGAGCCCATATTGAGCAATAACAGATCTGAAATCAGGAGACCTGGGCTCTTGTATTGAATACTGGATCATCAATTCAATTCAAGAAACTGTTTTTGTGAAATGCTCTATGCTAGATACCATAACATGAAGAATGAGGAGCCAATAATCTGGACCTTTAGTTTTTGAGTCTGATCATTTAAAGATGGGAGTGGTTTTCCTACTTTTAAAAAAAATGTGGTTTTAGCTTTTAAAAATGAAATCTTACATATAAGTTCAATATATGTAAAAGAAACAAAAGGAAAGCAGGTTGGCATTAGGAATTCCTACTATACTGCATTAGCCTTCCCCCTGCTTTTCTCCATTGGAAGCTGACTCTAACTGCATTTTCCTCCTACAGTTTTGGTGGCGTACTTTCTCCTTATCCTAAGGTTGCAAATTTCACTTTTCTTGGAGCACAACGGAAGAGAAGTCAAGCATTTGCCACAGAGCTGTGGGTGCACAAAATACTCATGCTGACTAGAACCTTGGCTCAGAAGAGTCCCTATCTGCTCAAGTCTTATGGGAGGCACTGTAGTTTGTACCATTTCTGACTTTCTGCTTAGACTCTCCCATGTGTTTTCTGGGCTAAATTAGTCACTCTTCTCCAATTGTTCCAAGTAATATTCTGGGAAAGGAAAACCTAACAAAATAACTTAAATATTCAATCATGTAAACACATTCTCAACATTTCATGGAAACAATCTAAGGCAGTAAATCCATAAACCAAAGAAAGCTTTCTGGGACCTAGACATTCAAATAGTGTAATTATGGCCTGGCATGGTGGCTCACGCCTGTAATCTCAGCACTTTGGGAGACTGAGGCGGACGGATCACTTGAGGTCAGGAGTTCGAGACTAGCCTGGCCAACATGGTAAAACCCTGTCTCTACTAAAAATACAAAAATTAGCTGAGCGTGGTGGTAGGCGCCTATAATCCCAGCTACTCAGGAAGCTGAGGCAGGAGAATCACTTGAACCCGGGAGGCGGAGGCTGCAGTGAGCTCAGATTGCACCACTGCACTCTGGCCTGGGGGATAGGGTGAAACTTTTCCTCCAAAAAAAAAAAAAAAAAAAAAAAAACCCCACCCCCCCAAAAAAAACCCAGTGTAATTACTTCCCATTATTGAACATGATGTCAATACTCTTCAGTGGCTCATGACGAACTCTTCATTGTATTATTTGAAAATTTAAAAATATTATTAAAAACTTAAATCTATATTGTCTAATACTTTCTTCCAACCCTCACGTTGCCCACGAACAAAACTCTTTCAAGTCTAGGTCTGTATACTTCACGATCTTTTCTTCTTCAAGTTTTACAAGACATAAGACAGTGGGTAGAAACAGCAATAATCTTACTGGTTCTGAGAAAAATCACAGTAGACATTAAAGCTTGCTAGTTCCTTTTTTGGTTTAGTGGGGACACTTTATATTATATTCTATACATGGTGATAGCAAAGTAAGAAGAGGTATACTTTTGGAAGAAATCTATTTTTTTTCTGGAAGATGAAAAATTTCAATAAAAATTTTTACGTTTTTATTAAGTTATTCTGTTGTAAAAATTTTATTTTTAAATGTGTATGTCAGGAATTATTTGATGGTCCTGGAATCCTCCTGCAATAGGGTCCAGGATGATTGTTTCCAAGGCAGAAACAGAATTGAAACAGACTCACACAGGACAACCTCCGTAGCGTTGCCCCCCAATCTTCTGGCATGACTTTCTAGGAGATGGGATGCGTTCTCCCTTCAGTACGATCTTGGCCTTCACCTCCTACTGTCTCAGAATTAGAAGAGAGGGCATTGTTCCTTTTGTCAAACACATGGTCCCTTTACCTGTTTGTGGGAGGTGTTACAATCTTCTAAAAAGAAAATGTACTTGGAGGGGCCAACAGAAATAATCAAATTCCATGCTACTGTAGAATAAATTAGAGGCTGGCTCAGTCATAATTATGTTTCCTTTCTCACTGTTTTCTTGCAAAATAAATGATCAATTGATTTTTAATGGCACTACATAACCTACTAAAGACTGCTCAAATTAGCAACTTTCTTTTAACTTCTATTCCAAAGTAGAAATTCTGCAACTTCACCTGATCTTCACATGATTCTCCTGTGCTGTCTCATTCTTTAGCTTTTCTTCATTTTGTTATTCCATAGATTTTTTTTCCATGTTTCTGACCTCTATTCTTTTTTTTCTCTTCTTCCAACAGAGTTCTGTAATCATCTCTCTGTAGAAGCCTCTTGTATTTATATTTGTAGCTGGACTTATCTTTCAAGTTAAAATTCTGCAATTTTCCTTGTTTTCTGGACAGATCCACATAGAAGTCCAAGCTACGGGTAGCCTGTAGTTCTTTGGTTTTAGTTTTATTATTAATAATTAGGAAATCTTTAAAAAGTGGATTTCTGCCTCTTTTTTTTTGAGACGAAGTCTCGCTCTGGAGTGCAGTAGCACCATCGTGTTCCTTCTGCCTCCATTTCCAGTCACAATTCCCAGTAAGTGATTCATGTGTTTTTTTTTTGCCTATAATATTTATGTCATCTCATACTTCACCCACTCTTTATCTCATTCCCACCTGCAAGATAAATGCTCATTTATCATTCATGGGCACACATGTCACAATTTTTGGGGGCTGTTCCTCCTTGGGTCACCAGGAACTAATGTATTCTTACAGTACTTAGATTGTATCTGTTTTAGAATACACATGCTATAATTTGTTTGACTAATCTATCTTCTCTGTAAGCGTGTGTATTTAAGGTTGGAGATTTTGACTTGTTGGCTTTTGTAGTCCTAATACTCAGGACGTGGTAGCATAGGACATCAATGTCTACTGAACTGAACTGTACTATATTTCTTTTGGAGTAGACAAAGAAATAGTCTTAGTAGGCTGCCTCATTTTTCTGAAGAATGAACAAAAGGGTCCAAACCTTTTTTTCATCATATAAAAAAAAATTGTCCATCACATGAAAAAAGTTAATTATCATTCAAAAAAAGTTGATAAGTTCAGAAAAATATTTCATAAAATTAAAAATTAGTAATTATTATAAAAATAAATTTAATAAGATTAAAAATACTGTTAATTATTCACTGAAGAACACAATAAGTGTTCTAGAGCTTCTGAGTAAATTGCCCCAGTTTCCTTCTATCACTAGTTTAAATAGTATATATAAACTAATCTTAATAAAGAACATTAGTTCTAAACTAATTATAATAATTCATAGTTTCTCAGAAGCAGAAGTTTTTCAGGAGCAGTAGGATAGAGGAACAGTTTTTCAAAACTAGAAAGGAAAAGTGGGAGAAGCCAGGAGAGGTTGTGCTGAAAGGGAAGAGGAGGAGGAGGAATGCTAAACTGTCTTAAAGAACAAGAAGAAAATGAAGGGAGGAAATAAAAGCAAGACACTAATTCTCTGACCATTCTAAAATTCTGCTGTGCTGGAAAGATGTGCTGTAATAAACACATTCACATCTTTTCCAGGCCAAATGTGGATTCAGCCAGCACTGATGCTTGTCTTCACTCTCAAACATTTTTCTGCTGACTAATTTATTTTTAAGATTAATATTTGGTTTACAGCAGAAAAAAACGATGAAAAAAAACCCTTCATCACCCACTCCCTCCCCTATCTTTTTTTTTTGTGGTCAAAAATATAATCCCTTGAGACCTATTGTAGGAAATGCGATGTATCCAGATCACGAAGTCTGAAAAAAAACAAAATCCTTTTCCTATTTTGTAAATTTTTGAGACCTCTTATCATTTACCAATTAAAAGTGATGACTTAGGAAATATCTATTTTTTATATTTCTATAAGATTTTTCTTCTAGCCACAATCTCAATACTATGAAAGTCGGCATATTTGTATTCCATCAGAATTACCTACAAACTCTCGTATCTATAGAAGGACAATCAGGATCCATATTAATTACTAAGGCAAAGCCAGTATTCAAGGAACTTCTGAATTATTAGTGAAATACAAAAGTGTATTTAGTGTAATTTTGAAAACTATGTTCCCTATTAGAAATACGTGAAAATGGCCAGGCATGGTGGTTCATACCTATAACTCCAACACTTGGGGAAGCCAAGGGGGAGGATCACTTGAGCCCAGGAGTTTGAGACCAGCCTGGGCAATACAGTGAGATGTCATCTCTACAAAAGAAAAAAATTTTTTTAAATTAGCTGTGTGTGGTGGTGCATGCTTGCAGTCCTGCTACTGAGGAGGCTGAGGTGGGAGGATTGCTTAAGCCCAGGAGGTGGAGGTTGCAGTGAGCTGAGATGGCATCACTGTACTCCAGCTTGGGCAACAGAGCTAAAAACCAGTCTCAAAAAAAAAAAAGAGAAATATATGAATATTTGAAACTTATAAATAATACTATGTAACGATTAAAGGGTAAACCATAACAACTTGACTTTGCCCCCTCTAAGCCAAAACTTAATGAAGTATCCTTGCTGGTTATATGTGTGAAAATGCCTGAAGAAATTAGAGGGCAGGAGTGATGTCAACTCAGTATCTCTAAGCAAAAAGATTAAAAAAAAAGTTTCTAGAGGTATGCTTCATAAATTGGAACTCATTTGAAGAACTCTATTATAGTTAAAGAACTTGAGGTTTGAAATCAGACAGAATTGAGTGAGTCCTGTTCTGACATTTACTAGCTAGGTAGTATAGATTCTTTCCAAGCCACATTTCCTTCACCTTAAAATGGAATAAAATTTCACTGGGTTAGATTAGGTACTGCAAGTCAAACGTAGCATCTTGTATATAGTAAAAGTTCAGTAAATATTAGCTCTCTTTATTATTCCTATCACCTGCCTCTGGACTCCCATTCTTTACTGTGTTCTGTTAGGTAAATGAACTTACATGAGAAACACCAGGCTTTGACATGAAAAACACAGATTTTACTTTACTCATGTTAGGGAGTATCGGCTGGGGGAATACCTAGAGTCTGATGGTGGCAGGAAGGTCACCACTTAGCTAGCTCAGGAAATGCTGTGACTCTCTGCACTTTAATGTCACCAACTGATTAGGTCAGTTAGATTTACACAAATGACACAAGTGACTTTTCTAACTGCTTCTCTGATTAGGTAAGTTAGATTCATACAAATGACACAGATTACTTTTTCCAGGTAGACTTTCCTATTACCCTACCCTGAATTTACTTGCCATGGGCTTTCATATTTTGAAATGGAAATAATAACTAGGTCTAAAAATTTTATTTACAGCCAGATAAACCTGTGGGTCTTTACGTAGAATGTATAAGCCAAAGTTAAAATTCAGCAATAAAGAAATTAAATAACTATAAAATCAGGTAGAAATGTAAATTTATATTTCTTTAAACTGAGGAGTCATGTTGTACATCTCACATTTTTTCCTAATATATTTATAAGAGAATTAGTTTAATTGTATATTATATACTGAATTAGACACATTTTGAAATAATACAGGTTACCTAAGCACTCCAGGTGTGGAAAATTCTTAATAATTAGCAGTCTTAACGAAATCTTCTAACAACATGGGTGAGCCTCAAAACCTTTATGCTCAGTGAGAAAAGCAACACACAAAAGAACATATATTGTATGATTCCCTTTAAATAAAATGTCTAGAGAAGACATATTTATAGAGACAGAAAGCAGATTAGTGGTTGCCTGGGGATGGGGAGCAACTGAGAATGGGCATAAGGTTTCTTTTTGGGGTGACAGAAATGTTCTACCTATTTATTTATTTATTTCTATTTTTTATTTTTGAGACGGAGTCTCACTTTGTCACCCAGGCTGGAGTGCAATGGCGTAATCTCGGCTAACTGCAACCTCCACCTCCCAGGTTCAACAGATTCTTCTGTCTCGGCCTCCCAAGTAACTGGGACTACAGAAGTGTGCCACCATGCCCAGCTAATTTTTGTATTTTTAGTAGAGATGGAGGTTTCGCTATGTTGGCCAGGCTGGACTTGAACTCCTGACCTCAGGTGATCCAACTGCCTCGGCCTCCCGAAGTGCTGGGATTACAGGCATGAACCATCACTCCTGGCCTATTTATTTATTTATTTATTTACTTACTTATTTTTGTTTTTGAGAAATGTTCTAAAATTAGACTGTGGTGATGGTTTTACCACTCTGTAAAACACTAAAATTACTAATACACACACTTAAGATGGGTGAATTTTATGATATATAAATTATACTTCAATAATCTTCTTCAAACAAATCTTTTGAATGGCTAGATACTAGAAAATAAATTTTTAAATGTTGAATGGAGAATTTTGAAGAAAAAATATGTTTCTCCTGAGAATGAGTGTCTGAATAACGCTCTTATTCTGAAGTAAGACCTAACTCAATCAATAAAACTTCCTCAAATGCCAACTACATGTGGAGGATCTTTAGAATCTGGAAAGGCTTCACTTCAGGATGATTGCACTTAAGGTGAATAGGGTATTTATTTTTCCTCCCAGGGTAAACACAGGCTATAAGGGTACCAAAGGAGAAAGTGTTAGCTCTCCTGGGAGTCATTTTGAGTATCAATAACCAACAGATGTGCCTCAAAGAAGTAATGGGACGGCTTTGCCATATTTTGACAGATTCCAGGAAACCCTTTGGAATACCCTGGTTATTAAGAACCACAACAGGGTGACCCTGAGGTGCATGGGTCACTGGAGAGAAGGCATTAAGTTAAAGGTGGCAGCCGGGTGTGGTGGCTCACACCTGTAATCCCAGCACTTTGGGAGGTCGAGACAGGTGGATCACCTGAGGTCAGGAGTTCAAGACCAGCCTGGCCAACGTGGTGAATCCCCATCTCTACGGTAAAAATGCAAAAATTAGCCGGGCGTGGTGGTGGGCACCTGTAATCCCGGCTACTCGGGAGGCTGAGGTGGGAGAATCGCTTGAACCCAGGAGGTAGAGGTTGCAGTGAGCTGAGATTGCACCACTGCACTCCAGCCTGGGCGAAAAGAGCAAAACTCCATCTCAAAAAAAAAAAAAAGTTAAATGGTGGCTTGTGGTGAAGGGGCCATGACTTTCACTGTTGCTCACTGCTATTGTTGGGAAGGAATAATACAAAAGTATGCTACTGTGGTTCTATTTCTGCTCTACTGGGTTTTACTTTATTATTTTCCTTCTAAAAAAGTAACCTTTAGACATGAACCCCTGCTTTACATATTCTCAGTATACACTCTGGCTCTGAATTTAATAAACATAATCTTTAAATGCAAAGGGCATAAGTAAATCAATGAGTAGCCCAATGTTATTATTCATCAACTTTGAAACGATTCCTCTACTGTCAACAGCTGATCAATGGATATGAAAGGCCATTAGTATGTGTCGTGAGGGTAAGGGATTATGTGTTACTAATCTGTGATTACTCTGAAACAGATATAAGCACAGGGCTTGGCATAGCTAATAAATTGAAATCGAAAATGAAAGTACCATATAAACAACAAACATAAGTATAAAAGATTACATTATTTTTCACAGTAAAAGTAATCCTAAGAATTTAAACCTGGCTGTTAAGGTACCACCTTCAAAGAAGGCTTCCGTAAGAGTTAATGAATTACATGTTACTTAGTAAAAGTGGAAAGAAGTAAGAAGGAACTGTAGGCTTACAATCCAGGGGAAAAAATAATTTGTGGTGGCTGTCGCATGACAAATTCCAAAGGATCTAAGACAGGCGATGTTACAAGTGGGAAACCTTGAACACTCTGACACTAAATAAAACTCTAAAAGATAAACATAACCTTTCATCTGGGCTAATGAAATATCCTGCTCATATGAGAATAGTAGGTACATATATACCATCTTTTCATTACAAATATAAATGGATTAATTAAAAATAATTAGGTATATGTGCTATTATGAGAGGATGACCAAGATGTACCACTAAGTGAAAGAATCAAGGTGTGAAAATAGAGTAAATGGTTTGTTTTTGTTAAAAACGATACTTTTAAAAAAAATTATTTTTATTTTTATTTTGAGACATAGTCTTGCTCTGTCACCCAGGCTGGAGTGCAGTGGCGTGATCTCGGCTCACTGCAGCCTCTGCCTCCTGAGTTCAAGTGATTCTCCTTCCCCAGCCTCCTGAGTAGCTGGGACTATAGGCACACTCCACCATGGCTGGCTGATTTTTGTATTTTTAGTAGAGATGGGGTTTCACCATGTTGGCCAGGCTGGTCTCGAACTCCTGGCCTCAAGTGATCCACCACCAAAAAAAAGAAAATTTTTATCTGCATGTGCTGGCAGTAATGCGTGACTCTTCCCTGGCCCCTGACCCTCATTCCCACTCCTTTTCCCCAGGAAGGAAACCAATGGTTCAGAGGAAATGGGGTGAAGGTGGAAAAGGGAACTTTTACTTTGCATTTTGTTCCTTTCTGTACTATCTGGAAAATATATATATATATATAATTTTTTTTTTTTAGACGGAGTTTTGCTCTTGTTGCCCAGGCTGGAGTACAATGGTGCGCTCTCGGTTCATGGCAACCTCCGCCTCCAAGGTTCAAGCAATTCTCCTGCCACAGCCTCTCAAGTAGCTGGGATTACAGGCATACGCCACCACGCCCGGCTAATTTCGTATTTTTAGTAGAGATGGGGATTCTCCATGTTGGTCAGGCTGGTCTTCAACTCCCAACCTCAGGTGATCCGCCCGCCTCGGCCTCCCAAAGTTTTGGGATTACAGGCATGAGCCACCGTACCCGGTATATACATAACTTTTACTTAAGATAATGTCCATCTGGTTGGTGGCATTGTGGACCAGTTTGATTTTTAAAAATTATCTGCAGTATTAGACTATTAATATAAGTTCCTAGGGACCATGTCAATGTTTTATTAATGTTGCTGCCCAGATGTTGCCTGTTATAGTAGCTTTTTATATTGAGATACTCAATAAACTTTTGTTCCACTGAAAAAAATTAATAATGTTATTTAAAGTATTTTAAAAGTAAGTTTAAACAAGACAAGCAGCTGAGTCCATTCTCTGAAGCAATGCTGGCAAGACCCAGGAATTTATACTGGCTGGACAGTATGAGGATGGCTAATTTGCAATTTGTGCCCAGGAATATGTAATTTACATCTACTTCCTGAATTAACAAATCTAATATGCACTAGAAATAATTTTCCAAAGGGTAAAGATTTAGAAAATATCCGAGAATCCGTGTGATCTACCTTACCTAACCCCTCTGTTATCAATGCAGTACTTCTTTCTTCCAAATCTATCCTTCTCTGTCTTGCTTTGTGATACTGGAACTGGCCCTTATAAACATTTCTCCTTTGCCAAAATGCAGAATATTAAGCTTTGCCAGTAAAGGTGCTGAAGGAACACTGCAGTAGAAAGTGTATTCTCTTCCTAGTTCTGGTGTACTTTCTCCTTCTTGCTCCTGTGGTAAGCACCTAATGGTGGTGTGTGGGACCACAGTGGCAGTGCTATCTATAAAGTTTCAGTGGTACCCCAGGTGGTAGCTTCCTATCAAGTTTCACTAGCACCCTAGAAGTTTCACGGCCATCCTAGTGGGGGGCTTCCTAGCAAGTCTTGCCAGCACTCCAGCAGGCAGTTTACTGCTTGCCAGTTCTGGTCTCTTGAAATTCGATGCCATCCAGTGGCCACAACACCTCTCCAACATGATCTGAATCAGCCTAGATCTGGGAAGGGGCTCTCTTCCAAGTTTGCTTCTTTGTTAGGTAGTATGCCTGAGCCCTAGAGGTAGTAGTTGCTCCCTATATTTTATTCCTGCATTCTTACGAATTCTCTTTACCTCTTAGTAGTTAATCCCCTATTACTACTTAATAACTCCTTATATTAAAATTTCTGGTCAGGCGTGGTGGCTCACCACTGTAATCGCAGCACTTTGTGAGGCCAAAGTGGGCAGACAGCTTGAGTCTAGGAATTTGAGACCAGCCTGGGCAACATGATGAAACTCTGTCTCTACAAAAAAATACAAAAATCAGCCAGGCGTGGTGGCTCACCCCTGTAATTGCAGCACTTTGGGAGGCCAAGGTGGGCAGACAGCTTGAGTCTAGGAATTTTAGACCAGCCTGGGCAACATGGTGAAACTCTGTCTCTACAAAAAAATACAAAAAATCTGCTGGACATGGTGGTTCACACCTGTAATCCCAGCACTTTGGGAGGCCAAGGCAGGCGGATCACAAGGTCAGGAGATCAAGACCATTCTGGCCAACACGGTGAAACCCTGTCTCTACTAAAAACACAAAAATTAGCTGGGTGTGGTGGCACGTGCCTGTAGTCCCACCTACTCGGGAGGCTGAGGCAGGAGAATCACTTGAACCTGGGAGGTGGAGGTTGCAGCGAGCTGAAATCGCGCCACTACACTCTAGCCTGGGCGACAGAGCGAGACCCTGTCACAAAAAAAGAAAAAAAAAATTAGCTGGGTGTGGTGGTGTGTGCCTGTAGTTCCAGCTACTTGGGAGGCTGAGATGGGAGGATCACTTGAGCCCAGGAGGCAGAGGCTGTAGGGAGCTAAGATTGTGCCACTGCACTACAGCCTGGGCAACAGAGTGAAACACTGCCTCAAAAAAATAAAAATAGGCCAGGCGCAGTAGCTCATGCCTGTAATCCCAGCACTTTGGGAGGCCGAGGCAGGTGGATCACCTGAGGTCAGGAGTTTGAGACCAGCCTGACCAACATGGTGAAACCCCATTTCTACTAAAAATACAAAAACTCAGCCAAGTGTGGTGGTACATGCCTATAACCCCAGCCACTTGGGCAACTGAGGCAGGAGAATCACTTGAACATGGGAGGAGGAGGTTGCAATGAGCCGAGATTGAGCCATTGCACTCTAGCCTGGGCAACAAGAGCTAAAACTCTGTCTCAATAAATAAATAAATAAAAATAAAACAAAATTTCTCTGTTCAAATTACTGGTGTGGTTTCTGGCTCCTGACTAGACCTTGACTGATTCATCCCTAAACCAAAATAACCCAAAACAAACTCATCCAACAACAAACCATGCCAACCACAAAAAATCAAATCTAAGCCCACCACTAAAACCTATGTATGATTAATCTGCTAACACAGAGAAACAGTATGGCAGTTACCAAACTTGTTAACTTATTGCTTCCTGAAGCTGACTGTGCATGTAGCTGAATAGTAAGTCAGCTGCTACCACAGATTTACTGTTTATGATTGCATATTTCAGAAGGATGTATTAAATGCATTGTTCTGAGTGTGGGTGGTTATCTAATTCTTTACAAGTCCTTCACGGGAAAAGAAATTTGCTGGTTTTTTCTGCCATAAGAATGAATCTATTTATGAAAAAGCATAGATATAACTGTAGTAAGTGACAGAATTTTAAAAAATCACTGTGAACATTCCAGAAAGTTCTCAGAAGGTTCGCAGAAATTACCAGTAAAGTTAAACTCTAATTTCTGGCTTCAATGTCATTCATTCAATAAATATTTACTGAGTGGCCCTGGGACATAGCAGTAAAGAGGACAGACAATATTCCAGCCTCATGAAATTTACTTTCTGTGATGGGGAAAAAACATGTAAACAAACCAATATGCAACATAAATTCAGGTGTTATGAAGTACTATAAAGAAAATTAAGGAAAAGGATGTAACGGGTGTGGGTGGTATTTTAGGAGATGATTTAGTGTTCTATATTAAATTTCCTACACATAGCATGCAATAAATGTTATAATAAATATAACCGCAGATATATCTTAGGCATGCTACTAAGAGGACAGGATTTTCATGTAGTTCCATAATAAATCAAACTGAATACATTTATGTAAATCATAACAAGCTTATATATGGACCAATGAAACTTACCCTATAGAAAGCACTGGTCAAAGGGAGTAATGCTGCGGCAATGTTGTATTCTTCTAAACTTGAACAATCCTTTAAGCAAAACAAAGACAAAAGAGCATTAGGATATTTACCAGAAATCACAAATACATGCGAACTAACATCTGGGATACACTGTTTACTGTCCTATGGGGTTTTTACCTTTTTATTTTGCAGAGGACCTGACGGAGGGGTTTGTACTCTTATTCCAAATTGCCATTAAGACATAGCTAGGTAAGTTTTGGGGGAAAAAACTGTGTGTGAAGCACATTCTTTTATAAATAAGGTAAAAGTATATTTGAGAAAGGTATTTTCATACATTATTGCTGAGTAGCCACCTTTACTTTCCTGCTCTACAAAGATTGTTAAAAGTTGTGTAACTTACACAAATTTTTTTTTGGAGGAAGTTTTAGTATATTCAGCAACTGTATTCCATTGAGTCTAAGATACATTTTTTTGCACATTTTAACATTTCTGAGATGGGGATCATCTTATAATTGACTGGAGATATTTTTTTCTTTCTTATTGTTATATAAAAAGGGTTATCTTTCAGGCTGGGCGCGGTGGCTCATGCCTGTAATCCCAGCACTTTGGGAGGCTGAGGCGGGCAGATCACCTGAGGTCAGGAGTTCGAGACCAGCCTGGCCAACATGGTGAAACCCTGTCTCTACTAAAAATACAAAAAGCCAGGCATGGTGGCGGGCGCCTGTAATCCCAGCTACTTGGGAGGCTGAAGCAGGAGAATCGCTTGAACCCGGGAGGTGGAGGTTGCAGTGAGCCAAGATCCCACCACTGCACTCCAGCCTGGACAACAGAATGAGACTCCGTCTCAAAAAAAAAAAAAGGGGGGTGGGGCGGGGAGGATCTTTCTATTGATCAGACAAGATATATCACTGATTCTAAAACCCATTGAGTGAAATGCTGATGAATAGAAAGGTCAGGAAATCTCAGTGGGAAGGTAAAATGGCACAGTGACTGTGGAAAACAGTATAGCGATTCCACACATGCAAAAAATAAATATAGAATTACTGTATATTACAGTTATTCTTCTTCTGGGCATATACCCAAAATAATGGAAAACAAGAACTCAAACAGGTTTTTGTATACTCATGTTCACAGAAGCATTATTCACAATAGGCAAAAGGTGAAAGTGACCCAGGTGTCTGTTGACAGATAAGTGAATAAACACAATGCGGTATACAAGCACACACACATAGATGCATAGAATATTCAGCCTTAAAAAGAAATTCTGACACATGCTACCACATGGACATTATGTTAGATAATTTTTTTTTTTGAGACAGAGTCTTGCTCTGTCACCCAGGGTTGGAGTGCAGTGGTGTGATCTCAGCTCACGGTAACCTCAGTCTCCCAGGTTAAAGCGATTCTCATGCTTCAGCCTCCCGAGTAGCTGGGATTATAGGCACATGCCACCACACTCGGCTAATTTTTATATTTTTAGTAGAGACGGGGTTTAACTCCTGACCTCAAGTGATCCGCCTGTCTCAGCCTCCCAAAGTGCTGGGATCACAGGCATGAACCACCATGCCCGGCGGATAGATATTTTCATACAGTTATATTAACCAGTCCTTCCTCTGTCTAGCAGTGGGGTCCAATGTGGCCAGAATCCAGAATAGTGCCCACAATGGCTGCAAAAGCTGCAATTGATTTTCCTAGTGGGTGAAGAATAGTGATTAAAGCCCTGACCTTAGACAATGTAGCTATCTCCATCAAAACTCCTCATCCATCCGTTATAAGTTTGCATGAAATGATTTTAAACTCATAGAGCTGGGACCTTAGACATCAATTATTCCAGTGCAATTCCTCCACTTTCCAGACTAGAGAAAAGAGGCATAGGTGTCAGCCACAGAGCCACAACTGGAGTCTGGATTTATCTACCTATCAGTGTGGTGTTTTTTCCTCTAGACACTGCCTTTTGTACTTGCTTTCCTTTAATTTTTGAGGTAGAACATATGGATTGTCTGAACTTCCAGCACTAATTTTAGAGTGTGAGGGTGGTGAGAACTAACCTGACCAGGAGAGCAGCAGAAGGCTTAGAGCTGCCTAAGTGCACTAGTGCCCGGGAGAAGCACTCCAGAAAACAGGAGGAAGAGTCAGAAGGGAAAGTCAGAAGTGAGGAAGAGTCAGAAGGGAAATAGGCAAAGATAATCTTTGCCTATTTCAAACTACTGCTGCGGATGGGGAGGGCGTAGTACTGCCCTGAGGAAAAAGGAAGAAACTTTCTTTCAAGAGCTTAGCCTAGAAGTGGCCATCTAGTCTAAAGCTAGTCTTTCTAGCCTGAGTGCTTTTGGTACTAGGATCAGCTAAAAGAGTTTTCAATTGAATTTCATGTATTGTCAATTCTGAAAAACAGTTTAGAATTTACTGCATGTTCTATTGCAATGACTACTGAAACAATAATGGATTATAAGGCTGGGCACGGTGGTTCACACCTGTAATCCCAGCACTTTAGGAGGCAGAGGCGGGTGGATCACCTGAGCTCAGGAGTTCAAGACCAGCCTGGGCAACATGGTGAAACCCTGTCTTTACAAAAAATACAAAAACTAGCTGGGCACAGTGGCCTGTGCATGTAGTCCCAGCTACTCAGGAGGCTGAGGCAGGAGAATCGCTTGAACCTGGGAGGCACAGGTTGCAGTGAACTCAGATGGTGCCATTGCACTCCAGCCTGGGCAACGGAGTGAGACCTGTCTTTTAAAAAAAGGATTATAAGATAAATCTCAGCAGTAAAAAGTCATTCTCATATGGCTCACATTCTGTGACCCAGTTAAAAATAAAAAAGTAAAAGATAGGCTCAAGCTTCCTATATTATGCTAAAAATAATATTTTAACTAATTCATCCTATTGAATAAACATTTATTGGAGAAATGAATAAGTGAATAAATAAAGGAATAAACATAAGGAGAACAATGAGAAAAAGGGGCTAAGGACAGAAACTTGGGAAAGATATGTATTTATATAAAGGCAGAGAGGAAAATCAAGATGGGGAAGGAGAACTGGTGAGAATGGTATCACAGATGTTAAGAGGAAATGACCAACAGTGTTACATGCTTTAGAGGAAGTTTAGTAAAATAAAGATTAAAAAAAAAACAACAACAAAAACATGAGAAACTGATGAATATAAGAGGTCACTGGTGATTTCTGAAATTATTAGAGAACAGGTGAGTAGAATAAAACAAAAGGCCCTGACTATAAATCTTCAAGGTTGGAAAGGAGAGCAATAAAATAGTCACTTGGGCTGGGTGTGGTGGTTCATACTTATAATCTGAGCACTTTGGGAAGCCAAGGCAGGAGGACTGCTTGAGCCCAGGAGTTTAAGATCAGCCTGGGCAATATAGGGTGACTC
This sequence comes from Homo sapiens, assembly GCF_000001405.40. Classification (NCBI taxonomy): domain Eukaryota; kingdom Metazoa; phylum Chordata; class Mammalia; order Primates; family Hominidae; genus Homo; species Homo sapiens. The sequence continues at coordinate 9,899,322 of NC_000011.10, forward strand.
TGCTTCTACAAAAAATTAAAAAAAAAAAAAAAACTGGCCAGGTATGATGGTGCATGCATGTAGTCCCAGCTACTTGGGAGGCTGAGATGGGAGGATCGCTTGAGCTTGGGAGTTTGAGGCTGCAGCAAACTATGATCATGCCGTGACACCCCAGCCTGGGTGACACAGAGAGACACTGTCAAAAAAAAAAAAAAGCCACTTGAAGAGTTATTACATCTAAATTTATTGTTTAATGAATCTCAACAGGGCTCAACTAGATGAACGGTGAGATTTTATCCAATCCTTTGATTCTTGAGAATTAGAAGGGTCCCAAGTACACTAAAAGGGAAACTCCAATGGAGGAGAGAGAGGAAAAAGAAAGATCACTAGTAGACTGAGGACTCTGAGATACGTCTGGTAGTCAATATGGTCCCCATTTCTAAGGCATGGTTAGACCCTGAAAACATCATAAAAAGCAAATATCTAGAATTTATATTAAACAGCAAGATCCCTGATGATATCATCAGATATAACATATGAGGAAAAAGCAGCTTGGTTCTGCAAGGAAGACTCAGGACTTCCTATTTTTATGGTGAGGGGAGGATGAGTGGGGAGAGCTCTTTAAACTATTCTGCTAATACTAGCTCTGTAGAGTACTGATAGCTGTTACTTGGGGGGAATTGGGGAAATGCTGGGTAAACAAAATTAAACAAGGTTTTCCTTTTCTTCTTTTTTTTTTTTTTTAAAAAAAAAAAACAGGATTTGGCAGGATTTTAAACTGTGACTCCATGAAGGGAATTCGGTATACAGCATTTGTAAACCCAGTTTCACTGAGTATTTTAAAAGAAAGCAGTTGTAGAATATATTTTGGAAAATGATGATTTAAGATCATCAAAAATCCTATGAAAGAATTCCAACCAAAATGTTAGATACGAGTTCTAAATTTCATTTTAAAGAATCAATATGTCAGTATGTTCAATTCTTTGCCTTCTACTTTTAAACTTAACTTCCTCATAAAGCAACCTTTTTCGATTACTGCTCCACCCTGACTCATTCCAGTTACCAGCTCCGCCCTGACTCATTCCAATTATGTGATACCTGCTCCGCCCTGACTCATTCTCCACCCTGCATAACCATTTTTCCCACCAAACCACTCACCCTGTCACTCTCTTTAAATTAGCCAATCGGAATTAGTTTAGCCTGTGCGGTCTAACCCTAGCCAATAGGGGAAGGACGCAGCAGCAGGGGCCACGTGCGTCAGGGATAAGAACCCCTTCCCTTCCCTTGTCCAAGTGTGAGCTCACCATTGCTCCATCTGTAAGGGTGCACCCTTCTATAGAAGTAACTTGCCTTGCTGAGAAAAAGACAATTTTATATTTGAGTGCTATTTCTTTTGCGGCACTGAAACTTTATTTATAACAAAAAGATCATTTAAAAAAATTTTTTTTAAATGTTCTTAGACAGGATCCTGCTCTGTTGCCTAGGCTGTGCAGTGGCACAATCATAGTTTACTGCAGCCCTGAACTCCTGGGCTCAAGCGATCCTCCTGCCTCAGCCTTCCAAGTAGTTGGGACTACAGGCACGCATCACCGCACCCAGCTAATTTTTAATTTTTTTTTTGTAGAGGCAGGGTTTCACTATGTTGTCCAAGCTGGTCTTGGACTCCTGCTTCCTTCTGCCTCCACCTCTCAAAATGCTGGGATTACAGGCATAAGCCATGACACCCAGCCCAAAAGATCATTTTAAAATTTACTTATGGATTTTTATTTCTTGACTTATGGTTGTTTTCATAATCTGAAAGGCAATTTTTCTAAAAATAATTTTAAATGATAGATAAAATATTTTAAAATCTTTAATACAATGCAATAAATTGGCAAGAAAGCAAGGAATATGCAGACCAAAATATAAGTAGAAACTTGGAAAGATAAACAGAGCACTGAAGCTAAATTTTAACTTAGGAACTGGTGGTGAGCAAATTTTAGTATTAGTTGTGAACTCAAGAGACTCAAGGGATAGGACAAAAAGACTAGCACTTGCTAAAGGGAGGAAGTCCATTAGAAGAATATAAACCAAAAATGAAATCCTGAGCCCTACAACCAAATGAATAGACCCCTGGCCAAAGGGATCCCAGCGAAACCTGAAAAACTGAATTCCTGGCCATAACAGGAAGGGAGGTCAGACACGCCCCATTACGCCCTCTCCCTTTTGGTGTTTAGGTAAAATTACAGATCTGACAAAACAGACTCTTTGTGGCAATAAGATACCAGATTATAAACACGACCTAAGGCCATGCAAGGCAGGGGTTAAGTCATACCCTATAAACCATAAAATCTCATTAAATGGGTTTTTTTTAAATTTTTATATTTTGAGACAGGGTCTCACTCTGGAGGCTGGAGTGCTGTGGTGCAGTGTGCGCTCACTGCAGCTGCGACCTCCTGGGCTCAGGTGATCCTCCCACCTCAGCCTCCTGAATAGCTGGGAATACAGGCATGTGCTACCACGCCCAGGTAATTTTTGTATTTTTTGTAGAGATGGGGTTTCACCTTACTGGCCAGGATGGAATCAAACTCCTGAACTCAAGTGATCCTCCCACATTTGGCCTCCCAAAGTGCTGGGATCATAGGCATGAAAACAGGTTTTTAAAATTATCCCAGCATAAAGCAGCTTCCTTTCCAACCTGATTCTGATACAGCATCACATGATAGATAGAAGACCCTGAAGGAAATCAAAATATTTTTCTTTGACATATTGTGAAATGGCCCTGCAAAGTCATCTGTTGTGGGAGAAATCTGCATCTGTAAAGAATCTCCATTAATGCAGCCAGGCCTTCCCTTTCTAGGACTTTCTCAGCTGTGGGAGAGATTAGCTGGGAGTCTGACACTTTTATGGTCTAAAAAGAGACATGTACCATCTATTCTCTCTGAGGGCTACTACCTATGAGGCTTCATCTACATAATAAGGGCTTTGACCTCCACAACTCCCTTATCTTGACTCAAGCATTTCTTTCTACTCTACTGACATCAAGTATTTATACAAAGCTTAACTCTTTCAATCAGTAGCCAATCAGAAAATCTTTGAATCCACCTATGACCTGTAAGCCACCACCCCACAAGATATCCCACCTCTTTAGGACGAACCAAGGTACACCTTCCATGTATTGATTTATGATTTTACCTACAATTTCTGTCTCCCTAGAATATATAAAATTAAACTGCAACCCAACTACCGGGCTGTGGTCACTCCTAGTGGCTCAGAATAAGCCTCTTTAAAATATTTTACAGATTTGATTTTTCAATTAACAAGAATGACAATAATCCTGGGATCTCTAAAGCCATCTATGACACCAGATAGAAAGTCTGAGATGTAAGAAGATAACTGAGCCAAAAAAGAGATAAATATGTAGGTAAATCTAAACACACATTGACTGTATAAAACAATGACAATACTGTCTTTTGATAGCAAAGAAAGTTAAGATACAACTAAACTATACAACCATGGTAGCATAGACTTTCTAAGGGAGTGGATTGGAGTTAGATTTTGATAGATTTTGATAAATTAAGTAAGCCTTTAAGAATTTCTGTATTATCATGAAAGAAACAGAAATAGAGTGGGTTGCAACTTCCAAACTAGTGGAGGAAAAAATGGAATAATAGGAAAATAAAAAAAAAAAACAACAAACCTGAACCCAAGGGAAAACAAAAAAGAAGTGGAAAAAGAAACTCAGAAAAGGGAAACAATTGGCCGTGCGCGGTGACTCACGCCTGTAATCCCAGCACTTTGGGAGGCTGAGGCAGGCGGATCACGAGGTCAGGAGATCAAGACCATCCTGGCTAACACAGTGAAACCCCGTCTCTACTAAAAAATACAAAAAATTAGCCAGGTGTGGTGGCAGGCATCTGTAGTCCCAGCTACTAGGGAGGCTGAGGCAGGAGAAGGGCGTGAACCCGGGAGGCAGAGCTTGCAGTGAGCCAAGATCGTGCCACTGCACACCAGCCTGGGCGACAGAGCAAGATTCCGTCTCAAAAAAAAAGAAAAAGAAAAGGGAAACAATCAGAAAAAGAAAAAAAATAAGATGGTAGGAATAAATGTGTTAGTGGTGGCAAATATCTGAGTCTCACAGCACCAAATATGTTACCAGTCAAGGTATCCAAGGTATTACTGATGGTGAATCCATATGCGTCTGCAGCAAGCTCAATTCTTGCCTCCTCAGAAGAAAGAATTGGACTGAGGGGCATAAGGCATAAAAAGAGACCGAGGCAAGTTTCAGAGCAGGAGTGGAAGTTTATTTTAAAAAGCTTTAGAACGGGAAAGAAATGAAATAATGCTTGGAAGAGACCCAAGCGGGCACGTGAAGGTCAAGTGCCATTTTAACCTTGATCCTAGGACTTTATTTATACGCTGGCCCCTTTCCCATGATTCTTCCCTTAGGCTGGGCTACTCATAAGTGCAGTGCCCTCCTTACACTTGGGAGGTGAGCATGCGCAGTGTGTTTAGGAAGTTGTATGCACGCCCATCTGTGGCTTTCTTCCCTTTTTGGGTGGTGTGCCCCTGGGAGGTCATACTCTGCCATTTTGTCTCTTAATGCTCATGCCCAGGAAGTTGCTTCTCCCTGGTGCCTGCATTCAATTAACACTTTAGTGTACCAGGTGTGGACAATCAGGAAATGGACTCTCCCTGGTGCCAGCTGCCAATTTATCACTTTTAGAGAGGCAAAGTGATAACTGCCCAACTATCACCTGACATTCCTAGAGGGTGGGGGACAGCTTTCTCCTGCCCCGCTCATGCCTGTCTAACTACTTGTAACAAATACAAATACAATAACACAAATGGACCAAATGTTCTGGTTAAAAAAACAAAGATTGACACTGAATCTAAAAACAGAATCTAAATATTTGTTGCTTATAAACAACATATATATATATAAAACTTAAGGATACACGAAATTTAAAGGATGAAAAAATATGTACCAGGCAAATACCAAAAGAAGTTGGGGTAGCTATATTAATAATCAGAATATAAAATACTCTTTAAGGCAAAATGCATTACTAGGGATAAAATGAAGCACTACATAATAATAAATAGCTCAATCTACCAGAAAGCTATAACAATTTAAATGTATATAAACCTAATAACTTAGCCTCAAAGTATACAAAGCAAAAACTGACAGATGTAAAAGGAAAAACAGATAAATTTACAATCATGCTAAAATATTTTAATATACCTCTCTCAGTAACTGATAGTTCAAGCAGGTAGAAAAATCAGTCATCATATTGAAGATTAAAAGAAATACTGTAAACGTTAGAGCTAATAGATATGTATAGAACACTGTATACAAAAACTTGCTTGCTCTAATGGACACTGCACTTTCTAACACTGTACCCAGAACTGTTCACATGGATTTAAAAAAATTGACCTCATACTGGTCCATAAAATAAGTATCAGGGCTGGGTATGGTGGCTCACACCTATAATCACAGAACTTTGGGAGGCCGAGGTGAGAGGATTGCTTGAGCTCAGGAGTTCAAGACCAGCCTGAGTGATAGTAAGAGCTCATCTCTACAAATTATTAAAAATTAGTTGGGTGTGGTGTCATGTGCCTGTACTCCCAGATACTTGGGAAGCAGAGATGGGAGAATCACTTGAGCCGAGCAGGTGGAGGCTACAGTGAGCCATGATTGTATCACGTGGCCTTCCAGCCTGGGTGACAAAGCAAGACCCTGTCTCAAGAACAAAACAAAACAAAAAACTATCAGTAAATTTCAAAATGTTTTGAATCATATAGACAGAGTTGTCAGCTCACAATGCAATTAAGTTAGAAATCATTAATGCATGTAAAATACTTAAAATTGTACCTGGTACATAGAAAGTACTCAATAAATGTTATTATCACTGAGGCTAGGAAATGCTTAGCATATCACACTCTATTGTGATTATCTATTTACTTGTATGTCTCTTCACTAGATTATAAGCAATTTAATGGCATTTTTATTAAGAAGCAGTTATCAATATTTATGGCAAGTTGTTGAATGAGTGATATGCCTTTTTGAATGTCATACAAAGCTGAAAGAACAGTAGAACAAATGATCTTACTAGGTCTTGGATTTCCAGAATTAACATTGAGCGTAATCAGGATTTTCCTTTGAATAACGATTTTCATTTACTCAACAAATATTTATTGAGTATCTACTATGTGCCAGGCATGCTGTAGCTAATGAACTCAGGAATCTCTTTATCCCAGGAGGAAATAGGGATGACAAATAAGAACACATTTTAAAGGGATGAGATAAATTCATGGCTGAATAAGATACATCCTTAAATTAGAGGACAATGATGTTCTTTTATGATGTCTCTGTGGGGACCTTTGTTGGAGCCCAGTTACTGGTTAGATAGATTTTTAAGTCAGAACAAGTAATCTTTTGTTTTAAATTCAAGAACATGAGTTTTACATATAAAAAGAGTGACTGTTAAAACTCAGTAGCAGCTCTCCCTCAGTCAAACCTCTGGAAATGAATGTGTGTGAGAAAGGAGAGGGAGAAAAGAAATATGAGTCAATGAGAACTTCCTTCAAAGAGAATATTAAAATCAACTAAAATATTACTTTGAAGGCAGTCATTACCTTGGAGTCGTGTTTAGGTTTTTATTTTAAAATACAGTCAGGCCATGTAGGAAAACACCGCACCTTTTTCCTATGTGGTATCTCTGCAAGGTCTCCATCCTCTCTATGGATTATATATAATAATCCCAGAATGCAGCAAAAAGTATGAATCATCTTTTTCTTCCTGACTTATTCCTCACCCCCTTAGGACACTGCTATGCACAAGAATGTCATCTGTGTCCTAGCACATCTGAATTTCTTTAACAGAAATGCCTTGCATGTTTCTGAAGACTGTCATGAGGCCCAAGGCAATAAAGTTCAACAGACTTGAGCTGTAATCTTCTCCCAAGGAAATGGTTGGGATGCCAAGATGCCTTTTGACTTTGATTTCACAGCAGGGCTTCATTTGTAATGACACTGTCCAAACTTTAAATGACAACAGCTGTGATATGAAGCCCTACACACTCATTTATAATAATTTTCCACAAATTAAAAAAATTAAACAATGGGGAATTTCAATCCATGACCAATTAGCAGGGAACAGGCAATCATAAAACATTTAGACTAGTGGGCACTATTTATTATCTTACAAAATGTTTACTCATTGTAGTGCATGTCTCAAACCTGTGTGCTGCTCAAATGCTGATTGCAAAATATAAATAAAAAATTCTTTGCAAATCACGTTAGAGACATTCTAAGTTAATTAGGTTGAAAGAGGGAAAAAATTTACAACAATAAGTCTACAACTATTGACACAGCAACCGCATTCCAGAATTGTGTGGTTATCTGTTGGGGAATCAGTCCATAAATACACAATCTGAAGTCCCCTGTGCTTTGGCCAAATAATAGCATTGTAGTAATAAACATACCAGACATTTTATAAACTTGCAAGGTCTTGAATACTGATACATGTTTTATTCTGAACTTTGCTTTGTAATTTACCTTTAATTTTCCTGCTACAATTGAAGAGTGAGCCCTGCAATCTTAATTTCCCATTATCCTCAATTACTTCGTACTTTTAACCTAGATACCTTTGAACTGTTGTTGCCAACATTCCAGTTTGATAAAACTCTGGAATCTCTAAAAAATGTTATATTTAAACATTAAAGAAAAAACTAGATTGAAAGGAACAATGTGTTACAGAACTGACTTTCCTTTAGAGTTTAGATTAGACACAGCTCAGAAAAAAGTTTTTTTGAATTGCCCAAAACACTGAAAACATTTGCATCTTCTACATAAGGACAAAAATTAAAAACACAAATTCCTCTCTGTATCACATTACTCTCCTATTCAAAAATTCAGCTATTTTCTGACCATTATAGAATAATGACCAAACTCTTCTGCCAGGCTTATTAGCCCTTCTCGGTACGGATCCACCTCTCTACCCACCCGACCATATGGGCCCCTGCCACAAGCTGCTGCTTTAGTCAACCTATTTTATTTATCACCTTCTATTCCACATCATACTTACTCCTACCATATCTAATACGGTTGAGGAAGCCCATCCATGCTTTGGTTTGTCATTTACATGCTTTCTCCTTGGTATTTTCATATGCATGCCCCCATATTTCTCCCTTCTTTCCAAGTACAATGTTAAGCAAAAAATAGGCAAAAGGATTTTTTTATTACAGTTTCAGCTTCAAGTTATATTTTAACATTAAATAAACCTACAAAACCATAAAGGATGTACCACAGTTTTGAATACCACTGTTATTTATATGCACAATGACTCCCATTGCAATAGAAGGTGAATGCTAGGCTTGACAAATAATATCAAGCTTTATTTTAAGTTATTTGAGTGAATGGACCAAGTCACTTTTAACTTTATATGCCTGGAAACTAGAACACTGCACCTGGCATATGGTAATAATTAGTTAGCACTTATTAAGTGTTTACTAAGTATCACACATATTTGAAGTATGAATTTACAGATATTATTTCATTTAATCTTCACAACATCTCGATTAGATAGGTACTGTAATTATGTCCTTTTTGTTGATAATGAAACTGAGCCTCTCAGAGGTTAAATTATTTGCTTGCGATTATATAGCCACAAATGGCAGAGCCAGAATTTGAACCTGGATAGTCTTACTCCAGTATTTGTGCTTGAAACCTCAACGTTCTCTTGCCTCTCAAGTAAGATACTGAACTGAATATAAAAATGGAGTCTGTGGAAACATAATTCATGAAAAAGAAACCTTCTAGTGAATTATAAATAATATCCTCAAGAGAGTTTGAAACTATACATCTATGAAAAAGCAATTAAAAACATAATTGTTACAATTAAAATGCAATGGAAGGGCTTGAAGAAAATTTTTTTCTTATGTGTTCATTTTATCTCTATATTTAGGAATTTAAAAACATTACAAAATATAGAGGATGAAGTTAAAGCTTCTAAAATATACCTAACAGGAGTACTGGAAATTGTGAATAGAGAAGGCAGATGGGGGGCTTGGTGCGGTGGCTCACGCCTGTAATCCCAGCACTTTGGGAGGCCGAGGCGGGTAGATCACGAGGTCAGGAGATCGAGACCATCCTGGCTAACACGGTGAAACCCCGTCTCTACTAAAAATGCAAAAAAAATTAGCCAGGCGTGGTGGCGGGCGCCTGTAGTCCCAGCTACTCAGGAGGCTGAGGCAGGAGAATGGCGTGAACCCGGGAGGCGGAGCTTGCAGTGAGCCGAGATCACGCTACTGCACTCCAGCCTAGGCGACAGAGCGAGACTCCGTCTCAAAAAAAAAAAGTCTTATCTTTATTTAAATTTTTGGCCCAAATGCCATCTGTTCATAATCTTGTTGTTGCTGTTGTTGTTGTTTTAGAAAGGGCAGGGTCTCACTCTGTCCCCCAGGCTGAAGTGCGGTGGTGTGATTTTGGCTCACTGTAGCCTTGACCTCCCGAGTTCAAGCGATCCTCCCAAGCAGCTGGGACTACAGGCATGTGCCACTGCGCATGGCTAATTTTTTTTTTTTTTTTTGTAAAGATGAGGTTCCGCCACGTTGCTCAGGCTGGTCTTGAACTCCTGAGCTCAAGCGATCCTCTCACCTCAGCCTCCCAAAGTGCTGGGATTACAGATGTGAGCCATCATACCCAGCCTATTCTTTACTTTGTATTAAAATTATGTATACTGCATATCCTCCCTAATTAGTCATAAGGCCTTTTGAGGGCAATGATTGTGTTATACATAATAGATGTTCAGTGAATATTACTAAACAAAAGAAAGATTACTCTAAAAATGAAAAGAAAGCTATTTTACAAATACAGCTAAAAGAGAAAATAAAGTATTAGTATAGTGATTCCTTTTTATGAAATCACTTCTCAAATGTGCAGTTTTATTCTAAGGAACTCACTTTAGCCTAACCACTTATTTTGGAAGGTTTTTGTTTTCTATTCTGTTGGTTTTGTATTTACCCCCATACTTTCTCTCTTTTTTTTTTCCTTTTGACCTTAGAAGGAAGGTAAAAAAAACCTGACTTACAATATAAGATACCCTGAGGCGGCTGGGCGCGGTGGCTTACGCCTGTAATCCCAGCACTTTGGGAGGCCGAGGCGGGTGGATCATGAGGTCAGGAGATCGAGACCATCCTGGCTAACACAGTGAAACCCCACCTCTACTAAAAATACAAAAATTAGCCGGGCGTGGTGGCGGGCACCTGTAGTCCCAGCTACTCGGGAGGCTGAGGCAGGAGAATGGCATGAACCCGGGAGGTGGAGCTTGCGGTGAGCCGAGATTGCGCCACTGCACTCCAGCCTGGGTGACAGAGCGAGACTCTGTCTCAAAAAAAAAAAAAAAAAAGATACCCTGACGACTTTGTGGTAAAAACACTCAAATCTTAGTGAGAAGTTAAGTTGTAAACATCTGTAGTCTGTGGGTTTATTTTCAGAAGTTAACCTACTGAAACCTAACCTTCTATAGCTCAGAGTCTTCAATAACTATTGGAATAGTATCTAGGCCTAGGACTTCCCATCAAAAAATATTGCCATTCCTGACATGCCATTCCTGGCATGGCAGATCAAAGAAGAAATGATATATATTTTAATATATGATGCTGAGGCTGTTGGGCAGAAATATGGAAAAATAAAATAAAATTGGACTCTTACTTCAAACTACATGCAAAATCAGTTCCACGTGGGTGAAGGTTAGATGGTAACATAAAAAAATGTGTTCATGACTTCAGGTTAGGGGAACATTTCTTATGATACAAAAAAGCACAGTCACCGAGAAAAAGACTAATAAATTCAACTATAGTCACGTGGCCTTATAATGATGTTTTGGTCAATGATGGACTGCATATATGATGGTGGTCACATATGACTATAATGGAGCTGAAAAATTCTTATTGCCTAGTGACATTTTAGCCATTGTAACATCCAAGAGAGCACAGTGTAACACATTACTCAGACATTTGGGCTGATGTTGGTGTAAACAAACCTACTGTGCTGCCAGTCTCATAAAAATATAGCACATACAATTTGTACAGTACATAATACTGAATGATAATAAATGAGTATGTTACTGGCTTATGTATTTACTACACTATACTTTTAATCATTATTTTAGAGTACACTTCTACTTATTAAAAAAAATAGCTAATGGTAAAATAGCCCAAGGCAAGTCCTTCAGTAGGTATTCTAGAAGGCACTGTTATCACAGGAGATGACAGCTCCATGTGTGTTACTGCCCCTGAAGAACTTCCAGTGAGACAAGATGTGGTGGTGGAAGACAGTGATATGGATGATCCTGACCCTGTGTAGGTCTAGGCTAATGTGTGGATTTGTGTCTTCATTTTTAATGAACAAGTTTAAAAAGTAAAAAAAAAACAACTTTTTTTTACTTTTTTCTACTTTTCTATTAAAAATAGAAAACACAGCTGGGGCTGGGTACGGTGGCTCACACCTGTAATCCCAGCACCATGGGAGGCCAAAGCAGGTGGATCATGAGGTCAGGAGATTGAGACCATTTGGCCAACATGGTGAAAACTTGTCTCTACTAAAATACAAAAAAAAAAAAAAAAAAATTAGCTGGGCATGGTGGTGCACGCCTGTAGTCCCAGCTACTCAGGAGGCTGAGGCAGGGGAATTGCTTGAACCTGGGAGGAAGAGGTTGCAGTGAGCTGAGATCGCCCCACTGCACTCCAGCCTGGTGACACAGCAAGACTCCATCTCAAAAAAACAAAAAAAACAAAAAAAACACGACTGGGCACGGTGGCTCATGCCTGTAATCCCAGAACTTTGGGAGGCCGAGTCAGGTGGATCATGAGGTCAGGAGTTCAAGACCAGCCTGGCCAAGATTGGTGAAACCCCGTCTCTACTAAAAATACAAAAAATTAGTCGGGTGTGGTGGTGGGTGCCTGTAATCCCAGCTACTCAGGAGGCTGAGGCGGAGAATTACTTGAACCTGGGAGGTGGAAGTTTCAAGGAGGCAGAAGTTTCAGTGAGCCAAGATCATGCCAGTGCACTCCAGCCTAGGTGACAGAGCGAGACTCTGTCTCAAAAAAAAAAAAAAATTGAAAACACTTATAAAGATATAATGAAAGAAAATATTTTTGTATGGCTATACAATACCGTGGCTTTTAAGCTAAGTGTTATTACAAAAGAGTCAAATAGTTTAAAAAATTAAAAATTTTGTAAAGCAAAAAAGTTATAGCAAGCTAAGTTTAATGTATTTTTGAAGAAATTAAAAAAATAAATTCAGTGTAGTCTAAATGTAAAGTGTTTATAAAGTCTACAGTAGCATACAGTGATGTCCTAGACCTTCACATTCACTCACCACTCACTGACTCACCCAGAACAACTTTCAGTCCTGCAAGCTCCATTCACGGTAATTGTCCTATACAGGTGTACCATTCTTAATCTTTTATACTGTATTTTTGCTTTACCATTTCTATGTGTAGATATGTTTAGATATACAAATACTTACCATTGTGTTACAACTGCCTACAGTATTCAGTATAGTAATGTGCTGTACAGATTTGTAACCTTGGAGCGATAGGCTATACCATATAACCTAGGCGTGGAATACGCTAACCAAGCTTGTCCAACACGCGGCCCACAGGCCACATGCAGCCCAGGACAGCTTTCAATGTGCCCAACACAATTCATAAACTTTTTAAAAACACTATAAATTTTTTTTGTTATTTTTTAGCTGGGTGCGGTGGCTCACGCCTGTAATCCCAGCACTTTGGGAGGCTAAGGCAGGCAAATCACAAGGTTAGGAGTTCAAGACCAGCCTGGCCAACATGGTGAAACCCCATCTCTACTAAAAATACAAAAATTAGCTGGGCATAGTGGCGGGTGCCTGTAATCTCAGCTACTCGGGAGGCTGAGGCAGAATAGCTTGAACCTGGGATGCGGAGGTTGCAGTGAGCCGAGATCACTCCACTGCACTCTATAAATTTTTTTTGTTATTTTTTAGCTGGGTGCGGTGGCTCACGCCTGTAATTCCAGCACTTTGGAAGGCTAAGGCAGGCGAATCACAAGGTCAGGAGTTCAAGACCAGCCTGGCCAACATGGTGAAACCCCATCTCTACTAAAAATACAAAAATTAGCTGGGTGTAGTGGCAGGTGCCTGTAGTCTCAGCTACTTGGGAGGCTGAGGCAGAATAGCTTGAACCTGGGATGCGGAGGTTGCAGTGAGCCGAGATCACTCCACTGCACTCCAGCCTGGGCAAACATAGCAAGACTCCGTCTCAAAAGAAAAAAATTCTAATTTTTAGCTCATTGGCTATTTTTAGTGTATTTTATCTGTGGCCCACCACAATTCTTCTTCCAATGTGGCCCAGGGAAGCCAAAAGATTGGACATTCCTGGTACCATCTACAGTACACTCCTACTTATTTTAAAAAATTAGTTTGCCTAAGTAGACAACAACAAAATTGTCAAGCTACACATTTCTCAGCATGTATCCCCACTGTCAATTTAAAAATTTATAAAATGGCATCATGAAGAGTCAAATGACAAGTCACTGCATATTGCATACAAGAAGACATTTGTAAAACATATAACTGTTATCCAGACTATATAAAGAATTACTATAAAACATTAAGAACAAAAGAGGTAACTCAGAAAAAGTTGGGTAAAAATGTAAACAGGTACTTCAAAAAAGAGAAAACCGTGCTGGGTGTGGTGGTTCACACCCGTAACCCCATTTTGGGAGGCTGACAGGGGTTGATGGCTTGAGCCCAGGAGTTCAAGACCAGCCTGGGCAACATGGTGAAACCCTGTTTCTATGAAAAATACAAAAATTACCTCGGTGTGGTGGCATGTGCCTGTAGTCTCAGCTATTCAGGAGGTTGAGGTGGGAGGACCATTTGAGTGGAGATTGCAGTGGGCTGAGATCGCGCCACTGCACTCCAGCCTGGGCGACAGGGCGAGACTCTGTCTCAAACAAACAAACAAAATGAGAAAACTAGAATGTCCAAGAGACATGAAAAATTGCTCAACTTCAGTAGTAAATGCAAATTATAATCACAAAGAGATAGCATTACACAGCCACCAGATTGGGAAAAATTAAAAAGGCTGACAAGTGTTGATAAGGATGTGAAACAATAATGGAGTTTCTTGTGGGAATGAGACTAGTATAATTACTTAGAAAAAAACATTTGACCTCATTTAATAAAGTTGAACATATGCATATCCTATGACCTAGCAATTCCATTCCTAGGTATATATTCTAACACTTATATACAAGTGTACTAGAATTGCATGGCAATGATGTTTTTTAACAGAGTTGTTTAAAATAGCTGAGATTAAAAAAATAAAATAAAATAAAATAAAATAAAATAAAATAAAATAGCTGAGATGTGGAAAAAACCAAAATGTCCACATGAATAAAATGTAGGAGTGACAGTCCAGAGGTATGGGCTCACCAGAAAACTAAGACCAAATCACAGAACTACAGAACGCTTCTCTTCCCTGACACTTTACCACAATACATTAGTAAAGGCCTACTTACAGCAGCTCCTTTTGGTTGTTGTTGTTGCTGTTGTTTAAGTAGAGACAGGGTCTCACTATGTTGCCCAGGCAGGTTTCTAATTCCTGGGCTCAAGCCATCCACCTGCTCTGGACTCCCAAAGTGCTGCGATTACAGGCATTATGAGCCACCACACCAGGCCTTATAGCAGTTCCTTTTACATAGTATATCACATTTGGCTATCAAGATAAAATTATGAGGCATACTAAAAGGCCAAAAACATAGACTGAAGAGACAGCAAGTATCAGAAACAGACTTAGATATGGAGGTATGTTGAAATTATCAGACCAGGAATTTAAAACAGCTGTGATTAATATGCTAGGGGCTCCACTGGATAAAGTAGACAGCACACAAGAATAGACGGACAATATAAGTAGAAAGATGGAAATTCCTAGAAAGAACCAAAAAGTAATGCTAGAGATCAAAAACACAGTTAACAGAAATAAAGAATGCCTTTGATGGGCTTAGTGGTAGACCGGTCATGGCTGAGGAAAGAATCTCTGAGAGCCAAGAAACAGATCTGCATAGATACAGTAAACTGATCTTTGACAAAGGAGCAAAGGCAGTAGGATGGAAGCAAAATAGTCTTTTCAACAAATGATGCTGGCCCAACTGGACATCCAAATGCAAAAGCAGAACCTGGACAGAGACTTTACACACTTCACAAAAAATATGTCAAAACGGACCAGATACCTTAGTGTAAATGCAAAACTATAAAACTCCTAGAAGGTTACACAGGGGAAAATACAGACAACCTTGGGCTTGGCAATAACTTTTTGGACACACTATCAAAAGCATGATCCATGAAAGAAATAACTGATAAGTGAGGCTTCACAAAAATCAAAATTTTCTGTTCTGTGAAAGATACCATCAAGAGAATGAAAAAATAAGCCACAGATTAAGAGAAAATATTGGCAAAATATAAATCTGTACAACACCAAGAATGAACCCTAATGTAAAATGCGCACTTTGGGTCACAATGATGTGTTAATGTAGGTTCACCAACTGTAACAAATATACCACTATGTTACAGGGTGTTTATAGTGGGGGGGGCTATAGATGTGCGGGGGGCAGGTGGTATACAGAAAATCTCTGTAACTTTTGCTCACTGTTGCTGTGAACTAAAAACTGTTTTAAAAAATAAAGTCTATTAAAAAGAAAAAGAATATAAGGCTTCAAAAATTAAAAGACAAGTGGAGAAGGATGAACTTGTGAAGATGGAGATGAAATGGCCAGAGAGACAGAAGGATATGCTAGAAATGTTTCATTATGGAAGCCAAGGAAAGAGAGTACTTGAAAAAGAAGGCCGGGTGCAGTGGCTCACGCCTGTAATCCCAGCACTTTGGGAGGCCGAGGCGGGCAGATCATGAGGTCAAGAGATTGAGACGGTCCTGGCCACCATGGTGAAACCCTATCTCTACTAAAAATACAAAAATTAGCTGGGCGTGGTGGCACGTGCCTGTAGTCCCAGATACTTGGGAGGCTGAGGCAGGAGAATTGCTTGAACCCGGGAAGTGGAGACTGCAGTAAGCCGAGATCGCGCCACTGTACTCCAGTCTGGTAACAGAGCAAGAGTCCGTCTCAAAAAAAAAAAAAAAAAAAGAAATTCTAGCTGATAAACTGCTTCCTCTAACTTTAAAACAAGGAAAAGATGGACTTACCCATGAAGAGATAACATTAATAATTTGTACAGTTTACATAGTTTCAAAGTTGCTACTGTAATTTTTTTTGCTTTTCTTTCAGAAAAAAAATTAAAGACCAGACTTAAGGTTCCTGTGAGAAAAAAGGAAACTGAATTATAAATCTGTCATATTTAGAAAGGTTAGTAGGTTGACCAAATAAATAAAATGTATAAAAAACCATTCTGTACATTAGAAAAAGCTTCATATATATAAAAAATGTCATAAGAAACCAAATAGGCTGGGCACGGTGGCTCATTCCTGTAATCCCAGCACTTTGGGAGGCCAAGGTGGGTGGATCACCTAAGGTCCAAGAGTTCGAGACCAGCCTGACCAATATGGTGAAACCCCATGTCTACTAAAAATACAAAAATTAGCCAGGTGTGGTGGTGTGCACCTGTAACCCCAGCTACTCTGGAAGCTGAGACAGGAGAATCGCTTGAACCTGGGAGGCGGAGGTTGCAGTGAGCCAAGATTGCACCACTGTACTCCAGCCCAAGTGACAGAGTGAGATTCTGTCTCCAAAAACAGACAAACAAAAAAACCAAATAGTAATTTTTAGCATTTTAAATCTATGAGCTATCATAATGTTGCCTTTATAATACTAGCAAAGATAAACTAATCAAATACTTATATAATCAACTATCACAAATAACTAGGGATAATTTTCTTTATGACTTATATCATAAAAAGATGATAATAGAAGATCAGAGAAAAGCTTAGCTAGCTCTCAGTTTCAAGAAAAATATCCTGAAATGTTATTGTCAATGGTCAAAATCAAACACTGGCAGAAAAATTTTAAATTTTAAGAATGTAATTGTTCCTGCTGAGCATTATTAATGAAAATGTTTTTGAAATTCAAAATCCAGTTGCACACAATGAATGAAATATATTTATATCTATATTTCACATATTTCCCTGTGCTTCAATACATTTTTTTCACACTCGGTGAAATGTGAAGTGTTACAGGTGGTCAGGATAGTAACATGAAAGCGGCCTTGGAAATACTAAGAAACAATGTGCAAGTCCTGAACTTACATCTTTTTCTTTCTTTTCCTTTTTTTTCTTTTTTTTGAGACAGGGTCTTGCTCTGTTGCCCAGGCTGGAGTGCAGTGGTGCAGTCATGGCTCACTGCAACCTTGAACTACTGGGCTCAAGTGATCCTCCTGCTCAGCCTCCTGAGTAGCTGAGATTACACACATCTGGCTAATTTTTAAATTTTTTGTAGGGATGGGGTCTCACTACGTTGTTTAGGCTGGTCTTGAAATTCTGGCCTCAAGTGATCCTCTTGCCTCAGCCTCCCAAGTGCTAAGAGTACAGGAGCAAATTACCATGCCTGACCCTGAACTTGTTTCTTAATGACAACATAAAATTGGATACTAGTCAGAAGATCAACAGCCTCTTGTTTGGCTTGGGCCTTCTGTAACCCCCACCCTTATCAACCAAATGGATTATACTTAGACATTTAATTTAACCTCTGTACCATTTAAGATTACACATGTGTTCTTTTTTTTATTTTCATTTAAAAAAAACTCACAAACTTCCATTTCAATATGAAAGATCTAGGAAATACATGTAAGTGAAAAGAAAGCAAAATATCTTGTGATAAATCCTGCCATCTTTGAATATCAATGTAACACTTTGGTGTCAATACTTCATTTTCTTCCTAATTGCAGATCATATATTTATTTATATAATTTATCTTTTATAAAGTCACTTTATTCTTGAACTGATTTCCTTCCTTGGCCTCTGTGACCTTCTTTTGTCTCAGGTCCCATTACAAGTTTTTTTGTTTTTGTTTTTGTTTTGAGACAGAATCTCCCTCTGTCACCCAGGCTGAAGTGCAGTGACACGGTCTTGGCTCCCTGCAACCTCCGCCTCCCGAGTTCAAGCAATTCTCCTGCCTCAGCCTCCCTAGTAGCTGGGATTACAGGCACACACCACCAGGCCCAGCTAATTTTTATATTTTTACCAGAGATGGGGTTTCACCATGTTGCCCAGGCTGGTCTTGAACTCCTGAGCTCAAGTGATCCACCCGCCTCGGCCTCCCAAAGTGCTGGGATTACAGGCATGAGCCACTGCGCCCAGCCACAAGTTTTTATTATTCTATCTTCCCTTCTTAATATTAGTATTCCTCACTTTTTTTTTTCATCTTCAGATCTCTTCTTATGGTACGTGCCTTCCTGAGGTTAGCGCGACCATTTTTGTAATATAAAGCACCACTGGAATCTGTATCGCCAGCCTAGACCACCCTCCTCAGCTCCATCTGACCGGACACCTCCAATTTGATGTCTTTAAAAACCCCAAACTTGATATATCCTGAACTCAATTATCTGTACCCAGGCCTCCGACACTCACCCTTAAGCATGATCCTCTTCCACACTATTTTGGTAAACAGGACCAGCATTTATTCAGTCGCCTAGCCAAAAACCTTTCCATCACATCATACCCTACGATTCCATCACATATGAACTTGATGCCTGCAAAGTGACCTTCTTTCTATCTATCCACCCAACAATATGTTTAGTTGAAATAGGCGCATCTAGGGACCACGAATTAAGCAGTTATATGATCATTGCCCTCTTGAAGCTTAATCAAGTACTGTTATTTCTATCTTCGCCACATTTGTCATCGGCTCCCTCTTACTAACTTACTACCTTTGGACTCTCACCATGGCTATAACCTTTACTCCTATCCATTTTTGAGCCTTTGGGGGAGCTCTGTAGTACAAATCAGATTGCTTCTCTGTTTTCCCCCCCATCCTCCTATTTTTAGCTTTCCCATGTCTACTAAGTCTACTTGTCCATTTTCTTTTTATTTCTTTTTTTTGAGACAGGGTCTCACTTTATGATCCAGGCTGGAGTGCAGTGGCACAATCATGGCTCACTGCAGCCTTGAACCTCCCAGGCTGAAGCCATCCTCCCACCTCAGCTTCCTGAGTAGCTGGAACTACAGGTGCACGCCACCATGCCTGGCTAATTTTTGTATTTTTGTATTTTATTTATTTTTTTGCAGAGACAAGGTTTTGCCATGTTGCACAGACTGGTCTCAATTCCTGGGCTCATATGATCCACACATCTTGGCCTTCCAAAGTGCTGAGATTACATTTATGAGCCACTACGCCTGGCCCCTTTGCCTTCTGTCTTCTAAAATGTTGTAGCTAATATCTCTTAATCTATTTTCTTTTCCTTGTGGATTTACGTCTTTTTTTTTTTGAGACGGAGTCTCACTCTGTCACCCAGGCTGGAGTGCAGTGGCGTGATCTCGGCTCGCTGCAAGCTCTGCCTCCTGAGTTCACGCCATTCTCCTGCCTCAGCCTCCTGAGTAGCTGGGACTACAGGCGCCTGCCACCACGCCCGGCTAATTTTTTCTATTTTTTTTTAGTAGAGACGCGGTTTCACCGTGTTAGCCAGGATGGTCTTGATCTCCTGACTTTGTGATCCGCTCGCCTTGGCCTCCCAAAGTGCTGGGATTACAGGTGTGAGCCACTGCATCTGGCTTTTTTTATTTTTTAATCCTCTACTATCCAACTTTTAGGAAAAGAGCAGAAGTAAATGTATGGAGGTAAATTACCAGGATCCCAGAATTAGGTCATTCTTCAGTTCGTAATTCCTAGACATTTCTTTATACCACTATTGTTAGAATATTTTAATCTCTTTTCCCTCACATTCTCTAGCTGATTTTCCATCAAGATTTGAAATAGCCTCTCCTTTCTTCTTCTTCTTCTTCTTTTTTTTTTTTGAGATAGAGTTTTGCTCTTGTTGCCCAGGCTGGAGTGCAATGGCACCATCTTGGCTTGTAGTAGGACGAGCCACAGACAAAACTCCTCAGACTCCGAGTTAAAGAAGGAAGGGGTTTATTCGGCTGGGGGCATCGGCAAGACTCCTGTCTCAAAAGCCGAGCTCCCCGAGTGAGCAATTTCTGTCCCTTTTAAGGGCTCACAACTCTAAGGGGGTGTGCGTGAGAGGGTCGTGATCGATTGAGCAAGCAGGGGGTACGTGACTGGGGGCTGCATGCACCGGTAATTAGGTCGTAACAAAACAGGATAGGGATTTTCACAGTGCTTTTCTATACAATGTCTGGAATCTATAGATAACATAACCAATTAGGTCAGGGGTCCATCTTTAACTACCAGGTCCAGGGTGTGGCCCCGGGCTGTCTGCTTGTGGATTTCATTTCTGCCTTTTAGTTTTTACTTTTTCTTTCTTTGGAGGCAGAAATTGGGCATAAGACAATATGAGGGGTGGTCTCCTCCCTTAGGCTCACTACAACCTCCACCTCCCAGGTTCAAGTAATTCTCCTGCCTCAGCCTCTCAAGAAGCTGAGATTACAGGCATGTGCCACCATGCCCGGCTAATTTTGTATTTTTAGTAGAGACAGGGGTTTCTCCATGTTGGTCAGGCTGGTCTGGAACTCCTGACCTCAGGTGATCCGCCTGCCTGGGCCTCCTAAAGTGCTGGGATTACAGGTGTGAGCCACCATGCCCGGCCTCTTCTTTTTTAAAAAAAACTTACTTATTTCTTATCTTATATATACCTCTAGTCCAAAGAAATAGAAATAAGACTCAGTAAGTTGCCAGGTATACTGGGAGAGTACAGCAACTACATATAACTCATAAGGCTCAAAACTGCAAATACTATATGTGTGTGTGTGTGTGTGTGTGTATATATATATATATACACACACATATATGTATATCATATATGTATATTTATTTACTTATTTTTGGCATGGAAAAACAGGCAGAATTGGGAAGGGGGAAGAATTTACTCTAAGTTGTATAACTGAGCTTTGGCAGGGAGATAGGGAGGCAAGAGTCAGGCCAAGTTCCTGATACAGAGAAGCTACCAGCTTTGTGTGTAGTTTATGAGACCTGATCTAGATATTCTAGGCACCAGTGCAAGAAGTATATACTATTAATTACCACACATATGGATTAGCATATGCCTACATAAAACCTAGTCTGTCTTTCAGAACATATACTTAAAGGAATTTTATAATTAGGTTGCAGATCATTAGACTCTCTGCTTATTGAGTTATAAAGTATCTTCTTTCACATGTGAGAAGAGACATTAATCTAAAATTTCTTTATGATTTTATCTAAGATTTCAGTGCTGTGTGGAAAAAGTAGCCCTTCAAAGTACTGGTTTTAAAATACTAGCTGCAGAAGGAGGCCAATTTCCCGAAACAAAAGTGAGTGGATATTAAATTGCAATGTGGACACCATGCCCTGTACCGTTATTTCAGAATGTCCAGGCACGAGGACAGTGATACCCTAGTCAGGGAAGCATGACATGGAGAGAGACCACGTCTTTCTAATGCCCTGGTGTTCTGTCAGGGTTCCACAACCTACCCTTAAGGGTTCCTCCTACCCTTAATTTTCCCATTCATTGCATACTTTGCCCTACTTCTTTCTTTCTCTTTTCCAGTTTACTTCTCTTCCCTTCTCAGCCTACTGCCTATAGTAATAGTTTTCAAAATGTGGTCCCTGGATGATATGCATCAGTATGACCTGAAAACTTCTTTTTTTTTTTTTTTTTTTTTTGGAGCTGGAGTTTTGCTCTTGTTGCCCAGGCTGGAGTACAATGGCTTGATCTCAGCTCACTGCAACTTCCACCTCTCGGGTTCAAGCGATTCTCCTGCCTCAGCCTCCCAAGTAGATGGGATTACAGGCATACGCCACCATGCCCGGCTAATTTTGTATTTTCAGTAGAGATGGGGTTTCTCCATGTTGGTCAGGTTGGTCTCCTACTCCCGACCTCAGGTTATCCGCCCGCCTGGGCCTCCCAAAGTGCTGGGATTACGGGCTTCAGCCACCGCGTCCAGCCAGAACTTGTTAAATATACAAATTCCTGGGCTCCATCCTAGTTTCTACTTAATCAGAAACTCTGGGTGTGGCCACAGCGACCTGTGTTTTAACATGCTGTCTAGTTATTCTAATGCTCGCTAAACTTTGAGAATCACTGCCTTATAGTGTACTAAAATTATCCTTTCTGATATGGCCTTGAAACATTCTAAAAAACTAGAATTATACCTGATTTTGGATACAAGCAATGTGTGAAATTCTTTGCATGATTAAAATTACTCTATTTGCTTAAAGTAAATTGTCGCCACATTTTTAAGATTAAAATCTAAGTGTTTTAAGGAAATATGCTTGTGTTACTTACTTCATACTTATGTCTTTATTTCTTCACCAGTAAGTATGAGCCCAGTGCATACAAAGTAAAAACTTGCATACAGTCTCTTACAATTGGAGTTATTCTGTCTTCAAAGGGCTTACAAGCTATTGCAACTAACAGATAAGCAGGCTTACCTATAGCTAATATAAATCCATGTGTTTAACTTGCCACAACAGAAGAAAAAGATGTTATGGGATTATAGAAGAGGGAGTGATTCCAATAGCAATCAGAAAAGCCTTCACGGGCTGGGCATGGTAGTTCATGTCTGTAATCCTAGTACTTTAGGAGGCCAAGGTGGGAGGACTGCTTGAGCCCAGGCGTTTTAAGACCAGCCTGGGCAACATAGTGGGACTCCGATTGTACAAAAAACTTAAAAATTAACTGGCATGGTGGTGCGCACCTGCAGTCCTAGCTACTCAGGAGGCTGAGGTGGGAGGACTGGTTGAGCCCAGGAGATGGAGGCTGCATGCAGTGAGCCACGATCATGACACGGTACTCCAGCCTGGGAAACAGAGCAAGACTCTGTCTCAAAAAAAGAAAAAGGAAAAAAAGAAAAAAGAAAAAAATCAGCATCCACGAGTGAGGCATATTTTAGCTGGACTGGAAGATGAATAGTCTATTTGGACTCATTTTTCTTTCACATTTTCCTCTAATTTTTTTCTCTTATATGCCAGTACTTAATGGCTGTTATTTTGCACATAGTTTAAACTATGACTATAATTTAAATAAGACTTTTACACATATCTGCAATAAAAATGGGGTCTACTGCTTTTCATTTTTAAGCATTATGTTTTGCCTAAATAGAAGTTTACAAAATTAAACTAGTTTATCATTATTTATGTGAATTCAAAACTTTTTTTTATTTCACACAAATTTAAAGAAATGTTATTATGGTTATAGACCAAACACCATTATCATTTAAAGACCATCTGTAGTGTACTGAAAAAAGCACAGGACCTGCTTTGAAACATACCCTTGTAACTGAGCACCCCCATTTTTCTGAGACAGAGAGAATGAGCTCGTTTTTTTCTCTTTTCTCTATTTCCCCCTCTTTCCACTTCTTACTTAGCCCTTTAGAAATGCAATTATAACCTTTTACCTCCCTGTTACCAGATACTCCCTACAGAGCAAGTTCATTTAACTATGTGCTTAGAAGCTCCAGAGTGGAACTTGCACCCACCAGGAGGTTGCCTCGAGAGACAACAGTCAATCTACAACCCAAAGTATGCCCACTAGGAAACTTTCTCCTACCTGGAGAGTTTCAGCTACCTTTATAACCTAGTTCTGCCTACAAAGGCACAGTGCTCGCCAGCTTGAATGCTGGGCAGACAGAGTACTGAAGCAAGTCATGTGGATCCCCTCCTCTTTCTTCCTCCCTCGCATGCCATTCCTGCCAAACTCCCTTTTAAAAGCACTCACTTCCTGCTCCAAAAGTGAAGCGGTACCCTTAAGGCAGGAAGCCTGTACTTCTTCCCCAAACTAGCTTTGGAATAAAAAATCATTTTCTTTATACTAGATCTCTCCCTTGTTAATTGGACTCTGCAAGTGACGAGCAACTAAACCTGCATTTTGGTTACACCCTAGTTAAAAACAACAACAACAACAACAACAACAAAACAGACAAGGCGTGCTGAGTTCTACAATGGAGAGACTAAGCAATTTAAATCCAGTGGCAGAATTTTTGGCTACAGTGAGACAAACTTTAGGGACAAATGATACTCTACAAAAATGTGGTTAGAATGGTTTCAGTCTAAATGTAATTCTTAGAAACATCACGGCCACTGTTTACTACATTTGTGAAATTTTGAATCTGTCAAGAGTTGTTTGAGTAAGCAACCTTAAAGAATGAAAAGCTATTTACAATGGGACATATTTTCTTGACTCTAAAACAAAAAATGGTTGTAGATCTTCACCATTTTCTAGGCAGGCTCCTCCTGGCACATGGAGATCATGCTGTGAATTGCAGGAGGAAGGGTTTAGCAGTAAACTTTGGAATGTAACCCCTTATTGGCAAAGTATCTGTACCTAATTGATTTTCTTTACCCTTTTAAAAAAAGAATCTCTAGTTCCCGGCCCCAAATGGCCACCTAAACTTCAATCAAATATTGCAATAAAATCCAAACTAAGAGGATTTCACTGAAGTATAAAGTGTGAGGCAGAAAATTAGAGACCAGATTTATTAGCTTGGGTTGAATTTCATGCTAGTTCCATTAATTAAAAAGCAATTTTTGCTAAATCTCTGTAAGGGCTTTGATGCTCTCAACTGTTCTCACTTACATCCACCACTACTTCAGGGGCTTCTATCATCAGGATCAAAGGAAAATGAGTGGTGGAAAAGGAAAGCAAGACTAGTGTCTTAAGCTAGAGTTTGAGCATGGGATTCTAGAGCAATGATGTCTGACTGAAATACAGATGGTCCTAGACTTATGATGGTTTGACTTACAATTTTTTGAGTTTAAGATGATGTGAAAGTGATATGCATTCGGTAGGGACTATACCTCGAGTACCCACACAATCATTCTATTTTCCACTTTTAGTATAGTATTCAATAAATTACATGAGATATTTGACACTTTATTATAAAATAGGCTTTGTATTAGATGATTCTGCCCAACTGTAGGCTAACGTAAGTGTTCTGAGCATGTTTAAAGTATGCTAGGCTAAGCTATGTTGTTCAGTAGGCTAGGTGTATTGAAAGCATTTTCTTATTTATTTATTTATTTATTTTTGAGACAGAGTCTCGCTCTGTTGCCCAGGCTTGAGTGCAATGGCGTGATCTCCGCTCACGGCAACCTCTGCCTCCTGGGTTCAAGCAATTCTCCTGCCTCAGCTTCCCGAGTAGCTGGGATTACAGGCATGCACCACCCCGCCCCGCTAATTTTTGTATTTTTAGTAGAGACGAGGTTTCACGATGCTGGCCAAGCTGGTCTCAAACTCCTGACCTCAGGCGATCCACCCCCCTCAGCCTCCCAAAGTGCTGGGATTACAGGCGTGAGCCACCACGCCCAGTCGCATTTTCTTATTTTTATTTATTTATTGATTGATTGAGACAGGCTCTTGCTCTGTCACTCATGCTGGAATGAAGTGGCATGATCACAGCTCACTGCAGCCTCCACCTTCCAGGCTCAGGCAATCCTCCCACCTCAGCCTCCTAAGTAGCTGGGACCACAGGTGTACACCATCATGTCCAGCTATTTTTTTTATGTTTTGCAGAGATGAGGTCTCACTATGTTGCCCAGGCTGGTCTTGAACTCCTGGGCTCAAGCAGTTCTCCCTCCTCAGCCTCTCAAAGTGTTGGAATTACAGGCGTGAGCCACCGCACCTGGCCTAACTGCACTTTCAACTTAGGATATTTTTAACTTACAAAGAGTTTATCAGGAATGTAACCCCATTTTAAGTCAAGCAGGATCTGTATGATGTGAGCTATATGTGTAATTTAATATTTTCTGGTAGCCTAATTTAAAATAGTAAAAGGAAACAGGTAAAATTAAATATATTTTATCTAACCAAACACATCTAAAATATGATAGTTCAACCTAAAATTAATGTAAAAGTCACTAATGATATATATATATATATATTTTTAGATGGAGTTTTGCTCTTGGAGTGCAATGGTGCGTGATCTTGGCTCACTGCAACCTCCACCTCCCGGCTTCAAGCGATTTTCCTGCCTCAGCCTCCCAAGTAGCTGGGATTACAGGCATGCGCCACCACGCCCGACTAATTTTGAATTTTTAATAGAGACAGAGTTTCTCCATGTTGGTCAGGCTGGTCTCAAACTCCAACCTCAGGTGATCCGCCCACCTGGGCCTCCCAAAGCGCTGGGATTATAGGCGTGAGCCACCGTGCCCGTCCACTAATGAGATATTTTATATTCCTTTACTGGACTAAGTCCTCAAAAGCCAATGTATATGTCACACTAACAGCACATCTTGGTTTGAATTAGACACATTTCACCTAGTCGAATCTAGTTCCACATGTGTCACATAAAGATTTTGGACTACATTAGACTACAATACCCTTAAAATATAGGTCTTATAGTCCTAAAGTTATAGAAAGTGTGATTTTCTATCTCTTTTCTTCCCACAATTGCCCTTTCCTTAGGCTTTTGGCTGCTATTTTTAGAATACTGTTTAGAAAATTATGGCAGGGGACATCAAATCAGGGTACTGAACTTGTTATAGGGCAACTGAAAAATGTCAGTCTCCCCAGGCTAAAAAATAAGGTTTGGAACCAACGTGATAACGTTTTCCATGAAATTAGTTATAGATAAAAGAGAGAACAGTTTGAACTTCAAAGGGTATCAAAGTCAGACAGCCTCAAAGACTGATATGTGGATCTTTCCCCTTTGATTTTGTTATGAAACTGGGCTGTCTCCATTGCAGACTATCTGTAATCTGGCTTAAGTTGTACTTATAAAAGTGTTTTAGTCTCCTTGTTTTTTTCCCTTTTCACATTGAACTTTGGTCATTTCTACACTGCATAAGTAGAAAAATATTTCGGGTAGACTGTATTTGATTTTCCTGTAGCTGTTAGAAACTTGCAAACCTTTTTGTCACTGGTGAGAATTCAAAATTGAAGTTTAGCCTTAAGAATAAAAAAAATTGTCTTTTTTTTTTTCCTTTTAACAAACTACCATTGGAAAGACTGAAAATCTTAAGTAGGGAAAAAGCAAAAGGATGGCCCCTACTTAAAATTTCATAATGCTATACCAATCAAAATTCTTATATTAGAACACACATTCTTTTCAAGTGCATAAGGAATAGCTGCCAATATAGACCATATACTGGACCATAAAACATCTCCCAATGAATTTAAAAGCATGTTATCTGAACATGATAGAAGTTAGAAAGCATTAAGAGAAAAACCTCTGAAAGATCCACGCAAAGAGTATAATATAAACTACATAACATAATTCTAAATAACCTAAGCGTTCAAAGAAGAAATCAAAAGGGAAATGAGAAAGTATTTAAAAATGAATAAAAATGAAGACATATTATATAAAAATTTGTTGGCTGCTAATAAGGCGGTATTTAGTGAGAAATTTCTAGCACTAAATACCTGTGTTAGAAAAGAAGAAAGGTTTCAAATCAATCACATTAGCATCTACCTTAAGAAAATGGACAAAGAGCTAATTAAATATAAAGTAAGTAGAAGAAAGGAAATAAAATGTCGTGTAGAAATCAATAATAGACAACATAAAAACAACAGAGAGAAAATCAATGAAACCCGAAACTGGTTCTCTGAGAAATTTAATAAAATGTATAACTCTCTAGCTTGACTGAACAGGATAAAAAGGGGAGACAACACATTTTTGCCATGAGGAATGAGAGAGATGACATTATTCTAGATTCTATAGATATTAAAAAGATAATAAAGAACTAGGATTAACATGTTATATCTATATATTGGACAATTTTGACAAAATGAACAAATTCCTTTTAAGATACCAATTGCTAAATACCTCTTACAAAATAAATAACCCAAATACATTACATCTACAAAATAATTGAACTTGAAGTTAAAAACCTTCTCATAAAGAAAGATCTAGGCCTGGATATCTTTATTTATGAATTCCACCAAATATTTAAGGAAGCAATAATACCAATTCTAGACAAACTCTACTGGAAAATTGAGCCGGAGTATGCACTTCCCAACTGATTTTATGAGGCCAGCAATACCCTGCTACCAAAACCAGACACAGAAATTAGCAAATCAAATCCGACAAGTTAAACCGGATGCAGTACTATGTGCCTATAGTTCCAGCTATTTGGGAGGCTGAAGCAAGAGGATCACTGGAGTCAGTCTGGGCAAGATAGCAAGTCCTCTGTCTCTAATAAAATAAAAAATTAAATAAAAAAATAAAAAATACATCATGATCAACTAGAATGGAAAGCTGGTTTCACATTAGCAAATCAACCAATGTAATTCACCCTGTTAAAAAACTGAAGAGAAAAACTATCTGATCACCTTAAAAGATACGGAAAAAAAATCTGACAAAATACCACATCAATTATTTGATTCCTCAGTATCCTAGGAATCAAAGGACACTTTCATAAACAGATAAGAGAGTATCTACAAAAAAACCCTACAGCTAATGTCTGCACTTAAATCTATACTATTTTTCACAAAAGTGCAAAGCCAATTCAGTGAGTAAACAAATGATGCAACAACAACTCTATATCTGTTTGTAAAAGAAATGAACTTGGTCCCATACCTTATACCAAATTAAAAAGATAAACTAGAAACAGCTGAGATCTAAATATGAAACCTAAACATTTAGCATTTTTAAAGAAAATGAGAGAAAATTTTTGTCACTTTGGGTTTAGAGAAGACTTCTTAGATATGATACCAAGTGCATATCTATTCATGAATAAAAAATTGATAAACTGGACTTTATCAAAATAAAAAGCTTCTGATCTTTAAAAGACACTGTTCAGAGAATAAAAATATAAGACAATATCTGAAAATAACTGAAAATCATATATTTGAGAAGGACTTGTATTCAGAATATAAAAATTTTTCCAAACTCGGTAATAAGAAAACAAACAACCCAATTTAAAAAGGGCAAAATATTTGAACATACATCAACAAAGATATATAGATGGTAAATAAGTATAAATCAAGATGTCCAATATCATCAGTCATTAGGAAAGTGCAAATTAAAACCACATGAGATACAACCACACACCTATTAGGATGGCTTCAAATGGAAAGACTGACTACAGGAAGTGTTGGAGAGGATGTGGAAATACTGGAACTCTCATATACTCATGGTGGGAATGTAAAATGATAGAGCTGCTTGAAACACAGCTTGGACATTTCTTAAAAAGTTAAAAGTACACATACTATAGGGTCCAGCCAATACACTCCTGTTATTTTAAACTAGATAAATGAATGCATTATGTCCATCAAAGACTTATGCATGAATGTTGAGAGCAGTTTTACTTGTACCAGGCCCCAGCTGGAAATGAATCAAATATTCATTAACATGTGAATGGATAAGCAAAAGTAACTGAGGTATTTGCATTGTTGGAATCTGCCGTTTGATACTGGAATACGTTCTTAAATAAATGTGGTTATGTTTTATACATCATTTTAATGGGCATTTCTCACTTTATTTTTCTTTTGTTAATGACTTATTACTTGCTGTTCATTTCATGTTTTAGACTATGAAAATGATGTTAGATAAAAATTAAATTCAAGCAATTTTCTTGTTCGAGTTCAAAACGGGTCATAAAGCAGCAGAGATAACTTGCAACATCAACAATGCATTTGGCCCAGGAACTGCTAATGAACATACAGTGCAGTGCTTGTTCAAGAAGTTTTGCAAAGGAGAAGAGGAAGATGAGGAGTGTAGTGACCAGCCATTAGAAGTTGACAACAACCAAGTGGGAGCAATCATCAAAGCTCATCCTTTTACAACTACACGAGAAGGTGCCGAAGAGCTCACCATTGACCATTCTATGGTCATTTGGCATTTGAAGCAAACTGGAAAGGTGAAAAAGCTCGATAAGTGGATGCCTCATGAGCTGAACCAAAAAAAACAAAAAACAAAAAAAAAAAAACCATCGTTTTGAAGTGTCATCTTCTCTTACTCTATGCAACAAGGAAACATTTCTCAATTGGATTGTGATGTGCCACAAAAAGTGGATTTTATATGACAACCAGTGACAACCAGCTCAGGGGTAGGACCAAGAAGCAGCTCCAAAGCGCTTCCCAAAGCCAAACTTGCAACCAAAAAAGGTCATGGTCACTGTTTGGTGGTCTGCTGCCAGTCTGATCCACTACAGCTTTCTGAATCCTGGCGAAACCATTACATCTCAGAAGTATAGTTGGCAAATCGATGAGATAAACCGAAAACTGCAAGGCCTGCAGCTGGCATTGGTCAACAGAAAGGGCCCAATTCTTCTCCATGACAATGCATGTCACACAACCAATGCTTCAAAAGTTGAACAAATTGGGCTACAAAGTGCTGCCTCATCCACCGTATGCACCCAACCCCTGGTCAACTGACTACCACTTCAAGCATCTCAACAACTTTTTGCAGGGAAAATGCTTCCACAACCAGCAGGATGCAGAAAATGCTTTCCAA
Organism: Homo sapiens; assembly: GCF_000001405.40. Taxonomy (NCBI): domain Eukaryota; kingdom Metazoa; phylum Chordata; class Mammalia; order Primates; family Hominidae; genus Homo; species Homo sapiens. The sequence goes on from NC_000011.10 coordinate 9,929,816, forward strand.
GAGTTCGTTGAATCTTGAAGCACAGACATTTATGCTACAGGAATAAAGAAACTTATTATTAACTGGCAAAAATGTGTTGATTGTAACGGTTCCTATTCTGATTAATAAAGATGTGTTTTCATTGTTCAGCTCCCATGGACACAGGTAGGGGAACAATACTTACTGGGGCCTGTTGGGGGATGGTGGGGGTGGGAGAGCATTACGGAAAAGAGCTGATGCATGCTGGGCTTAATACCTAGGTGATGGGTTGACAGGTGCAGCAAACAACCATGGCACACGTTTACCTATGTAACAAACCTGCACATCCTGGACATGTACCTCAGAAATTAATATAAAGAATTTTAAAAAAAGTACAAACAGGTGAAAAAAAATGTGTTTGAGCCTAGTTATAATGATTTAAAATTCATGGTCCAAAACTGCATTTACTTTTTTACCAACCTAATATTTATACAATATATAACAGTACTATTCACCATTAAAAAGGAATGATCTATTGATGCATACTACATACATCAAAATAATGATGCTGAGTAAAAGAAGCCAGACCAAAAAAATTACATATTTGATTCCATTCACATAAAATGTAGAAAATGCAACCTAATCTATAGTGGCAGAGAAAAGATCAGCAGTCACCTGGGAATGGGTATAGAGGCAGGGTGTTGAGAAGAGGGGAGAGTATCCTTTGTATCCCTTTTCTTGTACAAAAGAGTACAAGAAACTTTTGGGGATAATAAATTGGTTCATTATTTTGATTGTTGTGATAGTTTCAAAGGTGTCTATACATGTTAAAAAGTTATTAACTTGGGGAGATCCGTTTCAAGATGGCTGAACAGGAACAGCTCTGGTCTGCAGCTCCCAGCGTGATCGATGCAGAAGACGGGTGATTTCTGCATTTCCAAGTGAGGTACCTGTTTCATCTCATTGGGACTGGTTGGACAGTGGGTGCAGCCCACGGAGGGTGAGCCGAAGCAGCGTGGGGTGTCACCTCACCTGCGAAGAGCAAGAGATTGGGGGATTTCCCTTTCCCAGCAAAGGGAAGCCATGACAGACTGCACCTGGAAAAACGGGACACTCCCACCCAAATACTGCACTTTTACCAAGGTCTTAGCAACTGGCAGACAAGAAGATTCTCTCCCATGCCAGGCTTGGCTGGTCCCATGTCCACAGAGCCTTGCTCACTGCAAGCTAGCACAGCAGTCTGAGATTGAACTTTGAGGTGGCAGCCTGGCTGGGGGAGGGGCATCTGCCATTGCTGCAGCTTGCGTAGGTAAACAAAGAAACCAGGAAGCTCGAACTGGGCGGAGCCCACTGCAGCTCAGCAAGGCCTACTGCCTCTATGGACTCCACCTCTGTGGGCAGGGCATAGCTGAACAAAACGCAGCAGACAGCTTCTGCAGACTTAGAAGTCCCTGTCTGACAGCTCTGAAGAGAGCAGTGGTTCTTCCAGAATGGCGGCTGAGCTCTGAGAATGGACAGACTGCCTCCTCAAGTGGGTCCCTGACCCCTGTGTAGTCTAACTGGGAGACACCTCCCAGTAGGGATCGACAGACACCTGATATAGATGGGTGCCCCTCTGGGACGAAGCTTTCAGAGGAAGGATCAGGCAGCAGTATTTGCTGTTCTGCAATATTTGCTGTTCTGCAGCCTCCACTGGTGATACTCAGGCAAACAGGGTCTGGAGTGGACCTCCAGCAAACTCCAACACACCTGCAGCTGAGGGACCTGACTGTTAAAAGGAAAACTAAACAACAGAAAGGAATAGCACCAACATCAACAAAAAGGACATCTACACCAAAACCCCATCTGTAGTTCACCAACATCAAAGACAAAAGGTAGATAAAACCACAAAGATGGGGAGAAACCAGAGCAGAAAAGCTGAAAATTCTAAAAACCAGAGCACCTCTTCTCCTCCAAAGGATCGCAGCTCCTCCCCAGCAATGGAACAAAGCTGGATGGAGAATGACTTTGATGAGTTGACAGAAGTAGGCTTCAGAAGGTCAGTAATAACAAACTTCTCCAAGCTAAAGGAGCATGTTCAAACCCATCGCAAGGAAGCTAAAAACTTGAAAAAAGGTTAGACGAATGGCTAACTAGAACAAACAGTATAGAGAAAACCTTAAATGACCTGATGGAGCTGAAAACCATGGCACGAGAACTTCGTGACGCATGCACAAGCTTCAATACCCAATTCGATCAACTGGAAGAAAGGGTATCAGTGATTGAAGATCACATTAATGAAATAAAGTGAGAAGACAAGGTTAGAGAAAAAAGAGTAAAAAGCAACAAACGAAGCCTCCAAGAAATACGGGACTAGGTGAAAAGACCAAATCTACATTTGATAGGTGTACCTGAAAGTGATGGGGAAAATGGAACCAAGTTGGAAAACACTCTTCAGGATATCATCCAGGAGAACTTCCCCAACCTAGCAAGGCAGGCCAACATTCAAATTCAGGAAATACAGAGAACACCACAAAGATACTCCTCGAGAAGAGCAACCCCAAGACACAGAATTGTCAGATTCATCAAGGTTGAAATGAAGGAAAAAATGTTACGGGCAGCCAGAGAGAAAGGTCAGGTTACCCACAAAGGGAAGCCCATCAGACTAACAGTGGATCTCTCGGCAGAAACCCTACAAGCCGGAAGAGAGAGGGGGCCAATATTCATCCTTCTTAAAGAAAATAATTTTCAACCCAGAATTTCATATCCAGCCAAACTAAGCTTCATAAATGAAGGAGAAATAAAATCCTTTACAGACAAGCAAATGCTGAGAGATTTTGTCACCACCAGGCCTGCCTTACAAGAGCTCCTGAAGGAAGCATAAACATGGAAAGGAACAACCAGTACCAGCCACTGCAAAAACATGTCAAATTGTAAAGACCATCAATGTTACAAAGAAACTGCATCAATTAATGGGCAAAATAACCAGCTAGCATCATAATGATAGGATCAAATTCACACATAACAATATTAACCTTAAATTTAAATGGGCTAAATGCCCCAATTAAAAGATACAGACTGGCAAATTGAATAAAGAGTCAAGACCCATCGGTGTGCTCTATTCAGGAGACCCATCTCACATGAAGAGACACACATAGGCTCAAAATAAAGGGATGGAGGGAGATCTACCAAGCAAACGAAAAGCAAAAAAAAAAAAAAAAAAAAAAAAAAAAAACAGGTGTTGCAATCCTCAATCCTAGTCTCTGATAAAACAGACTTTAAACCAACAAAGATCAAAAGAGACAAAGAAGGCCATTACATAATGGTAAACAGATCAATTCAACAAGAAGAGCTAACTATCCTAAATATAGATGCACCCAATACAGGAGCACCCAGATTCATAAAGCAAGTCCTGAGAGACCTACAAAGAGACTTAGACTCCTACACAATAATAATGGGAGACTTCAACACCCCACTGTCTATATTACACAGATCAACGAGACAGAAGGTTAACAAGGATATCCAGGACTTGAACTCAGCTCTGGACCAAGTGGACCTAATGGACATCTACAGAACTCTCCACCCCAAATCAACAGAATATACATTCTTCTCAGCACCACATCACACTTATTCCAAAATTGACCACATAATTGGAAGTAAAGCATGCCTCAGCAAATGTAAAAGAACAGAAATCACAACAAACTGTGTCTCAGACCACAGTGCAATCAAATTAGAACTCAAGATTAAGAAACTCACTCAAAACCGCTCAACTACATGGAAACTGAACAAAGTGCTCCTGAATGACTACTGGGTACATAACGAAATGAAGGCAGAAATAAAGATGTTTTTTGAAACTAATGAGACCAAAGACACAACGTATCAGAATCTCTGGGGCGCATTTAAAGCAGTGTGTAGAGGGAAATTTACAGCACTAAATGCCCACAAGAGAAAGCAGGGAAGATCCAAAATCAGCATCCTAACATCACAATCAAAAGAACTAAAGAAGCAAGAGCAAACAAATTCAAAAGCTAGCAGAAGGCAAGAAATAACTAAGATCAGAGCAGAACTGAAAGAGATAGAGACACAAAAAACCTTTCAAAAAAATCAATGAATCCAGGGGCTGGTTTTTTGAAAAGATCAACAAAATTGATAGACTGCTAGCAAGACTAATAAAGAAGAAAAGAGAGAAGAATCAAACAGATGCAATAAAAAAATGCTACTCGGGAGGCTGAGGTAGGAGAATGGCATGAACCTGGGAGGCGGAGCTTGCAGTGAGCTGAGATTGTGCCATGGCACTCTAGCCTGGGTGACAGAGCGAGACTGTCTCAAAAATAAATAAATAAAAATAAAACATAAAAAATGATAAAGGGGATATCACCACCGATCCCACAGAAATACAAACTACCATCAGAGAATACTATAAACACCTCTGCTCAAATAAACTAGAAAATCTAGAAGAAATGGATAAATTCCTGGACACATACACCCTCCCAAGACTAAACCTGGAAGAAGTTGAATCTCTGAATAGACCAGTAACAGGCTCTGAAATTGAGGCAATAATAGCCTACCAACAACAAAAAAAGTCCAGAAGCAGACGGATTCACAACCGAATTCTACCAGAGGTACAAAGAGGAGCTGGTACCATTCCTTCTGAAACTCTTCCAATCAATAGAAAAAGAGGGAATCCTCCCTAACTCATTTTATGAGGCCAACATCATCCTGATACCAAAGCCTGGCAAAGACACAACAGAAAAAGAGAATTTTAGATCAATATCCCTGATGAACATCAATGTGAAAATCCTCAATAAAATAATGGCAAACCGAATCCAGCAGCACATCAAAAAGCTTATCCACCACGATCAAGTCGGCTTCATCCCTGGGGTGCAAGGCTGGTTCAACATACGCAAATCAATAAATGTAATCTATCACATAAACAGAACCAACAACAAAAAGACATGATTATCTCAACAGATGCAGAAAAGGCCTTTGACAAAATTCAACAGCCCTTCATGCTAAAAACTCTCGATAAACAAGGTATTGACGGAACGTACCTCAAAATAATAAGAGCTATTTATGACAAACCCACAGCCAATATCATACTGAATGGGCAAAAACTGGAAGCATTCCCTTTGAAAACTGGCACAAGACAAGGATGCCCTTTCTCACAACTGCTATTCAACTTAATGTTGGAAGTTCTCACCAGGGCAGTCAGGGAAGAGAAAGAAATAAAAGGTATTAAATTAGGAAAAGAGGAAGTGAAATTGTCCCTGTTTGCAGATGACATGATTGTATATTTAGAAAACCCCATCGTCTCAGCCCAAAATCTCCTTAAGCTGATAAGCAGCTTCAGCAGTGTCTCAGGATACAAAATCGATGCGCAAAAATCACAAGCATTCTTACACCAATAACAGACAAACGGAGAGCCAAATCATGAGTGAACTCCCATTCACAATTGCTACTAAGAGAATAAAATACCTAGGAATCCAACTTACAAGGGATGTGAAGGACCTCTTCAAGAGGAACTAGAAACCATTGCTCAACGAAATAAAAGAGGACACAAAGAAATGGAAGAACATTCCATGCTCATGGATAGGAAGAACCAATACCGTGAAAATGGCCATACTGCCCAAGGTAATTTATATATTCAATGCCATCCCCATCAAGCTACCAATAACTTTCTTCACAGAATTTGAAAAAAACTACTTTAAAGTTCATATGGAACCAAAAAAGGAGCCCACATTGCCAAGATAATTCTAAACAAAAAGAAGAAAGCTGGAGGCATCATGGTACCTGACTTCAAACTATACTACAAGGCTACAGTAACCAAAACAGCATGGTACTGGTATCAAAACAGATATATAGACCAATGGAACAGAACAGAGGCCTCAGAAATATCACCACACATCTACAACCATCTGATCTTTGACAAACCTGACAAAAACAACAGATGGGGAAAGGATTCCCTATTTAATAAATGGTGCTGGGAAAACTGACTAGCCATATGTAGAAAGCTGAAACTGGATCACTTCCTTACACCTTATATAGAAATTAATTCAAGATGGATTAAAGACTTAAATGTTAGACCTAAAACCATAAAAACCCTAGAAGAAAACCTAGGCAATACCATTCAGGACACAGGCATTGGTAAGGACTTCATGACTAAAACACCAAAAGCAATGGCAACAAAACCAAAATAGACAAATGGGATCTAATTAAACTAAAGAGCTACTGCACAGCAAAAGAAACTACCATCAGAGTGAATAGGCAATCTACAGAATGGGAGAAAAATTTTGCAATCTACCCATCTGACAAAGGGCTAATATCCAGAATCTACAAAGAACTCAAACAAATTTACAAGAAAAAAACAACTCCATCAAAAAGTGGGTGAAGTATATCAACAGACACTTCTCAAAAGAAGACGTTTATGCAGCCAACAGACTTATGAAAGAATGCTCATCATCATTGGTCATCAGAGAAACGCAAATCAAAACCACAATGAGATACCATCTCACACCAGTTAGAATGGTGATCTTTAAAAAGTCAGGAAACAACAGATGCTGGAGCGGATGTGGAGAAATAGGAATGCTTTTACACTGTTGGTGGGACTGTAAATGAGTTCAACCATTGTGGAAGACAGGGTGGCAATTCCTCAAGGATCTAGAACTGGAAATAGCATTTCACCCAGCAATCCCATTACTGGGTATATACCCAAAGGATTATAAATCATGCTACTATAAAGACACATGCACATGTATGTTTATTGCAGCACTATTCACAATAGCAAAGACTTGGAACCAACCCAAATGTCCATCAATGATAGACTGGATTAAGAAAATGTGGCACATATACACCATGGAATACTATGCAGCCATAAAAAAGGATGAGTTCATGTCCTATGCAGGGATATGGATGAGGCTGGAAACCATCTTCTCAGCAAACTATCACAAAGACAGAAAACCAAACACTGCATGTTCTCACTCATAGGTGGGAATTGAACAATGAGAACATTTGGACACAGGGCAGGGAACATCACACACTGGGGCCTGTCAGGGGTGGGGGTCTGGGGTAGGGATAGCATTAGGAGAAATACCTAATGTAAATGACAAGTTCATAGTTGCAGCAAACCAACATGGCACATGAGAGCAAGAACTCCTTTACTCCCTTGAGGATTAACTCAGTTAAGAAAGAGTGGCATTAATCACTGTCAATGACCTAATCATCTCTTAAAGGTCCCACCTCCCAACACCAACACATCAGGGGCCAAATTTCTAACACATGAATTCTGAGGAACATACTCAAAGTATAGGAAGGGCCAACATCTGAATAGTATAAATCCCAGAAGAGCAAAATGAGAAAAAGAAGGAAGATTAAAGAAAATTGCCCAGAATTTAAGGACAAAAGCTTCCAGATTAAAAGGGTTTGACACATATTCAGCACAATATATGCAAATACCCCAATGACATCAGCGGACATCACTATAACATTTCTGAAGACTGGGGTCAAAGGGAAGATCCTACAAGCTTCCACAGAGAAAAGATAAAGTTTTGTGGGAAGCATAAAGGAATGCAATCATGGATCAATGAAAAAAATTTATCAATTTCATCTATTAAATCAGGACACTAAGGAAGAGAAAAACATTATAATAAGTGCTGAAAAGCAATTGAAAAATATTTATCAGCCAATACAAATAACAAGCAAAATGGGAACAGAAGAAAACTAGTTCAAGATAATAAAAATTATTTACTAAAGCCAAATAAAAAATAATTATCCTAAATAACAAAACACTAACCATTTTTATTAGGATTAAGACAGTGATAATTTTTATCAGATTTTTATTTAACATTGTCTTGGAGGTTCTGGAGAATACAATATGACAAGAAGATGAAATAAATAAATTGTATAAAAACGGGCAAAAAAGATATAAAACTTTCTTTTGAATTGGTATTATTGCATGTCTAGAAAACCCAAGAAACTAATAAAAAACTGAAATTAATAAGAGAATTCGGTAAAATGGATAGGTATTAAATAAGTATGTAAAAGCAATAGTTTTGATTTATTATAGCAAAAAAGCAACTGAAAATGGAAACAGAAAAATACTTCACTCACAATATCAGTATAAACTATAACATGCTAAAGAATACATCTAATAAACCAAAAAACTTGTAAGAAAACCTTAAAAGCTACTGAAAGGCACACAAAAAATTGAAAACTGGATGTTATTAGATGGGAAGACTTATAAGAAAATATTAAATTTTCAGGGTCGGGCACGGTAGCTCACACTTGTAATCCCAGCACTTTGGGGGCCAAGGCGGGCGGATCACGCGGTCAGGAGATCGAGACCATCCTGGTTAACACAGTGAAACCCCGTCTCCACTAAAAATACAAAAAATTAGCCGGGCGTGGTGGCGGGCGCCTCTAGTCCCAGCTACTCAAGAGGCTGTGGCAGGAGAATGGTGAGAACCCGGCAGGTGGAGCTTGCAGTGAGCTGAGATCCAGCCACTGCACTCCAGCCTGGGCGACACAGCGAGACTCCGTCTCAGAAAAAAAAAAGAAAAAAAAAAGATAATATTAAATTTCCAAAATTAACATATAAATGGAATGCAATTCCAAATGGTTTGCACTCTCAATTCCAGTGGATTTTTTTTTCGGGGAACTGAACAGTATTGTCTTAATGTTTATATTAAATAATCAATGCCCAGGAATGGCTTAAAAAGTACAAAAAAAAAAAATCAATGTAGGATAATTTGCTTTTGGAACATAATGTCCTTTTATCAAATAAATATGGTATTCGTTTAGAAATAAATATCCATGGATTAGAATAACAATCCAGAAATAAATCCCAGTATGTATAAAAATCCAATACATGACAAATATTATAGTTCAATTTAGTAGGAAAATGACAAATTATTTAATAAATTTTGCCAGAATAACTGGCCATTCTTTCAGAAGAAAATAAAACTGGATATTTCTAATATACTGTATAGTTATAAATTCCAGCTGCAATAAGAATCTTGCAAGAAAATTTAGACAACATATATATCTTGATGAAGAAAATGTTCTAAACAGACTGAAAATATAGAGGTTATTAAAAAAAAGGCTAGCCAAAATGAGCAAATATAATTAAAAGTTTTTCTATGGCAAAAGTTAAAACACAAAGTCAACAGATAAATAATGTATTTGGGAAAAAATTGTAAAGGGCAATATCTAAACTAAAGTGCTCTTACAAAATGTCAAGAAAAAGTTAACCCAAAAGAAAAAAAGGCAAAAAGTATACATAAGCAAGTCAAAGAAAAATAGAAAAGCCAAACAAGCATGCTTTATTTCTTTATTTTATTTTATTTTATTTATTTTATTTTACTTTTTGAGACAGAGTCTCACTGTCGCCTAGGCTGGAGTGCAGTGGTGCGATCTCGGCTCACTGCAACCTCTGCCTCCAAGGTTCAAGCGAGTCTCCTGCCTCAGCCTTCCAAGTAGCTGGGATTACAGGCACCTGCCACCACGCCCGGCTAATTTTTTTCTATTTTAAGTAGAGACGGGGTTTCACCACCTTGGCCAGGCTGGTGTTGATCTCCGGACCTTGTGATCCGCCCACCTTAGCCTCCCAAAGTGCTGGTATTACAGGCGTGAGCCACTGCGCCCGGCCTAAACATGCATTTAAAATAATGCTCAAATTCAATTAATACTGCAGGGACTACAAATTGAAGTAACAATAACATAAGTTAGTTGACTGATTCCTGCATCCATTCACTCAACAAATATTTACTGAAACTTTTCATGGGTGAGGCCCTATTTCAGGTGCTGGGGATCAGAAGCAAACCAAACAAGTTCTTTATATGTACTTTTACCACCTTTTTTGCCCATATAACAAACAACATTTACAAGAGCAACTGAATCTGTTGTTGGTAAGGATATGGGAAAGGAGATACTCTGAAAAACTGCTGGTGGAGATATGAAACATAGCCCTTTGGACAGCAACCTGCCAATACTTATTAACTACAGGTATCAGTAAATAAAGACGTATATACAAGGATGTTTGTTGAAATTTTGTTCAAAGGGGAAAAAAGCTGGCCTGCACCATGAAATATTAAGTAATAATTAAAAAGAATGTCTGAAAGCCTCGCTCCTAAACTGTGGAGTAAGTCATCCTAGGTGCTATGTGGAAATGTCAAGAGTGATGTCATATATTTTTAATTTTCAGGGGAAACACAGCATTTTTGAATGTATATTGACACTGAATCTCTTGATATTATATGCTTGAAGTAATTCGGTTTCAACATTAGATCATGCCACATTACTATTAATGATATTGTGTCTTTGCAAAGCTGGGTATTGAGTGGTTGCTGTGATTAAAAAGTACACACTATGCTAAGGCCGGGCGCGGTGGCTCACGCCTGTAATCCCAGCACTTTGGAAGGCTGAGGCAGGCGGATCACGAGGTCAAGAGATCGAGACCATCCTGGCTAACACGGTGAAACCCCGTCTGTACTAAAAATACAAAAAAAATTAGCCGGGCATGGTGGCGGGCACCTGTAGTCCCAGCTACTTGGGAGGCTGAGGCAGGAGAATGGTGTGAACCTGGGAGGCGGAGCTTGCAGTGAGCCAAGATCGCGCCACTGCACTCCAGCCTGGGCAACACAGCGAGACTCTGCCTCAAAAAAAAATTTTTTTTAAAGTACATACTATGCTAAAAGATAGAAATGGTGGTGGTGCAGCCAGTCTAATACCAAAGTCTGAGCAGCTGTGTAGTACCCAACAGGAGCACGTATACCATTAGTAAGCAGTTGTAGTTATTTTTAAATGAAATAAAAATATTACTATTTTTGAAAAAATTTAAGTGTATATTTTTTCCCAAATAGCTATTAAGTTGTAGGAATATAATACACATTACTTGGCCTGAAAGATTTACTAAATGAAGCTGTCAGGTATTTGGTTTGGCCCAGGGGGCACCAAGAAAATATTGCTGAGATACTAAGGACTCATTGTGAACTCAGAAAATTTGGGAACCTCTTAAACCTGCAGCCCAAGAAGTAAAAAATAATAGAACAAGTGAAAAACTTAGATGAATGGAAATAATAAAGATAGAAAAGAAATTAATTAGACAGAAAGCAAAGATACAAAGGCAAAGAGTTTATAGACTAATAAAATGGACAAAACTAATTTTAAAAAAGAAAAAAGCCACTAATCAGTAGACATGTTCTTAGGAAATAATTACCAAAATGAACTCAAGAAAAGCTGAAAACCTGAAGAGACTATAATTAGAAATTAAAAATATTCTCCCAAAGGCTGGATGTGGTGGCTCATGCCTGTAATCCCAGCACTTTGGGAGGCCAAGGTGGGAGAGTTGCTTGAGAGTTCAAAACCAGCCTGAGCAATAAAGCGAGACCCTGTCTCTACAAAAAAATAAAAAAATAAATTAGCTGTGCATGGTGGCGCATGCCTGTGGTCCCAGCTACACAGGAGAGTGAGGTGGGAGGATCACTTGAGCCCATAAGTTTGAGGCTGCAGTAAGCTATGATTCCCACCCCTGCGTGCCAGCCCCAGCCTGGGCAATGGAGCAAGACCCTGTCTCTTCAGTAAAAATAAAAAAAAAAAAATTATCCCAAAGAAAACATTAGGTTAAGGTGGCTTTACTGGTGAGTTTTAACAAACTTTCAAGGAACACACGATTTCACTCTAACATAAAGTGTTTCAGAGAAGAGATACAGAGGAATACTCCCTATTTCATTTTTTGACGTTAGTATAACTTAGCTCCAATACCAGCCAAGGAGTATTTGAGAAATTATAAACTGATTTCAATCATAAAAATAATTGCACATTAAGAATGAGATAGAGCTGTACAAAAAGCATTTCATAAAACTGACACCTATTATGACAAAAACTCTTAAACCAGGAATGGAAATGGACTTAATAACCTGATAGCAAATATCTACCAAAACTTCTAGCACAGATAAAGCTTAATGATTAAACTTTAAAAGAAAGGCACTTACTGTCACTTCTATTTAATGTTATACTATAGGTCCTTGCCAGAAAATAAGAAAGAAAAAAAATATATATATAACGTTTAGAAAGTGAGGTAAAAACCATTCCTATTACTGGATGATATGATTGCCAACATAGAAAACAGAAAAGAATATGTGGCAAATTACTAAAATTAAGGAAGTTTGCAATATTAATAGATAAGTTTACTGTATTTCTATATATTTTAAAAAAAGCAATTAGAAAATGCAATTTTAAAAGACAGCATTTACAGTAACAACAACAAAACAGGGCACCTAACAATAAATTTAACAAAATATGTATGAGACCTTCATGGAGAAAAATCATACATGTATTTTTTGAGGCAGGGTCTCGTACTGTCACCTGGGCTGGAGTGCGGTGGCACAATCACGGCTCACTGCACCCTCGAGTGGGCTCAAGTGATTCTCCCATCTCAGCCTCTCATGTAGCTGGGGCTACAGGTGTGTGCTACCATGGCTGGCTGATTTTTGTATTTTTTGTGAGACAGGGTTTCGCCATGTTGTCCAAGCTGGGCTCAAGCAATCTTCCTGCCTAGGCCTCCCAAGGTGCTGGGACTACAGGCATGAGCTACTGTGCCCAGCCCATACAGTGTTATGAAAGACATTAAAGATCTAGATGTACAATACTATGTTTATAGATACGAAAACTTGCAAAATGTCAATTCTTCCTACATTAATCTATGGATTCAATGTAATCTTAATTTAAGTTCCAGTAGAGGCTCTCATGGAAGTGAATAAGGTTATTCTAAAATGATATGGAAACACAAGGGGAAAGAATACAGAAGACATTTCTTAGGAAGATACAGCATGGGGGCTTGCCCTGGTAGATATTAAAATTTATTATAAAACTTTAATTAAGACTATGTGATGGGCAACATGGTAAAATCCTGTCTCTACTAAAAATACAAAAAATTAGCCAGGCATGGTGGCGTGCACCTGTAGACCCAGCTACCAGGGAGGTTGAGGTGAGAGGATCACCTGAGCCCAGGAGGCAGAGGCTACAGTGAGCCATGGTCACATCACTGCACTGAAGCCTGGGCGACAGAGTAAGAGAGTAAGACCCTGTCTCAAAAAAAACAAAGAAAGAAAGGAAGAAAGGAAGAAAGAAAGAAAAGAAAAGAAAGAGAGAGAGAGAAAGAAAGAAAGAAAGAAAGAAAGAAAGAAAGAAAGAAGGAAGGAACGAAGGAAGGAAAGAAGGAAAAAGAAAGAGGAAGAAAGAAAGAAAGAAAGAAAGAAAGAAAGAGAAAGAAAGATTGTGATGCTCTTACATAAATAGGCGAATGAACTGAATAGAAATCCTGAATGGAGTCACATATTTATAGAAATCTGATATATAAAAAAGGGGTTATTGCAAATCAGTGGTGAAAAGACACAGTATGAAATAAATTCTTCTGGGGCAATTGGTTATTCATTTGCAAAAAATTAACTGGATCTCTACCTCACACAATTCACAAAAATCAATTTCAGATAGATTAAGGACTTAAATAGGAAAGGTAAAATAACTAAACATTTTAAGAGAGTATGAGAATATTTTTATGGCCTCATGATAGTGAAGGATTTCTTACACAAGACACAAAAAGTGTCAAAACATCAAGGAAATGATTAACGAAGTTGATGACATTAAAATTACAAACATATTTGCCAAAAGACATCAGAAAGACAGAGAAAAGACAACCACAAACTAGGAAGAAATACCAGCTGCATGTATAAGTATCAAAGGACTGGTATTCAGAACATACTAAAAACTCCCATAAATCAATGAGAAAAAAAAGAAACAATGCGAAAGAAAAAAGGGCAAAAGAAGCAAAAGGCATTTCCTTACACAGAAAACATGCAAAGCCAATGAACATGAAAAATTGTTCCACTTATTAGTCATCAGGGAAATGCAAATGATAATTACAATGATATGTCCTTTTATAATCACTGGACTGGTAGAATTTAAGAATTCAGAATTTTTAATACTAAAAGTTGGCAAGGATGTGAGGCAATAGAAACTCTCATATATTGCTGTCAGAGTATAAATTTGTAATACCATTTTGGAAAATAATTTGTTATAATCTAACACAGCTGAAGTTGCACATACTCTTGACTCTGATTTCATTCCTATGTATTTATCCAAGAGAAGCTCTTGCACAAGTGCATCAGGAGACATCTATTAGGAATGGTCATTACAACACTGTGTTTAGTTACAACACCGTTTTCATTGCCAGGGCAATGAAATATCCTTCAATAGCAGAATGGGCTTAAACATCAGTGAAAATAAATAAGCCGTAACTACATGAAGCAACATGTATGAATATCATAAGCTGCTGCTCAATGAATACTTATTTTATCAGTGAATAAACAGGATGATTCCAATCACAAGAAGGTCAAAATCAGGCAAAACTAAACTGAATTATATTTTAAGAGTACATCCTTATTGGGTAAAACTGTAGGAAAAAGCAAAGAAATGATTAAACCAAATTCAGGACAGTGGTTCTAAAGGAGAGGAAGAGTGAAAGCAGTTGCAGTATAGCTCTGAAGGACTTCAATGTTCATGTTCTATTTCTTAAACTGGGTGGTGGGCACACAGATATATTTTACTATTGTTCTTTAAACATAACATATATTAATAAATACTACAGATTTCATTTCACAGGTCATACAATGACTACTAGAAAACAATACCAAGTTGAGATGCAGAATGGGTAGTGATTAGCAAGGTTTACACACTCGTGTTTGACTAGCAAAAACACACATTACTACATATTATGGATATTTTCAAATAGTCAAACACATATAATATCAAATTTTCACAAAAGAGTGAAATACCTAGGAATACAGATAACCTGGGAGGTGAAAAAATCTCTGCAGTGAGAATTACCAAATACTGCTCAAAGAAATCAGAGATGACACAAATAAATGGAAAAAACAGTCCATGTTCAAGGATTCGAAGAATCAATACCATTAAAATGGCCATACTGCCCAGCAATTTACAGGTTCAATGCTATTCCTATCAAACTACCAATGTTATTTTTCACAGAATTAGAAAAAATGACCCTAGAATTCATGTGGTGCCAGGAGTGGGAGCTCATGCCTGTAATCCCACCATTTTGGGAGGCTGATGCAGGAGGAATGCTTGAGGCCAAGAGTTTGAGACCAACTTGGGCAACAAAGTGAGACCCTGTCTCTACAAAAAATAAAAAATTAGCCAAGTGTGGTGGCACATGCTTGTGGTTCCAGTTACATGGGAGGCTGAAGCAGGAGGATCACTTGAGCCCAGGAGGTTGAGGATGCAGTGGGCCATGATTGCACCACTGCACTCCAGCCTGAGTGACAGAGCCAAGATTCTATCTCAAAAAAATAAAATTCATATGGGACCAAAAAAAAGGCCAAACATCCAAAGCAAACAAAGCCGGAGGCATCACACTACCTAACTTCAAACTATACCACAAAACTATGGTAACCAAAATCAGGATGGCACTGGTACAAAAACAGACACATAGGCCAATGAGACAGGTTAGAGAACCCAGAAATAAAGCCACACATCTACAACCATCTGATCTTCAATAAAGTCAAGAGTAAGAAGCAATGAAGAAAGGACTTCCTATTCAATAAACGGTGCTAGGATAACTGGCTAGCCATTTGCAGAATATTGAAACTGGACCCCTTCCTTTCACTATATACAAAAATAAACTCAAAATGGATTGGTGACTTAAATGTAAGACCTAAAACTATAAAAACCCTAGAAGAAAATCTAGGAAATACCATTCTGGACACAAGCCTTGGCAGAAGTTTCATGGTGAATTCTCCAAAAGCAGGTGCAACAAAATAAAAAATAGACAAGTGGGATCTAAATAAACAGCTTTGGCACAGCAAAAGAAACTATCTAAAGAGTAAACAGACAACCTAAAGAATGGGAAAAAATATTAACAAACTATGCATCTGACAAAGGTCTAATATTGAGAATCTAAAAGAGACTTAAACCAACAAGCAAACCCAAATAATAAAAAATGGGCAAAGGACATGAACAGACACTTCTCAAAAGAAGACATATACATGGCCAACAAGTATATAAAAAATGTTCAACATCACTAATCATTAGAGAAATGCAAATCAAAACCACAATGAGATACCATCTCACACGAGTCAGAGTGGACTATTATTAAAAAGTTAAAAAAAAAACAGATGTTGGTGAGGTTGTGGAGAAAAGGGAATGCTTATACTTTGCTGGTGGGAATGTAAATTAGCTCAGCCACAGTAGAAAGCAGTAAGAGATTTCTCAAAGAACTTAAAACAGAACCACCATTCAACCCAGCAATTCCATTTCTAGGTATATACCCAAAGGAATATAAATCGTTCTACCAAAAAGACAAGTATACCTGTATGTTCATTGCAGCACTATTCACAACAGCAAAGACATGGAATCAACTGAGATGCCCATCAATGGTTGACTGGATAAAGAAAATGTGGTACACATACACCATGGAATACTAAGCAGCCATACAAAAATGAAATCACGTCCTTTGTAACAACATGGATGGAGCTGGAGGCCATTATCATACAAAATCTAGCAACACACAAGTTAACCACATAACAAGTCTGCACATGCACCCCCTGAACCTGAAATAAAAATTGGGGAAAAAAATGCCAAATCTACAACTGCTGACAGGCTATTATATTTCTTTTTTTCTTTCTTTCTTTCTTTTTTTTTTTTTTGAGATGGAGTTTCACTTTTGTCGCCCAGGCTGGAGTGCAGTGGTGCGATCTCGGCTCATGGCAAACTCTGCCTCCCAGGTTCAAGTGATTCTCCTGCTTCAGCCTCCCGAGTAGCTGGGATTACAGGCATGCGCCACCATGCCTGGCTAATTTTGTATTTTTAATAAAGATGGAGTTTCTCCATGTTGGTAAGGCTGGTCTCGAACTCCGGACCTCAGGTAATCCGCCCGCCTCGGCCTCCCAGAGTACTGGGATTACAGGCTTGAGCCACTGCACCTGGCCTATGTTTCTATTAACAAACACTTATATATGTATAACAAACACTTAATACAATTTGATATAACTAGGTAAGATACTATTTTAAATTCTACTTGCAAAAGCAATTATCCAGAATATTTGGAAATTACTGTGAGTCTTTTCTATACACTTAGACAGATATAACTGGGATAAGTATAATAAAGACTTGCAGAAAATAAAGAGTATTACTTAAGGAATTTCCTAACCTGTAACAAAAGTTGTTTTAGGAGAAATGAAACTTAAGGACTGGAATCTAGAATTAGTTATTTGATCTAATTAGATTGAAAAGCATTAATAAGTTTTTTGCCAGCGGTTAATGAGAAACTGGTAGTCCATGGCATGCAATGGCAAAACAATTAATTAAATAAATTATCACCTATGGACAACTATAATCAAGTGCCTATAGATAACCAAATAGTTACTGCCATAAAATATTTTAGTTCAAATAAGAACAATGGGGTTAGTCCATTGTTTTAAAGTGTGCTAGAGAATTTGGAGAAAGATCACAATGAGCTCAGGCTTTAGATTCCTATCACGAGTTTCAGGTAAGGGAACAGAAAAATGTCTATGACCGCTCTAAAAGATAAATCAAGTAAGATATAGCAGCTGCAGTGCTGAGATGTCTAAATATAATATACAAAGTCTAATCTTTTAGCTGACTCAGCTAACAAGACACACTGAGTTCACAACCTCACAGGTCTTTTAGGTTAAATTAGATGCTGATGGGGAAGAAGGGTGTGGTGACTATATACTGTCAATTTAGCTAAGCTGGTACTACATTACCTCTAGTTCCTTTCTCTGTATGGTGCTGTTAGTGTCACTTTGTGATTGGAAGGTGGAAGTGAAGCGGCATCTATGCTTATGCTCAGAGGTCAATGTAGGGTCAGGTACTCTTGCAGCTTGCTCATACTGTCACTAACCAAAAAGATGCTCAACACCACTCCCGTTAGGGAGATGCAAATCAAAACCACAATGTGATATCCGGTTCACATACATTAGGATGGCTACTATTAAAAAAAAAAATCAAGCGTTGGTGAGGATATGGAGAAACTGAAACCCTTGTGCTGGTGGGAATGTAAAATGATGCAGCTACTACGCAAGACAGTATAACAGTTCCTCAAAAAATTAAAAGGATAATTACCATAAGATCCAGCAATTCTACTTTTGGCTGTATACTCAGAATAACTGAAAGCAGGAGCTTGAAGAGATGTTTGCATACTCATGTTCATAGCAGCATTATTTACAATAAGCAAAAGGTGACAGCAACCCAAAGTGTCCACTGACAGATGAACGGGTAAACAAAACATGGTATATACATACAATGGAATATTATTTAGCCTTAAAAAGGAAGGAAATTCCGACACATGCTACAATATTATGTTAAATCAGCAAGTCACAAAAGAACAAATACTGTATGATTTCATTTATATTAAGTACTTAGGGTAGCCAAATTCATAGACACACAAGGTAGCATGGTGGTTGCCAGGAGCTGGGGGCAGGGGGAAACGGGAGTTATCGTTTAATAGATAGGAAGTTTCAGTTTGGGAAGATGGAAAAAGTTATGGAGATGTATGGTGGTGACATTTGCACAACAATATAAATATACGTAATGCCACTAAGCTGTATACTTAAGGATGGTTAAAATAGTAAGTTTAATGTTATATATATTTAACCACAGTTTTTAAAAATCCAACTAGAGTTCATTGATTCTTTAAGTACTTCTGTACTTTCTGAAATAAAAAGATGTTCAAGCCCTTCTTATATTTTCCTTGCCCTACTCCTGCTGCTAGCCATTTCTTCAAGAATTCTTAGTTCCTTTTAGTAGACTCATATTTAGAAACCAAGATCTGGACACTAGACATGCTCATTGCTATAGGGTGTCTCTGTTGCCAGACTCTCTCAGAACAGAGCCAGGAAATATATGTATGCATTCCTAACTCCTCCCCTCATATACACATAGACGTATACCCACATTTCCAACTGTTATTTTAGTATTTATAAAAAGATAAGCATCATTAGCTTAAATTCATCCAAAACCATATGATTCATTCTAGCTTTCTCCTTTTCCATATTTGTACTCACTTCTATATCTGTGAAAAACTTGGCTACCATTACCCTCAATAGATTTACTTATTTGCTTTGTCTTCTGAGGATAAACAATATCCTGACTTCACTAGGCCACCTATACTACCTCATTTAAACTCAATGTTTATAAGCATAAGGCCCAGCTTCTATTTGGCTGCCATTACTTCTCTCCCTGAGCCTGTTTAATGGTGCCTGGACAAGGAAAGAAAGAAGGAAAGAAGGGAGGGAAGGAGAAAGGAAAGGCAAGAGAAAAGAAGAAGGAATGGGAGGGGGGAGAAGAAAGGTAGAAAGCACAATTTCTAAAAAATTTTACTTTTTAGTTGTTTTTTGCTGATGAAAATAAATGCTATTGATTTTTATAGGCTAATCTTATATTTGAAAACCTAACTGAGTCATCTTATTAGTAAAAATAGTTTGTTCTCATACATTTTCTAGGTAGAGGATCAGAAATCTGATTTTCTATCTAAAAATAATGACAGCTACTGACACACTAATAACATTGTTAATAGTGTAATAGTAAGCATCTTTGTCTTGCTCTAATTTTAAAGGAATGCATATAAAGTTTCTTCATTAACTACAAGGGTTGCTGTAGGTTTTACCAAACATGGAAGCTCTTTTCTAATAACAGCTTCTAAGAACTTTTAAATAAATAGCATTAAACTTTATTAAATGCCTTTTCTTAACTGACTGAGATAATCATAATTCTTTTCCTTTAATCTATTAATGGGGTGCATTACACTGAAAGAATCCTAGGTTAAACTCCACTATATTATGACGCTTTACTTTTTTAATGCACTACTGGATTAGATTAGCCAATATTTTTCTTAAGAGTTCTGCATTTACATTCATAAGAAAAAGGGGCTTTTTTTTCCTTTCTTTATATTGTATCTATCTGATTTTGGAATCAGAGTTACTCGAGATTCACGTTTTATTAAAAACATAATGCTGACTGACAAAAGACAAAAACAATGAAATACATAATACACCATTTACATAAATTAAAATACACATGTAGTAAACAATATACATTTTTCAAGGACACCTGCATAGAAAATAATATATTGAACACATTAAAATATCCACAATGTATACATACTTCAAAACATCATGTTGCACATGATAAATATACAACTTTATCTGTCAATTAAAAAAGCACATTTAAATGCTTGAGGGAGATTGGGAGCATAATGCTGATAAAAATAAACAAATAAATAAAATAAGGAAGGGACCTTGCAGGGACCAAAGATGATACTGTGTTATGAACTGGAGAACCAGGAATGCTTCTCGTAAGCAGGGATTAAAAAAAAAAAAGTGTCCTGAGATCATGAAATTCAGAGGAGGAGACACTTTAGAGGGCATTTAGTCCAATCTCCCTGACAATGTAGAAATCCTTTACAGCTTTCCTGACAAATGACTATAAGAGTGTTTGATGGCACACTGTATGAGATGAGGATGGCATTTCTACAAAGCTGCCCATTTCACTGTTGAAAAGTTTCAAATGTTAGCTCTGATCTCCCCCCTTCCCAAACTTAACAAATCAGAACATCTGATGATGGGGCTCAGAAATGAACATGAAAAAGTTTTAAAATGACTACTGCAGATAATAGGACACTGATATTTCAACTCTAGGTATATATCAAATTTACTTGTGGGACATTAAAAAATACAGATGTGTAAGCTTCAGCTATGATGATTGTAACTCAGCAGTATGAACATTTGCACTTTAAATATATCGATGACACTCCTGTCCACTGGCACAATATTGACCAGCTGTATGTAAACTTTAAGTTTACTTTCAAGCTAGGTCATGAATTATCAACATGTCCGTCAACATTCTCTAACCTAGAGATTACTGTGCACAAAGACATAAAGGTGAATAGAGCTTGGCTCGGGTTGATGATTAGATTATAGCCAAGAAAGGGGCAAAAGCTACTGGCCTGTGAAGGGACAGAAACTCAGTATAGGGACTAAAATTCTAACCAGCTGAAGTAAGCAGCTACTTACAACACATTCATTTATTCATTTATTAATTCATCAAATTTTTAGTGAGAGACTACTCCATGCCAGACAAAATGGGAAATATACATGTCAACAGGCAATATCATTATATGTGGTTAAGTGCTACTGCAGGATCATGGTGGATAGTATAGGGGAAGTACAAGATGAAGTAGAGGCACAGAGTTGCTACCAATCCAGGCTTCATGGGCTGAGGAAGGCTTCCAGAAAGAAATGACATCCAAGCTGAAATTAAAGGATGAGTAGGAGTTGGCCAAGGGAAAGGAAAGATTGAGGGAGCAGGGAGGAGAAAGGAAAGGAGGAAGAAACAGTGTTCCAAACAAAGGCAATAGATGTGTAAGGCCTGGGGACTGACAGCAGTGAACGATGAGACTGTAGATATAGGCAGGGGCCAAGATAAGATCAGAATTTACTATGAAGGCAAAGGATTTTAAATTGTGAAGTGAAAAGATACAACTTGAAATATACGAGTATCACTTTGGGGAAATGGAGAACAGTTATATTATAGAAATGGGTCAGGATGGAGGTAGGGTAACCAGTTAAGAAGTTGGTGCGGTAGCAGAATTTAGGAGATGAATTTAGGCTTGAGATTTGGAAGGCAGAAGCAAGAGATGGTAATGCAGATGAGTAAGACTGCCTAGGGAGAATTTTAGACTGAGAGAAGATCTAAAGATGGATCTAAAGAGGCAAATGAAAATACCAGATTTTCATTTAGAATTCATTGCTTTAATTTACTAGTTGTGTGATTTCAAAAATGTACTTAATTTCTTTAAGTCTATTTCCAGAGGGCAACCATGATTGTGGCTTACCCAGTTTCACGGACAAATAAAAGCTGAGATTATCTGAGGCAGTACAGAGTGATACAGGCACCCAAGAAGGAAGAGGACAGGACAATTATAAGTGCTGACTGGATGGTTCTTTTACAAGAAAAAATGGAAAATGAAAGCAGACTGGGGGAACAATGGTGGGGAGCAGCAAATGACTTTGTTTGATGGTCCCTTCTGTTTAGGTCATTCCCTGAAAGGAGAAGTAAATCAAAGAATGACAGAAGAAAATAATGTCCACATGGATGAAGCTTGTTGAGTGACAGCTTCATTATAGTATGCCCTGGGAGAGCTGTTCTACTGAAAAACGTCAACCTCCACATCTTTAATAAAGTATTTTTCTCTTTGGCTGGTCACATTTCTCAGAGAACAGTTTTACAATCTCTTGCCTGGAAGGCAGGCTGCCAGAGTCCTGGAAGCTAAAGGGGGAAAGCCCACTGGCATTCTCAATATTTGGCATTCACACAACCTCCTTGTTTGCAGCAAGACAGAATTTCCCTCAACCAGACCTAGTATCTTCCAGGCCAATGACAGCCTCTCTCTCATAAAAATAAATACACAAACAAACAAACAAACAAACAAACAAACAAACATCTAATCTTCTGCCATGGTAAAGGAGAGGCAGCTGGCTGTTTACACCGAATTAAGAAAGGAACTGGGAGGGGGATCCAACAGAATCTTAAGCAGCTTTCAACCAATCCTCTATTTTTTATGTTTTAGCCTCACCTTGTCCTTCTGCTCGCAGAGATACCTGATGTTACTAATTCCTGAGCCTTTTGGGGTTTTGTAAACTGGGCTGCCTCAAGGCTTTTCCCGCTGCTACTTGGGAAAAGGCTTTCTCGGGTCTGCTAAGTAAAGATCACTCATCTATCAGCTTTCTAGCTTCTAAGATGTTGCTGTTGCCTCCTCTCCTGTTCTGCCTGTGGGTTTATGTATTTTTTTAAGTGGCTTACTTTTGTTTTAATGGGCTTTTGGGTGGTAGCAGAGATTAATGTACATATGCAATCTGCTTACTTTAACCACAGGTTACTCCATCTACTGTTCTCATCTCTTCTCCAACCACATTTCTACACTATACTCACTAATATGGAAATATTCCTCAGTTTTCAAAATCACAGGCTCTTTCCTGCATATCAAAACCACAATATGATACCACCCTATTCCTGCAAGAATGGCCATAATCAAAAAATAATATATATTGGTGTGGATGCGGTGAACAGGGAACACTTCTACACTGCTGGTGGGAATGTAAACCAGTACAACCACTGTGGAAAACAGTGTGGAGATTCCTTCAAGAAGTAGAAGTAGAACTACCATTTGATCCAGCAATGTATCTACCCAGAGGAAAAGAAGTCATACCAAAAAGATTCCTGCACATGAATGTTTCTAGCAGCACAATTTGCAATTGCAAAAATGCGGAGCCAACCCAAATGCCCATCAATCAATGAGTGGATAAAGAAACTGTGGCATATTGGGTTGGGCACAGTGGCTTATGCCTGTAATCCCAGCACTTTGGGAGGCTGAGACAGGTGGATCACAAGGTCAGGAGTTCAAGACCAGCCTGGCCAAGATGGTGAAACTCCATCTCTACTAAAAATACAAAAATTGGCCAGGCGTGGTGGCATGCGCCTGTAATCCCAGCTACTCGGGAGGCTGAGGCAGAGAATTGCTTAAACCTGGGAGGCAGAGGTTGCAGTGAGCCGAGATCACGCCACTGCATTCCAGCCCGGGTGACAGAGTGAGACTCAAAAAAAACGAAAAAGAAAAAAAAGAAACTGTGGCAGATATATATGATGGAATACTACTCAGCCATAAAAAGGAACTGAATTAATGGCATTCGCAGCAACCTGGATGAGATTGGAGACTATTATTCTAAGTAAATAAGGATTACTTTATTCTTTTTCCAATGTTCCAGCTTGACGCAAAACTTTCAGGTTCAACCAGATGGCCAAGACTTATAGAGGCCAAGGGTGTACTCACAAATCTGATTGTCCCAACTGTTAACTGCTCAGGGCTTGGTTTTCTCTACTTGTCCTTTTCTTCAGAGTATAAAGAGGTATACATTAGAGATTTTCTTTTCTTCTTAGGAGAAACAATGTACCAAAATAATGGTTTATATTTGTTTGTAATTTTCTGAGATCTATTTCTATGTTAGTGAGAAGGTTCCTCATCGTATATGCAATTTAACATAATGCTGGACATAGAAGACTTCACTGGGTTTTAAAATTATAATTTATTTTTAAAAGATCTTAGCTAGGATGTAGACACATAAAAAGCTTTAATTGTATATTTGACAAAATAAAAAGTTAAGGCCATGATATTTTTGGAGAGATTTTTAGTAATCTCAGTTTCAAAAAATACTAAAATATGATCAGTTCTTTGAAATGAAATGATAGGTAGGAATAGTCTATAACCTCTATGAAACAGTGCTATAAAAAATTACACTGGCATTGAAATAACCTGATAAACAGCCTTTTGGCAGTACTCATGTTCCATTTAATTTTCCCTTGTGGATAGGAAAGACAGAAGAATAACTTCTAGGTCATGAAAAGTAAAAATTACCAAAGTTTTTGAATCACTACCTAAAAATTAGTTCATTTAGTTAATGTTTCTTTCTTAAAACATCAACACAGATGTTTGGCCACTCTGCCTTGAAACTCTATGCTTTTGTAAAAAAATGTTCAGAATGTCATGTTAAATCCCTGTTGATAAGTACGTTGTTGCATCAAGAATATAAATACTAACAAATCCCAAGTGGGTGACACATTAAACAAATAACACATTAAAGTAAGAACATCACATGTAAGTCCATTCATAACTGCGAAGGGCCTCTATACAACGTTCAACAACAGCATGTGCTTGATGAAGCACAGGATCTCTTTTTATGTATACATGAAATAGTGAATTATAAAATATTAAGTGCCCCTCAATCCAAATGTATTTGGTTTTTTTCAAACAACTCCTGAGTAAATCAATTGTATTTGAAAGCTGCAAAAACAAAAACAAAAACAAAAAAACTCCATGTCTTTTTGTTTCTAGAAATATGATTATTCAAATGAAAAATATTTGTAGCCTAAGGGTATCTGCTATTCTATAAGTGCCATAATTGTAAATGCTAAAATTAAGTTTAGAGAAAGCCTTAAAAGTTAGTTCTTCAGCTAATAAACAGCACAGAAAGTACTAATAGCAAAAAGCTCCAAAATGGTTTTTGTCATTTTAATACCAATCATTGGGGAATTAGGAAATTGCCTGACTTTAGGACTTCTAGAGACCTTAATCTGTTAATTCTATTCCTTTATCCTCTATAATAATGGTAACAAAGTAACTGTAATAAAGTAACAAAAGACAGGGCTTTTCTTTTAGGGCAAGTTCTTCTCATAGGATGCTAAAATTTCCTTTCTAAAAAACTGAGGACTTTTTTCAAATTATAAAAGTAATACATGCTTGTTATATATCTTATATAATGTAGTTATATGTGTATGTTTCAAGCAGAGAAGGGTTTAAAATGGAAATCAAAACTCTTCTAATCCACATCCCAGAGGTAATCATTGGTATCTCTCTTATCAGGATAATCGTAACAGGTTTTAGTGTAAATATCCTTCCAGATTTTTACTATCATATACATACATACATACATATAATTTTAGGTCAAAAATAGATTCATATCTACTTTATGTAACTTCCCTTTTGCCTACTTAGCAATATATAAGAAATTTTTCCATATCAGTACATATATAGATGTACTTGTTTCTATTTAGTAGCTGAACAGTGTTCTAAAGAAGAGGTGCACCATATTTAATCGCTAGCCAAATGGTAGGCAGTTAGGCTGTTTTTGATTTTTGCCATTATAAAGTATTATATCTACTGTCTCATACTCTAAAGAATGTATATCCAGTAAAAGTGAATCATCCCCTAACTTGGCAATTAACTTATACAATCTACAAAATGTTTGAAGTGAGTTTGAGAAGATAAATATGCCCTGTAAAGAATCTAATAGCAGTCAGTACTTTAAGACATAAAATATACATAAGCTATAAGGTTATGAAGAATGATACAATGAACACCCATGTACCTAAATAGTATATTATCATTACATTGGAAGATCCCCATGTTTACTGCCCCTCCTCTGTGTCCCGCAGAGGTAATTTTCTTAAATATTTTGTTTCTTATTACCTTAGTTTTAAAAAAATACTTTTACCACGTATGTTTGTATCATTAGATTAAATATCCTTAAATAGTATATAACATGCACTTGAATTTTGTAAAGTGGATCCATATTATAGTTGAATTGTCCTTTTTTTTCTTTTTTCCTTTTTATTTTTCTGTAACTCATGACAGTGCTGAATTGTCTTTTTATTTTTGTACAGAATTATCTTCTTTAAGATTCATCTACATCATCCTTTGTAACTGCAGTTCATTTATTTTCTCTGATATATAATATTCTAGTGTAAGAAGATATAAGTTATCCATTCTAGTGTTGGTTGGCATATGAGTCATTTCAAGTTTTCTGCTATTTTGAACAATCTTGCCATTAACATTTTTGTACATGTCTCTTGATGTATGTGGGCAAGAGCTCCTCTAGGAAGGAAATCACTAGGTGATAGAGTACGCTTCATATGCAGCTTTATAAGATAATGACCAATAATCTTATTTCTCATATCTTATTAAAATTTCTAAAGTAGCTATACCAACTTACACGTTCACTAGCAGAGTTTATATACTCTATTTGTTCCATACATTTGTTTGATATTATCAGACTTTTTAATTCTTGCCAGTGAGTGTAAAAGGCTCTGCTTATAGTTTTAATTTGCATTTCTTCAATTATTGACACAGATCATCTTGTTATACACTTATCATCCAAGTGGGTTTCCTTAACTCTTTTTTTTTTTTTTTTGGAGATCTTATGTTAGGCTGATTTATAAGTGCTGCTCTGGGCAGTTACACAATTTGTTTATAGTAAGGAGTTGTCTGACTTTGAGCATACTGTACTTGGCGATTAGAAGTCATCATGGCAAGAGAAAACCACAGCTGGCCCCCTGAAGCAAACACAAAAACCAGAGAATGGTAGCGGAAATGTAGAGATAAAGGTGGGGTTTGTTTCTTATTACAAAAGAAAAAAATAACTGCTCAGTAGTCTTAACAAAAGAATGGAATATTTCACACTGGGAGAAAAGACATTGGGATACAAAATTTCAAGTGTTTTGACTCTAGCCCTGTCCCCATATCCTTCAAGAGCAGAGGCAGAAGGAGACAGTTAAAGCAAACAGGCAATTCTGCAAAAATTACTTAGAAACTCTACAGATTTGATTAAAATCTAAACTTCTATTTTGTTTTTTAAAAATTTAATATATCAAAAGTCCTGCTTTAGTGACATGTTATTCCCACCAGAAAATAACCCCAATATTCCCTCTGTCAGTAACATGCTCAAGTTGACCAGCTAACTCTTACCTCTAAACCCATGTGGACAAGTATATGTCTTTTAAACCAAAGCCATGGGGATCAAGTGACTGCTAGTAACATGTCGTCTGTTAACTGACCAGTATTCGTCTTCTCCAGAGGGTGGGCAGGGCACAGAAACCCTAGAGTGGTCATGAAGGACTAACCGCAAATCAACAACTTTCAAGCACCACTTCCCTCACTCCTTACTCAAAAGGGGCTACTTAATTTCTGTCTAGATTATTTGCTTTGAATTTGGTATCCCGTGACCTGTATGTTGTTTCTCCCTTAGCAAAACACACATAAGCCACAAAACTATATATATAATCTTCTTGTTTTTATTTTTTTTTTTGAGACAGATTCTTGCTCTGTCGCCCAGGCTGGAGTGCAGTGGCATGATCTCGGCTCATTGCAACCTCCAACTCCTGGGTTCAAGCGATTCTCCTGCCTCAGCCTCCTGAATAGCTGGGACTACAGACGCCTGCCACCATGCCCGGCTAATTTTTTGTATTTTTAGTAGAGTCAGGGTTTCGCCATGTTGGCCAGGATGGTCCCAATCTCCAGACCTCGTGATCCACCTGCCTTGGCCTCCCAAAGTGCTGGAATTACAGGCATGAGCCACTGCACCCGACCCTTGTTTTTACATTTAAATATAAAAACACTACTCTGTTTTGTGTGATAAATAGAGGACCAAGCAAAAAGAACCTCTTCTTCTTTTAAGGTAGGGATATCCATCAGTTTATACTAAGCTTTGTGTTCAGAGGAGAGCATTTCACCCCAAGCTAGGCTAGTCCCACACAAGCAGGAGACCAAGGGCATTCTCCTCCCTGATCCCCAACCCCTACCTTCTCTCCTAATCCCTACTTTTGTAGAAAGTTGGTTATAATCTTTTAAGAAACATTTCCACCACAAAGGGAAATCCTAACCTAACCAGAATAAGTCAGGTCTTCCCCTCTCAGGTCCCTCAAAGAAAAAATCCCCCTCCTTCAAACATGCAGTCTGTTCCGATAGCTACGCTTATTGAACAGGCACACCCCGTTAAATGGAAGCAGTGGTTATGTTTCACCACCCAGCTCCCCACTAATGTACTAAAAAGCTTCAGTGATAGGGAAAGAAAAGGAGGGTAAAGATGTGAAGAAATTAATAATTTGACCCCTTATCCCAGCCAAAGAAAGAAAGCAAGATTAACTGGGCACAAGGAATTTAAAAAGACCCTCATATTCCATCCTTTCTTTTTTTTTTTTTTTTTTTTGAGACGGAGTCTCGCTGTCGCCCAGGCTGGAGTGCAGTGGCGCAATCTCGGCTCACTGCAGGCTCCGCCCCCTGGGGTTCACGCCATTCTCCTGCCTCAGCCTCCCGAGTAGCTGGGACTACAGGCGCCCGCCACCTCGCCCGGCTAATTTTTTGTATTTTTAGTAGAGACGGGGTTTCACCGTGTTAGCCAGGATGGTCTCGATCTCCTGACCTCCTGATCCGCCCGCCTCGGCCTCCCAAAGTGCTGGGATTACAGGCGTGAGCATCCTTTCAGTTACAATTAGGACAACTGGGAGAGGGGAAGAGTTGGAGTTGGATGAAGTACTAGGAGGGGCTTGACAGCTGGAGGTCTAGTTCACTTAGTTTTTGTACTGGAAGGGCTCAACTCCGGTTTGAGAAGACACGGGCAGATGAGGGCTTCTGTCACCGAAAATGGGTCACAGTCGGCAGAGAGGCAATGATCTTCAAAGTAACCCTTCTTCTCCTGGCCAACAGTCTGGGGAATGTGTATGCTGGCACTATGATGGGCTATAAGAGCAGAAAAGTCGTTGATGTTAGAAGTTTCATGGGAATGTGGATGTGGTACTGCTGTTGCTTGCTTAGTTTCTTGATGGCCTCCTCAATGTATTTCAGACCATTCTCCCGCATGGCCTTGGTGCTAATGTTGGTATGGCAGCCTGCACCATTCCAGTTCCCAGGAATGGGCTTAGGATCAAAGGTTGCTATCACTCCGAAGTCTTCACATACACGATGTAAGATGAAACAGGTCACCCAGAGATGATCTTCCATGCTGATTCCTTCACAGGGTCCGATTTGGAATTTCCACTGGGCAGGCATGACCTCAGCATTAGTCCCTGCAATCTTGACTCCAGAATACAAGCAGGCCCGGTAATGAGCCTCCACAATGTCCCTGCCATAGGTTTTGTCTGCTCACATACTACAGTTAAGATGGACCCTGGGGCTCAGGGAATCCACTGGAAGGCCAACCAAAGGGGTGCCCGTCTGTCCCCATGAGATTATATATTCCTGCTCCATGCCAAACCAGGGGTGCTGGTTGCTCACCATGTCCCTTATCCGTTTACAGGTGTGCCTCAAATTGGTCTCTGCAGGCTTTCGATTGCACTTGAAAACTTCACAGAACACCAGCTTGTGGAGGTCCTTGTGGAAGGGGTCCCAAAACATGGCAGCAGGCATGAGATACATGTCACTGTTGGAACCTTCAAAGTACTAGAGCCACCAAAATTCTACTCAGGTAACTCTTCCACACGCTTGGGTTCACTTGCAGCGCAGTCTTGCTTGAGTACCATCGATTCAGATATACATGGCCTGGACTTTCTCACCCTGAGGTAGGGACATGTACACCTGCTTGACGCCTCTGTTTAAGTGGGAGCTTGCTGAGATGGTCATGGTGGAAGGTGTTCTGGGCACTGAGCAGGCGGGTAGGTAAAGGTAGGCTGCGAGAGTGAGGAGAGGAGAGAGGAGGGGAGGCCACTGTGCGCTCAGAAACTCTGCTCTTCTCCCATTCTCGGCTCTGCCTTTTAAGATACTTAAATCTTTTGCTCATTTTCAAGTTAGGTTGTCTTTTTGAAAAAATACTGATTTGTAGGGTTTTTTCTTTTTTAAAGAGATGGGGTCTTGATAAGTTGTCTAGGCTGGAGTTCAGTGGCTATTGATAGGCGCAATTATAGTGTACTGCAGCCTAACTCCTGGGCTCATGTGATTCTCCTATCTCAGCTACCTGAGTAGCTGGGACTATAGATGCACACCACCATGCCTGGCTTATAGTTCTTGTAATCGGAGCATTAACCTCTCTCTCTGAGGTTTATGTTTTCCCTCTCTCTATGGTATCTTTTAATGAACAGAAGTTCTTAATTTTAATGTAGTCAAATTTATCAATCTTTTCTTTTAACATTGGCACTAGTTGTGACTAGTTTAACAAATCTTTCCCTACCCCAAATTCATATGGATATTTCCTGTATTATGTTTGAAAACTTTTAAGCTTTATAGATTAGCTTTTTTTGGCTCTTCATATTTAAGTCTTTAATACATGTGGAAATGATTCTTGTGTGTGGTGGGAGGTATCTATGCATTTTTTGTATCAATGGTATGTTATGTGTACATGTCCCAGCACTATTAATTGAACTGCTCATCTTTTCACTGCTGGTGCCAATTTTGCCATAAATCGTGTTTCCATATATGTGTGCATTTGTTTCTGGGCTTTCTATTTTATTCTGTTGGTCAATTTGTTTATAAGTGTGCCAATTCTACACTGTCTTAAATAATAATAATTATTATTATTTTTTGAGACGGAGTTTCGCTCTTTCACCCAGGCTGGAGTGCAGTGGCACGATCTCAGCTCACTGCAACCTCCGCCTTCTGGTTTCAAGTGATTCTCCTGCCTCAGCCTCCTGCGTAGCTGGGATTACAGGCGCCTGCCATCAAGCCTGGCTAATTTTTGTATTTTTAGTAGAGATGGGGTTTCACCATGCTGGCCAGGCTGGTTTTGGACTCCTGACCTTGTAGTCTGCCCACCTCGGCCTCCCAAAGTGCTGGGATTACAGGCATGAGCCACTGTGCCTGGCCAAATAATATAATCTTAAACTAAATTTTTGATACCTGACAAGGTAAATTGCTGTGCTTTGTTGTTTTTCTTTAGGAGTATATTGGTAATTTTAAGGCTTTTATTCTTCTGTTTAAGGTTCTGATAGGAATTGCATTGTCTCTGTAGATTGTTTTGGGGAGAATTGATATCTTTAACATATTGAGTCTTCCATTCCATACAAATGATACATTTTCTCATTTATTTAGGCCTTGTTTCTTTCATAAATTTGATTAATTATATCCTATAATTCTTGCTTTCCAATGTACCAATATTTAACATGCATTTATTTACTTTGTCTGGAGTCCCACGGATGATCTTTGAAGTCTTAATATTTAATTACATTTCCACCTTGTGCAAAATGTTTGAGAAAGGAACTTTACATTACCTCTCAACAGAATGCCAATGTCATAGACTCTCTAACAAGGGAGGCAGGATGAGGAAACAAGATTATTAGCTTCTCCTAAATTGTCCTCACTGTTTTGTGGGAAGTTTGTTTCTGAAAGATCATACACACATTTTGAAGCCAAGTGGAAATTTTGTTGTTGTGCTTTACAAACACAAAGTACTTAAATACTTAATTAAGTAATTCATTTATCGTTTGGATTATCCACCATTCATTGTCCTCTGCTTGGACAACTGAAAACTGACTGAAAAGGGCTGATGTGACTATAGACATTAAGTAATATATAACTGAATGCTTTAAAGATGACTTTTCATTTTCAAAGAACTTGCTTATATTACAGAACTAGTAAAATAATCTAGCATTTTCAAAGAGAAAACAAAGAAAGAACAAAAACTCTTAATATTTATGCCAAGTAATAAAAAAGTATTTGACAGAAATGATAGAGATACTGACGCTTCATCCTATTAGCTGTGGTAGGCTCAAGAACTGATATATTGGTAATTACAAAATATTCTGGAAAAATGAAAAGTATTCTCAAATAAGAGGAATAATCTGAAAGAACTACAAATTACCTGTAGAGTACAATTCATCATCCTTATTATGTAGTCAAACTGTTGATGGTCTAATATTGCCCGGTTTTGCTGGACATGCAAACCCAATTCATCAGTGAGACACTGTCTTGCTGCCTTTCCTTTAAGGGCTCTGAGTGCAGCAGGAAGGGTCTGAGGACAAGAGAGGTACAAATGACCAAATGGTACCACTGGGGGAAACAACAACTTTCAAACAATCATCCTGAAAATTCAAACGCATCCTATAATTTATTTAACATAGTTATTAGTAAAATTAAACTCCTAGGGAATAGGTGATTTATTATTAAGACAATTATAAAATAGATTTGTGGTTATTTTTATATGTAAACCAGCAAGAAATATAAGATAATTATGTGATAAATTGAAAAACATTTAATTTCACTATTTTTCTTCAAGTTAACAAAACTTTGGTTACCAAATTGACTGTTGCTTCAGATCATGAGTCAAAGCCATAGATACGTAAGACACCTTTCTATAACTAGTAAATTTTCCATGGCAAGAACAGAAAGAAAAATTAAAACAATAAGAAATACAAGTGATTTCATACTTTTAAACTGGTTGGCTGCTTAATCACTATTCAGCTTTAAATTATGACTGAAAAGTTCTACAATCTCTTCTCATTTAAATATCATAAAAAAGGAAAGAAAAAGGACTCGGAGTTGCAAAAACAGATATCTCTAGGTGTATGCATTAAAACTCTTTTCGCTTTACAACAGGCACATCCATAAAGATGCCTCCTTCAGTTCACCATGTAGGACTTAGTTAATTTACTTCACATATAATAATAATAAGCTTATTTAGCTAAAAAATCAGAACAAAGGAGAAAACAAGAAGTAGGAGGGCATGATATCACTAAAGGTGGGTATAAGAAATAGGATGTGAAAGTTGAAAGCAAAAGAAGTGAAAGACTTCAACTCTAAGAAAACATAGAAACCAAAAAGCACAAAATGTAAAGAGCACTGGGTCAGTCAGTGTAAAGGTAAACATTTCTACATGCTTTAACCAACCCCTGAAAATAGATATTCAGAACTATGACAATGAGTCAGTAAGAAAGGGTTACATTATGTTCAGCATGTTTCATTGAAGAAGGCAAGAAAACATGCTCTAAGGAGGCACATTTAAGTTCAATACTACAGTTCCTATAATTCATTACATATTCTAACTAGATTCTTTGCAATACATAAAATTATATTAAAATGTTAAGTTTTGGCCAAGCATGTTGGCTCATACATGTAATCCCAGCACTTTGGGAGGCTGAGGCGGCTGGATCACTTGAGGGCAGGAGTTCAAGACCAGTCTGGCCAACATGGTGAAACCCCATCTTTACTAAAAATACAAAAATGAGGCGGGCGCAGTGGTGCGTGCCTGTAGTCCCAGCTACTTGGGAGGCTGAGGCAGGAGAATCGCTTGAACTTGGGACGTAGAGGCTGCAGTGAGCCAAGATCATGTCACTGTACTCCAGCCTGGGTGACAGAGCAAGACTCTGGCTCCAAAAATAAAAATAAAATGAAAAAAATTTTAAGTTTCTAAGTAATATCCCAAAATAGTGTTTTGTGAACAATGTTTAAAAGTTTGACAGAAAAAATTACTATGAATATATTTCTGGTGGTCATATAATTAAGCTTGGCCCAACAGCTTTAAATCTTAGACACTATTCATTTAAAATGATCCAAACAATGAGAGGATACTTTATTAGGAAAAGGGATAGAATTAAAGAAGAGAGAAGCTGGTAACCTCAGCACGTAAATCTGAAAGGGAAATGATAAATGCTTACTTGGGAAAGATCACATTTTATTACCTTTTCAGTTTCCAAAATTTTATTTTCAAATATGAATGAGATACAGTTTCTGACAACTTCTAGTCTTTGTGCACTGTTGAAAACTGTCGTCACCTTGTCCATTATCGAAACTAGTAAAAGAATATAAAGAAAGCACAAATAAATTAAACTTCTTTGGTAATTACAAAAGCAAAGAGACTACTACTTTAAGACTGTAGGTTGGGCGTGGAGGCTCACACCCGTAATCCCAGCAATTTGGGAGGCTGAGGTGGGATGATCCCTTGAGCCCAGAGGTTTGAGACAAGCCTGGGCAACATAGCAAGACCCTTGTCTACAAAAAATACAAAAATTAGCCGGGCATGGTGTCTTGCACTGTAATCCCAGTGACTCGGGAGGCTGAGGTCGGAGGATCACTTGAGCCCAGGAGTCCAAGTCTGCGGTGAGCTAGGACAGCACTACTGAACTGCAGCTGGGTGACAGAGTGAGACCACATCTCTTATTAGAAAACAAACAAAAACTGTTGATATGACCTACACCTTATTTTTTCCCTTATTACAGAGCATTGAAAGTATTCCATATCATTATTTTGATTACATGTTCCAGTGTTGAAGTATCAGGCTAGCTGATTAATAATTTCACAGGGTAGATTCTAATGAGACACTTAACTTTTATGCAAACTAATTCACATTGCAAAGTAAAATTATATTAAACAAAGGCAAACATCTATTTTAAACTTTGTTTACAACTAGTAATATTGTTAATATTTCTAAGATATTACCAAAGAAAAACTACATTCCACAAAATATTAGATATTACACATTTGAGTAGAGGGGACTTGAAAGAAAGTAGTGCAAACAAAGAGAAACGATCATGATCAATGAACTGTTACACTGGCTTAGGAAAGTCACTTTTTAGTCATGCAAACCTAGCACCTTTCACCTTTTACCATAGGGTTAGAAAATTCTAGTGTATTACCTAGGCTACTAAGCTAGTTACCTAAATAAATTTAACTTATTAAAATAATATTAGAAGGATATAAATGAAAGTAGTATTTATATAAAATTTATACTTTCACAAAGAACTATACTATGCCATTTGTTTAAATGAGGTAGTATCAATAGTTTTTTTTTGCATAAATTTAAGGGGTACAAGTGCAGCCTTGTCACATGGACATACTGCATAGTGGTGAAGTCTGGGCTTTTAGTGTATCCATCAACCAAAATGATGTATATTGTAGCCATTAAGTAATTTCTCATCCCTCACTCCCTTCCCACCCTCCCAGCCTTCTGAGTCACCAGCGTCTTATTATTCCACACTTGATGTCCATGTGTACACATTATTTAGCTCCCATTTATAAGTGAGAATAGTATCAATGGTTCTCAAGCCAAAAAGACTACTTATATTTTATGGCTACTCTTTGGATTCTAAAGGCACAATCCCTTCACCTTCTCCCATACCTAAGAAGAAAGACTATCATATTTTACTCATTAGCATTCCTTTCATCTCATCAATACAAAACCTATATTCGTCAAATAATGTTTTAAACTTTTTTTTTTTTTTTTTTTTTGAGACAGAGTTTCACTCTTATTGCCCAGGCTGGAGTGCAATGGCACGATCTCGGCTGCCTCCCAGGTTCAAGTGATTCTCCTGCCTCAGCCTCCCAAGTAGCTGGGATTACAGGCATGCGCCACCACACCCGGCTAATTTCGTATTTTTAGTAGAGACAGCGGTTCTCTATGTTGCTCAGGCTAGTCTTGAACTCCCGACCTCAGGTGATACGCCGACCTCGGCCTCCCAAAGTGCTGGGATTACAGGTATGAGCCACCGCGCCCAGCCTTAAACTTTTTAATAAAACTAATTATATGCTCACAATAAGCTGCAAATGTAATACAAAGAAGATCTTTGTACTCATCACCCAGCTTCCCCCTATGGTGACATCTTTCATAATTATGCTTTATTAGGATCAGGAAAACAACTGGCATAATACAATGAATGAGACTATAGACCTTACTTGAATTTTACCAGTTTTCTTCAAATCATTTTTAATCATGTAACATTAATTTCCTGGTTAAACTGATTATTTCACGTGACTTTTCTCTCTGAAATGCTCATTCATAATTGTGGGCTCTGGTGCTTCCCACACACATAGGTTGGTGGCATTAACTGAAAATCTATCTATATTAGAATAGAAAACTTACAATCTCCAATTAATAACACACTTTATTGAGAGAGCAATGTGTTTATGTTTATAAACTTTTAAATCTAAAATATCTTTAGCAGTATTTTAAATTTTCTTTAGGCTGAGTTATTAGAAAAAAACATATTTTCTTTTTCTTTTTCTTTTTTTTTTGTGAGACAGAGTCTTGCTCTGTCACCAAGGCTGGAGTACAGTGGTGCGATCTTGGCTCACTGCAACCTCTGCCTCCTGGGTTCAAGTGATTCTCCTCCTGCCTTAGCCTCCCAAGTAGCTGGGACTACAGGTGCATACCACCACGCCTGGCTAATTTTTTGTATTTTTAGTAGAGATGGAGTTTCACCGTGTTGGCCAGGCTGGTCTTGAACTCCTGACCTCAAGTGATCCGCCCACCTTGGCTTCCCAAAGTGCTGGGATTATGGGCGTGAGCCACCACGCCCAGCCAGAAAACATATTTTCTTGTAATAAATATGTTTACTATCTGGAATTTTTTTCCTTTGGAGAATCCAACCTAATTCACATTTTATACATGCATCTAATTAACCAACTTCAAAATATATCAAGAAAAACAGGAAAAACTGAAAAATAGGGAATTCTGCTATTATAATGGGAGACTTTAATATTTCTTCCTCAATAGCTGAAAAAAAGACAAAAGTTAGTAAAGGAAGACAACTCACAGAATGGGGAAAAATTAGCAAATAATATATCTGGTAGGGGACTTATATATAGAATATAGAGAGTATGCTTACAACTCAATAATAAAAAGGCAAATAGCCCAATTTCAAAATGGGCAAAGAGACAGTGAAATGACCAATAGCACATGAAAAAATGTTCAGTATCAGTGGCTGAAATTAGAACGAAAGAAATCTAAAATGGCACGACCGCTTTGGAAAATGGTTTGGCAGCTCCTCAAAACATTAAACATAGAATTACCATATGACCCAGCAATTCCAATCCTAAGTATACATCCAAGAGAACTGAAAACATATCTACACAAAATCTTGCACATAAATGTTCACAGCAGCATTATTCATAATAGCCAAAATGTAGAACCAACTCAAATATCCATCAATTGATGGATAAATAACCAATGTGATATATATCCAAACAACGGAGTATTATTCAGACATTTAAAAATAAATGAGGCCTGGCACAGAGGCTCACGCCTGTAATCCCAGGACTTTGGGAGGCCGAGGAGGGCAGATCACGAGGTCAGGAGGTCAAGACCATCCTGGCTAACACAGTGAAACCCCGTCTCTACTAAAAATACAAAAAAATTAGCCGGGCCTGGTGGCGGGCGCCTGGAGTCCCAGCTACTCAAGAGGCTGAGGCAGGAGAACGGTGTGAGCCCGGGAGGCGGAGCTTGCAGTGAGCCGAGATTGCTCCACTGCACTCCAGCCTGGGTGACAGAGCGAGACTCCGTCTCAAAAAAAAAAAAAAAAGAAACGAAATGCTGATACATGCTACAACATAGACGTACATTGGAAATATTATGCTAAATGAAAGAAGCCAGTCATAAAAGATTACATTTTGTATAATTCTATTTATATAAAATGTCCAGAATACGTAAAGCTATGAAGACAGAAAGTAGATTACTGTATAAGGCTGGGGAGAAGGTGGTTTGGGGAGGAAATGGGGAGTGACTGCTAATAGGTGTGAGGTTTCTATTTAGGTTATAAAAACATTCTTGCCGGGTGCAGTGGCTCACGACTGTAATCCCAACACTTTGGGAGGCCAAGGTGGGCGGATCACCTGAGGTCGGGAGTTCGAGACCAGCCTGACTAACATGGAGAAACTCTGTCTCTACTAAAAATACAAAATTAGCTGGGCGAGGTGGCACATGCCTGTAATCCCAGCTACTCAGGAGGTTGAGGCAAGAGAATTGCTTGAACCCAGGAGGCAGAAGTTACGGTGAGCCGAGATCACACCATTGTACTCCAGCCTGGGCAACAAGGGTGAAACTCAATCTGTCTGTCTGTCTGTCTGTCTGTCTGTCTGTCTGTCTCTCTCTCTCTCTCTCTCTCTCTATATATATATATATATATAAAATATATATATATTCTCAAATTAAATAGTAATAATGGTTGAATGAGTCTGTAAATATACTAAAAATCATGGGATCGCACATTTTACATTGGTGAATTTACAGTATGTAACATATCTCAATAAAGCTGTTATTAAAAAAAGAAAAGATTCTATAGTGGCAGTGGTTGGGTTATGATTACCCTTTTTGGGAGGCAGTGAATGAAACAGTTTCTGAGTATTGATAATGCTCTGATTCTAGCTACAGGAGTTTGTTCACTTTGTGAAAATTCATCAAATTGCACACTTTTCCTTTTTGGGTCTTACATCCTTATAAACAGTTTACTTTTAAAACAGACAGACAAATACATACCAACAGGTGGACCTGCTGGCACAACACATTTCTTTTCTATTCGTGTGGCAGGAGGTGCATTCTGGTTCTTAGCAACATTTTCCTGTATTAATTCCTGAACCCGGGCTTCATTAATCTCTGGGAAAGGAAGAATATGAACTCGCAAATGGGATCCTTCTGTTGGCCGTGGAACTTTCTGGAATGCCATATGAGGATTTGGATTCTCCTGTAATATCAGACATAGGTAAAATTACTCCAAGTTAAAATAACAATGGCAGATCACCAGGAAGGGAGTGGGAGCTTACAGGGACACGAGCTGGGTAGTTATACATACATTCATATATACGCCATAAAACATGAAGTACCAAAATCTTACTTCTTCTTACATGCTCTATCAGCAGCATCTGATACAGCTTGGCATCTGTCTTCCTCTTCCATGAACACTTTCTTTACTTGGTTTCTAGGTCTTCTTGCTACATCTTTGTCTATTTCTCATCTCCCTAATCCCTTAACAATGTGAATATCTCAGGGCTCAGTCCTTGGGTCTTTTTTCTATTAACATTCATTCCTTGGTGATCACTTCCAGTCTCCTATCTTTAAACCATAAAAATACCAACAATTCACAAGTTTTTTTCTTTAAACAAGTTTTCTCCTAAACCCCATACCCACATGTTTAACTCTCTATACAATATTTTCACTTGGATTTTTTAAAAAATTCTAAACCTATGTCCAGAATGCAGCTCTTAATCTTCACCCACCTCTATCCCTGCTTTCTTCAGTCTTCCTCACATCAGTAAATGGCACATTTATTTTTTCCAATCATTTAGACAAAAAGCTTAGAGTTATCTTTAATGCCATTCTCTAACACCCAACTATCCATTCCTCTGCAGATCTTGTGGACTTGACCTTTAAAATGTTTACAACTTGGCCAGTTTCACAACACTTTGGTTCAAGTCAACACCTCACGTTACAGCAATACAACAGTCTCCTAGTCTCCCTGCTTCCACCTGTACTCCTTCATTCAACACTGCAGACTATGTGATCTAGTTAAGAGTATGTCAGTTCATCACATAACCGTTCTGTTCATTCCAATGGCTTGTCATCTCACTCACAATAAAACCCAAAGTTCTTAAAACAACTTACAACACCCTACAAGATCTGGCCTTTCTATATGATGTGTCCTGCCATGATTTCTTTCATTTTTTTCTGCTCTAGACACACAGAACTTCTTGTTCCTGACTCAAAGCCTTTGCACTTAACTGTTCTCTCTGCCTGGAATGCCTGTGCCCCATGAATCTGTACAGCATCCTCCTTCCTTTCTTGCATTTCTTAGCTCAAAAGCCACCTTTCCCAATCACCTTATCTTAAATTATACTCTCTTCCCCAACACACTCCCTATCCCTGTTATATTTTTCTCTATATCACTTATCACTCTCTCACATACTTTACATTTTATTTAACTTGTTTATTGTCTATCCTTCTCTCCATAAAATAAAGCTCCATGAGAGTAGACGTATACCTACTGCATCTAGAAACTGCCTGGCACACAGCAGGCACTCTAAAGCTCTTCCCACTGCATCTTAATGAGGGGGACACAATGCTGAACACACATAAGGATTGCAAGAATTGAATTAAATGTGTCAGCTAATATTTTTGTAGACTCTTTGGGTTGGCATGAACTTTTTAGTCATCTAGTTAAGCAGGATTAGATCTCAAACACTCCAGGTAGAATGGAATCCATTCTTTCATAAAGTTCTCTAGGGAAGGCTGCTTTACAACTATTCTTGACCAATTCTAACACTTATTCTTTGCGACCAGAAAATTCCTTATTCCCACTGAACTTATGTTATTCATGCTGTAGATTAAACTCAATACTATCCCATATATCCTATTTTTTTTTTTTTTTAGACGCAGTCTTGCTCTGTCGCCCAGGCTGGAGGGCAGTGGCGTGATCTCGGCTCACTGCAAGCTCCACCTCCCGGGTTCACACCATTCTCCTGCCTCAGTCTCCCGAGGAGCTGGGACAACAGGGCCCACCACCACGCCCGGCTAATTTTTTGTATTTTTAGTAGAGACAGGGTTTCACTGTGTTAGCCAGGACGGTCTTGATTTCCTGACCTCGTGATCCACCCGCCTCAGCCTCCCATACATCCTCTTGACACTTAAAATGGCCAACTGCCATCACTTCTTAGGGCTGCTCCCCACAATTCTTTTTGGTTATATGGCCCAGACCTAGATAAAGAAAATGTTGGGCTAAGGCAGATGATATAGCTAGTATGCCTCAGCAATATAATAGAAACACACTGCTTCCTCCCACTGCCGTAAGTGTCAAAACACATGGGTTCCAGTTCTTGCTCTAGTCCTTATTATGTGATGCAGGGAAAACAACTTTGCCTAAGTTATATAATTAAGCTTATCTTATATAAGGCTCCTCAGAAGGTGAAATCAGATTTAAAATCTGTTCTTGCCAAAGCAGCTCTCATACATGCTCTGTATTTCCCCCCATATCTAGCAAAGACAGGGAAAAATAAGTAAGTAAATCCTTAGTCCAACTCTTAGTAATCACTCTTTCTAAACCAAATGTTGAAAAAGTGTTTTACAATTCTGTCTGGACTTAACACCAATGTCACTGGCCTGTAGTGTCTAAAACTGCCCTTTTCAAAAAGTAGTGTTTTTGTTCTTCTCTGTTCTTTAGGCATGACTCTTACTCATATACTGTCTTCCCAAAAATAATAAATATCAATTCTCTAAAACATATTGGGTAGGTATCTTTTTTTTCAGGCTGGCCAGGTAATTCATATGGATCTTGAGGTCTGAATTATTTAAAGTATATTCATTACTTTGGTTTCTATCTATATTTTCTTTATAATAAAAATTAAAACTCTAAATATATTTCCCATGAAGTAAATATTTATAATAAAATTTAAAACTTGGAAAAATAAAAGTAGAAATAATCTTAGTAACACCAGTATTTTTTCTAGTTATATATATATATTTTTCTCTATTGTTATATTATCTGTCTTCTGTCTTTTTCCAAAAATGACTTGGGGTGGTTTAGAAAAAGCAGGATGCATTGGCCAGGCACAGTGTCTTATGCTTATGTAATCTCAGCACTTTGGGAGTTCGGAGTGGGCAGATCACTTTAGTCCAGGAGTTCAAGACCAGTCTGGGCAACATAGTGAGACCCCATTTCTACAAAAAAATAAAAAATTAGCCAGGCATGGTGGTGCCTGCCCATGGTCCCAGCTACTCAGGGGACTGAGGGAGGAGGATAGTTTAAGCCTGGGAGATGGAGGCTGTGGTGAGCTGTGATTGCACCACCACACTCCAGCCTGGGTGACAGAGTGAGACCTTGTCTCAAGAAAGGAAAAAGAAAAAGAAAAAGAAGGATGCACATATCACTTCTAGTCAAAATCTCTAAAGAGTTGGTCCTATAATTTGGTAAGTTCATCCTAAACTTCATAGGGACATACAAAGACCAAAAATAGTCAAGGAAATTCTGAAGAAGAGTTAAGTGGGAGAGTTAAGATTTCCAGATATCAAAACTTACATAAACCTTTAATAATTAATACAGTACAACAACTGTTATTAGTGAAGGGTTAAAAGGATGAATGGAATAGAATAGAGAGCCCCAAAACAGGACTATGTGAGAAAATATGATAGAGATAGGTGGCATGACAATTCAGGGGGAAAGGTTAGACAATTCAATGAGAGGTAGTATAACAAAGTATTTTTAGTTCATGATCTCTGATTTCAGAACGCCTCGTTTCAAACTCTAGCTTGGCCACTTACTAGTAGTGTGACCTGGTGCAGTGTCAATTCACTTACCCCATGTGTTGTAGTTTTCACATCTGTAAGGAAGATAATAATATAGTACCTACTTCATAAGGTTCTTATGAGTATTGAACGAGCTGTTACAGTAAAGCTGTTAGAACACACAAACACACACACACACACCACCCCAGAATGAATCTAAAGGCTGTTTTCCAAAAATTTTGGCTACATTCATTTAAAAAATATGTATTCTCTTATTCTCTGCATATTCTATGGCATGGTACCATGCTTCTATAACTAAAGCCATCTCTTTCTCCCAAGATTTCCAACACATTACCAACTACTTACATTTTAGTAATTATAGTAGTAGTATCCAATATGTTTTTTGTTTGTTTGTTTGTTTTTGAGACAGAGTTTCACTTTGTTGTCCAGGCTGGGGTGCAGTGGCGCGATCTCTGCTCGCTGCAACCTCTGCCTCCCGGGTTCAAGTGATTCTTCTGCCTCAGCCTCCCAAGTAGCTGGGATTACAGGTGTGCACCACCACGCCTGGCTAATTCTTTTGTATTTTTAGTAGAGACGGGGTTTCACTATGTTGTTCAGGCTGGTCTCAAACTTCTGACCTCGTGATCCACCAGCCTCAGCCTCCCAAAGCGCTGGGATTACAGGCGTAAGCCACCACGCCCAGCCCTCCAATAAGTTTTAAATA
This sequence comes from Homo sapiens, assembly GCF_000001405.40. NCBI lineage: Eukaryota > Metazoa > Chordata > Mammalia > Primates > Hominidae > Homo > Homo sapiens. Next base: position 9,972,800 of record NC_000011.10, read on the forward strand.
GAGTCTTCCCAGAAGCAATTAGAAATATTGTAAACCAAATCCATACACAATTTAGAATTACAAGCATTAATTTACAAGCTTGTAAAAAAGATCATGTTAAAACAAAGTTCAAAGTTGAATATCTGTAGTTATATAGATATTCTACACCAAAATGCAGATTAGGGATTTTGTTAAATTATGATATATTTAGCTGTGTTTAGAAGATTCGAAAAAGACTTATGCCCCAGAATACAGTAATATTTGGTTTTCTGGCTCCTGAGTCTGTATACTGCTGCCCTCTAACGGGCAGCATGATAAATGTAAAGGACCACATTTGCTACCTTGAACCTAACTTGGTCGCGAAATGACTTTTGAGAAGACAATAGCAATGAGAGGAAGTTTAGGGTAGGGCTCACTGTATTCTGCATATACTTAAAAACATCTGCTTTTACTTGTAACACAAGATGTGTTTGGACTGGTCCCTTGAACGTCACCAAGCTCATTAAAAGCTACAGCCAAATTTTGTGTTGAATCTCCTTGTTGAAATAAGGAAATCCGTTATTTTCCGACAGTACAAAGCAGCAGCCAAATTTTCATCTTTGATTCCAGAGAAATGCAAATATAAAGTAATAAACAAGGGCTAGACAACTAAACACTTACAGTGAACCTGGCAACATTTTTTTCCAAAGTAACCAAAATAAACTACTGAAAAGAGTTTGGCAGAATGCACTGTCTTTTACATTTTGAATTTGGATAATGATTTTCAAGGAATGGTCTCTATAATCCTGCTTTAAGAGTATACTTTAGTAATTCGAGGTAGAATGATTTTTCTCAGACATGAAAAAGTGACATATACACACATCATCTGGTCTGCAGCACCCCTCCCCCCTGCAGCACGCCCAGCTACCCCCAGCTTTGGTAGGCTAAGTGAGAATATGCCTAGGGGTTACAGAATACAAGGCTTGAAACTAATTTCAAATAAAAGCAAAGCAAGGCACAACAAAAGCCCCAAACCCCAATGGAAATTCAAAGTAGGCAACAGCCACCTTGGGAAAAAGAAAATTTTTCCTATGTATTGGTCTCAGCACTGAAAGACAAATCAATATGATATTGTTAGAGCTTATCAAGTTTCCCAGATTAATTCAAGTATTTGAAATTATTTAACGTGCACAAATTATACTTAGAGCTATGTGGGATAGCAAGTGACACAAATTTTTTTTCTAATACAGTTGATGGCAATACTGTCACTGGAGTAAATTGTTAAACATTGTCAAAACGTAACTGGACTCTTTAGAGTTGCCTGGTAGTGTACATGACATTGATGGAATGACTCATCCTCAATTTTCCAACTTCATAGGACTTTCAAGGATCACATCCTTGTGAGATGACTGAGACATTCAACTGAATGTCTTATCCTTAATACAAGTAGATGACTTTAATATTTGATATGCTGGTTGCCCTAATTCAGGGTTTCTCAACCTATGCACTAATTGACATTTGGGCTTGATAATTATTTGCGATAAAGAGTAGGTGTCTTGTGTATTGTAAGATGTTTAGAAGTATCTTTGGCCTTTATCCACTAGATGACAGTAGCACAGTCCCTCCAACTGTGACCACCAAAAATGTCTCCAGACCAATTTCATGAAGTAGGGTGGGAGGGTTGCTCCTGTTGAGAACCACTGCTCTAATTCATGACTCCAGATAGAGATTTCCTATTCTAAGACAAGTACTCTTGTCACAAGTACGAAGGCAACATACAGTGACCAGCTAACAGTCCTATACTCTCACTCACCTGCTGAAATACAAATTAGAATCACAATGAGATACCACCACATACCTGTTGGAAAGGCTAAAACAAGACACCCCCAACACCGCCCAAAAAAAAAAAAAAAAGAAAAGAAAGAAACCAGCCGGGTGCAGTAGCTCATGCCTATAATCCCAGCACTTTGCGAGGCCGAGGCGGGTGGCTCACGGGAGTTCGAGACCAGCCTGATCAACATGGAGAAACCCCGCCTCTACTAAAAATATAAAATTAGCCAGGTGTGGTGGTGTATGCCTATAATCCCAGCTACTTGGGAGGCTGAGGCAGGAGAATCGCTTGAACCCAGGAGGCAGAGGTTGTGATGAGTCAAGATTGTGCCATGGCACTCCAGCCTGGGCAACAACAGCGAAACTTTGACTCAAAAAAAAAAAAAAAAAAAAAAAAAAAAGAAAAAAAGAAACCAACTGACAATACCAAGTGTTAGTAAAGATGTGGCACAAATGGAATGCTAATATACTGCTGGTGAAAATGCAAAATAACGTAGACACTTGAGAAAACAGTTTGGCAGTTTCCTATACAGTTAAATATTGTATTACCATATATTCCAGCCTCCCACTCCTAGGTATTCATACAAGAGAAATGAAAACTTATATTTATACAAAAACTTATGCAAATGTTTGGGGTGGTTTTATTCATTATTGCTAAAATTGTCTTTCAGTTGGTCAACAGGTAAATAAAACTTTAGTCCATCCATAAAGTGGATTACCACTCAGAAAAAGGAATAAACAACTGTATGAAGCAACATGATTGAATCTGAAATGCACTGTGCTAAGTGAATGAAGCTAAACTCAAAAAACTACATAATGCCATTATGGAAAAGGCAAAACTATACAGACAAAAAAATTGATCAGTGGTTGCCAAGTGTTTGAGGTGGTGGGAAGATGTGACTATAAAGGAGAATTAAGGAACTTTGGGGGAGTGATAGAAATACTCTACCTACTTATTGTGATGCTAGTGGTTGTATGACTTCATGCATTTGTCAAAACTCGTAACTGTAGATTAAAAAGTATACATTTTACTGTATATAAAAATTAGATCATGATAAACCTGACTTATAAGTGAACAAAGAAATCAGATAGGACGGGAGGGGGGTTCAATTTGAAGCCTATGCTTTGCGGGCAGGGCTTCATTTCATCATCATTATCTATATAAGTCGTTTATGTCTATGTCTTGACTCTCTAAAGGTAATCACAATATTTTACTTCCTTCCTATAATTAAAAAATTCCTTTATTCACAGTTGGCAAACAGTATAAATATCATCAGTGTAGATGACATGTAGTGAAATTAACCTGGTAGTGAAATTAACATTTTGCGGAAATGTAAAGGGCGTAGATTTTATTTGATTTGGACTAGTTATTTCTTGTATTTGAGTTTTGTTCTCCCATTAGGATTCTATTTGGTTCAATGCTGGGCAATGAAATATCCATAAGGCACAATTATAAATCTCATATTCTTCTTCTTCTTCTTCTTCTTTTTTTTTTTTTTTTTTTGAGACGAAGTCTTGTCTTGCTGCCCAGGCTGGAGTGCAATGACGTGATCTCGGCTCACTGCAACCTTTGCCTCCCAGGTTCAAGCGATTCTCCTGCCTCAGCCTCCCGAGTAGCTGGGATTACAGGCACATGCCACCACACCTGGCTAATTTTTTGTATCTTTAGTAGAGATGTGTTTCACCATGTTGGGCAGGCTGGTCTCCAACTCCTGACCTCATGATCTGCCCGCCTCGGTCTTCCAAAGTGCTGGGATTACAGGCGTGAGCCACTGCGCCTGGCCCAGATATCTGATATTATTTTACACAGAATTTTAAGTTCTTTAATATTTCCTTTAACTTTTTCTAAAACTGTCAGACAAAGCCAGGTATGGTGGTAAGTGTCTGTAGTCCCAGCTACTTGGGAGCGTGAGGTGGGAGGATCGCTTGAGCCCAGAAGTTTGAGGCTGTAGTGCATTATGTTTATGCCCGTGAATAGCCACTGTACTTCAGCCTGGGCAACAAAGCGAGACACCACCTCCAAAATAAAAAGCAAAAAACAATAAAACAAAAATTGTCAAATTACATATCTAGCAAATATTTTTATACTATTGCAGATGCAAAACAAATTACAAAAACTGTACTATGTAAAACAATAAAACACATGTCCAACTGATTTCTTTTCTTTTTTTTTGTTGTTGTTGTTTTTTGTTTTTTTTTGAGATGGAGTCTCGCTCTGTTGCCCAGGCTGGAGTGCAGTGGCGTGATCTCGGCTCACTGCAACCTCCACCTCCCGGGTTCACGCCATTCTCCTGCCTCAGCCTCTCCGAGTAGCTGGGACTACACGCGCCCACCACCATGCCCAGCTAATTTTTTTGTATTTTTAGTAGAGACGGGGTTTCACCGTGGTCTCGATTTCCTGACCTCGTGATCCACCTGCCTCAGTCTCCCAAAGTGCTGGGATTACAAGCGTGAGCCACCGCACCCCACCCAACTGATTTCTTAATGCCCTGAAGTAGAAGTTTTATGAAGTTCTTGTCTTGGCCTATCTTTTTGTCTTGGCCTATCTTAATGTTCTCACTTTGTGAAAACATTTATTAGTGGTCCTTTATATGTGCATATCAAGAATCATAGAGGCCAGGGGCATTGGCTTACCCCTGTAATCCCAACATTTTAGGAGGCTGAGGTAGGAGGACTGCTTGAGGCTAGGAGTTCAAGACCATCCTGGGCAACATAGTGAGACCCTATCTCTACAAAAAAATTACAAAAAATTAGCTAGGCATGGTGATGTGTGCCTGTAGTCCCAGCTACTAGGAAGGCTGAAGCAGGAGGATTGCTTGAACCTAGGAGGTCAAGGTTGCAATGAGCTATGATCAAGCCACTGCACTCCTTTCTGGGTGACAGGGCATGACCCTGTCTCTTTAAGAAAAAAAAAAAAAAAGAATCATAGGGATAGGGCAGGGAAGTAGTTACTTGTGTTCTCATGCAGACACTGAAGATTCTGAAAGCCAAAAAAGTAGGCCAACTCCTACATTATGAATTGGGAATGGAAAGAAGCTGCATAGAGGTGTTGCCGATAATCTCTGTTACAATATCTTTTTTACAATAATCTTTGTTACCAATGCTTACACTGTTTGTCTCTAGTGGGTTTAGTCATTTCCTTCTCCTTCCTTCCACCTAACCCATTCCCCCAAAGTCACCAAATGCCTTTCTTAATTATTTGGGAAGCTCCAGAAAGCTAAAAGAGCAGCTAAGCTCAGTTACAATTCATCCTACTCACATTCCTAAAATCTCACTAAAAAGCAATATAAAGGAGTGGTGAGAAGAGACAGGAAAATTAAGGTGTATTTTTGAGGTGCTTCAAAGGGAAATGAAAAGAGGGCCTAGATACACATACCAGACTTCAGTGCAATAAAGTATTTACAAACATCTGAATGGAATCACCAGGTCTCAATTCCAACCCAATAACAAGGAAAGAGTCAAATTAGATGGCTGGTTCTTGCTTATCAAAAGGGAATTTTAGAAATGTGATTAAAAAAACAACAACTGACTAGTTAAAAATAGAACCATGTGGATTATTTTCCTCGCATTGATACCATCCTGCCTCCCTTCCCCCAATTTCCTGCATAACCTAAGAAAGTAACTTTACTATCATGTTCTGTTTTTTAACTTTATAAAGTATTTACTTCATGAATGATGATTTTGTCATCACGGACTTCAGAATCTTAGCACTAGAAGGAATCTCAGACAATCTAATGACAATCCACTGGGACAGTCACAAATTCTTACTTGTCATGTCTGTGTATCCTTTTCTGAAGGATATTAGGAGAATTACGTACCTAGAATATGCCTGGCACTAATAAGTACTTAACTAATAGAATTTATTAAATTAAATGAAATATAATTAGATTGTGAAAAAAATTTCCAATAAGGCCTATGAAATGTAGAAGACATTTGAAGGGCTCTTACCTAGTAATATAATCTCTTAATAATAATACTTCACGATGATCACTTTTAAAGTGTCAATTTTAAAGAATAGGGATTGTCCATGTTTTTGTTTGTTTGATTGTTTTTGTTTGTTTGTTTTTGTTTTTGAGACAGGGTCTCACTTTATCACCCATGCTGGAGTGTGGTGGCAGGACTTCGGCTCAATGTAGCCTCAACCTTCTGGGCTCAAGCCTCGACCTCCTTGGCCGAGGCGAGTGGATCCCTTGAGCCCAGGAGTTCCAGATCAGCCTGGGCAACACGGTGAAACTCCGTCTCCACCAAAAAATACAAAAAAAGTAGCTGGGTGTGGTGGCATACGCCTGTAGTCCCAGCTACTCAGGAGGCTGAGGTAGGAGGATTGCTGGAGCCCAGGAGGTCGAGGCTGCAGTAAGCCGAGATTGTGCCACTGCACTCCAGCCTGGGCAACAGAGTGAGATCTTGTCTCAAACAAACAAAAAGAACAACATGTAAAGTCAACTACTGGAAACATCGTTTTTTCCTATTGGAGGCGATCCAGCCTTATAGTGAAAGAACATAGGCTTAGGAAATGAATAGATGAAAATTCCTAATTTAAAATCTGGATTTAATCACTTAAGAGTCATATGATTCTGAGCCAATTAGCCCCACTAAAATGGGGATAATGACACCTGCCTTACATTGTCGTTATGAGGATGAGAGATAATTGTATGTAAAGTGCTTAATTCCATGCCTGGCACAATATAGCTAACTGCTCTCATGCAGACACTGAAGATTCTGAAAGCCAAAGTGGGCCAACTCCTGCATCATCAACTGAGCATGGAAAGAAAAGCAGTATGTTTATACATGAACTCAATATTTATTATTATTATAATAGGTCAAAAGAAATTTCTCATATGATCATGCTGTAATTACTTCTACACAGCCACTATAAGTGGCAAAGACCAGCATACAACACAAGTTTTCCTTCTAACAGAATTCTACCAGATTTCTTTTTTAAGTTTTAGTATACTAATCAGGAAACACATTTATTATATCAGGCATGGTTATAAATAACTAAAAATGTGATCAGTCAATAAATTAAAGTAACAGATCTTGGCATGCAAGTTGCCAGAAAAATAATTTATTTATACTTTTGCTAAACCAGTATTATGATTTAATGTGTGATGTATTTAGAAATCTGAAAATATTGCTTCTTAGTAAAGAAGCTAATAATCTACAAGTAACAGTCAATTAAAGTACTTCTGTGTTAAGTAATTTAAAATTGAAATTAAATTCATCTTTTTTTTTTTTTTTTTGAGACAGGGTCTTGCTCTGTTGCCCAGGCTGGAGTACGGTGGCTCAATCATAGCTTACTGCAGCCTCAAACTCCTTGGCTGAACTCCTGGGCTCAAGCAATCCTCCCACCTCAGTCTCCTGAACAGGCAGGACTATAGGTGTCCATCACCACATGTAATTTTTTTTTTTTTCAAGACAGAGTCTTGCTCTGTCATCTAGGCTGGATGCAGTGGTGTGATCTCGGCTCACTGCAACCTCTGCCTCCCGGGTTCAAGCAGTTCTCCTGCCTCAGCCTCCCAAATGGTTAGGATTACAGGCACGTGCCACCATGCCCGGCTAATTTTTGTATTTTTAGTAGAGACGGGATTTCACCATGTTGGCCAAGCTGGTCTCGAACTCCTGACCTCAAGTGATCTGCCCGCCTCAGCCTCCCAAATGCTGGGATTACAGGCATGAGCCACCATACCCAGCCTCTTGTAATTAAAAAAAAAAAAAAAAAAAAAAAATTTGTAGAGATGGAGTCTCACTATATTACCCAGGCTGGTCTCGAACTCCTAGCCCCAAGCAATCCTCCTGCCTCGGCCTCCCAAAGTGCTGAGATCACAGGCATGAGCCACCACACTCAGCCTAAATTCATCTTTTAACAGGCACAAGAAATGTTATGGCTAATGATTTCTGCATGTGTTAGTAATATTACTGCTCCCTTAATATTACTGGCAGACCATATCTATTTCCAGAATTTATAATGAACCACTAGCAATTGATAAAACAGAACTTAAGAATTTTTTTTTTTTTTTAAGACGGAGTCTCACTCTGTTGCCCAGGCTGGAGTGCAGTGGCGAGATCTCGGCTTACTGCAAGCTCCGGTTCACGCCATTCTCCTGCCTCAGCCTCCGGAGTTACTGGGACTACAGGCGCCTGACACCGCGCCCGGCTAATTTTTTGTATTTTTTGTAGAGATGGGGTTTCACTGTGGTCTCGATCTCCTGACTTTGTGATCTGCCTGCCTCGGCCTCCCAAAGTGCTGGGATTACAGGCATGAGCCACTGCGCCCAGCAATAATTTTCTATTTACCAAAATTTAGATAAGCATAATTCATAAAAGATGGATTTTTTTGTTTTAATATGAAACCTCTGAACTTTACTTTGTTCTCTTTCAAAAAAGTATTTATTCCCTCAAAGAAAGATCACATTCTAAATGTAGAACTTAAAACTCAGAAATAATGGAATAACATAAAGAAACAAATGTTTTAGTATCCCTGCTTGTATCCAATTGGTTCTCAAATTTCAAATGAATGTGACAAAGCACTGACTAATAATCCAGTGTCCAAAAAGGTCCATCTAGTCAAATCACTAAATTAAACAATACCTGTTGTGAGTCAAGATACTGACCCTGAATTCTTCTTCACTATTTCCTTAAAAATACATCTTCCCCAGAAGCTAAATAAGTGGTACTCATTAAAGCTGGCAACAATAGACACCGAGGACTACTAGACAGGGGAGGAAAGGAGTAGGGAAAGGGGTGAAAAGTGACTACTGGGTACTCTGCTCAGTGCCTGGGTGATGGCATCAATCGTACCCTAAACCTCAGCATCACACACTAAGCCCAGCTAACAAATCTGCACATGTGCCCCTTAATCTAAAATAAAAGTTGAAATTATTTAAAAAACGTTTGAAATCGGCAAAAACAAAAGTTTACTTGATTTATAATTTCTTTTATTTTTTCAAGAGATATACAACCAATAACCACCATCTTATTAGTAAGATTTTAATGTTCAATTCTATATTTCCCTTATGAAAAGACTAATGAGAAAATGTATAACCATTATTATATTTTAATCTTTGGATGCCAATATTATATTTAAATCAATGATATGGCTTTAAATTTAGATCGGTTGAGTTGTCTTTGCAGAAGTTATTTGCTATACAGATAAAGTATATGTTAGAACCACAAATTAAAAGAAAATTTCTACTTTGACAATGTTTAGATTAGAAACAGTATCGAATGTTACATTTCTGTCTTCCAGAATATTTTTTTGTTTACTAAAGTCAGGACCTAATCGTAATGAAAAAAAATCACATCTTCCCTCAACTTTTCCCTGGAGGACTATAGTTCCGACTTACTTTACTTTTCTTAGGACTCAAAACTTCACAGCAGAAGAAATAAGGAACACTCATTAGCCCAAATCCATTTTTCCATATGAATATAATCTCTGTCATTTTATGCTCTTTTCTTTCCTGGTGTTCAAATAGTTATTTCACACTTTATCACATCCGAGTCCTTTTAACTTACTGCATTTCCTCTATCCATGGAATATTTTCATCCTTGTGTTTCTGTGGTCACTTGTCAATTTGCTTTTTTTCTTTCAGCTTTTCGCTCCCTCTGTTCAAAACAATGCAACTCCTGACCAGCTGACAACCGCAGTGCCAAGCCAAAGCAGAGGACACTGGTCGGTTCTGTCTGAGGTGGTTCTGGTCTCCAGTGAGTCTAATCTTTATGTCTTACAAGAGACCCAAATGAAAACCATAATGAGGGCAAATGACTAACTGAAAAAATTGTGACTAACATGTTTTCATAACACACTGACTGACAGGAAAATTACTTTGAAAAATGTGGTCTATTTTGATATACAGTACCAACTGTAATATCTCATAATTTACAATCCAGAGCAAAAAAACTATCACAGGAAGCTTTCTAGTTCTGTGAACAAAATACTTTATTTAACAGTATATTTTTAAAATTAATGACTGTCTAAATAGAGTGGATCATGGCAGATGGGAGGCAGGACTAGATTGCAGCTCCAGACAGAGAAGCATGTGGAGGCTTGCATTGTGAGTTTCAGCTCTAGATCAACTGCAAGAACAAACCAGCAATCTGGAGAGGAACCACAGATCCTCGGAAGGAAGTGAACTGCTCCTGCGGGATTCGGGAGACACCCCAAATACTGTGAGTGCCCCAACTGTCTAAGTGGGAAAGGGAGACCCTCCTCTCCCGAACACACACCGGAGAAGCTGAAGGTCTGTTTGTGGGAGAAGTTTCCGACTTTACCTAAAGCTGAGTCAAGTTAGAGAGCCAAGCGAAATACAGGGGTAGAGAAAGCAGCAGAAAGGCCCTGGGAGCTTGCCGGGTCCCAAAGCAGCCCATTCCTGCCTGGCACCACAGGGATCCCTCAGAAGGGTGGCCAGAGGAGCAGCAGGTAAAACTCCACAGGGAGAAGGAATTCTCTAGCTGAACTTTTTAACTATTTGAATGGGGTGAGAAGCCCCGGGGGTGGTGGGGGCTGCAAATCCGGGTTGCAGACTTCACAGGCAGGGGAAGAACTAAAGCACTTTTCTTTCACAGCTGGGAGGCGGATAGCCTCGGGCAAGTTTTCAAGCCCGTCTGGCAGCCCGTCTTGCCCTCTGCCTGGAAACAGACTCAGGGCTACTGGGGGGCACAGCGGGAGAGAAACTGGCCCTTCTGTTTGCGTGGGAGCTGGGTGAGGCCTGTGACTGCCGGCTTTCCCCCACTTTCCTGACAACTTGCATGACTCAGCAGAGGGAGCCATAATCTCCCTAGGTACACAACTCCAGTGAGCTGGGAATCTCACCCCCATCCCCCACAGCAGCTACATCAAGACCCGCCCAAAGAGAATCTGAGCTCAGACAGGCCTAGCTCCTTCCCAACCTGATGGTCCTTCCCTATCCACCCTGGTAGCAGAAGACAAAGGGCATATTATCTTGGGAGTTCAAGGGCCCCGCCCACCACTGGTCCCTCTCCACACTACTACACCTGATGCTTTCTGGAAGGCACCACCTCCTGACAGGAGGCCAACCAGCGCAAAAACAGAGCATTAAACCACCAAAGCTAAGGGCCCTCATGGAGCTCACTGCACCCTCCGCCACCTCCACCGGAACAGGCACTGGTATCCACAGCTGAGAGACCCATAGACGGTTCACATCACAGGACTCTGTGCAGACAATCCTCAGTACCAGCCTGGAGCCAGGGAGACTCGCTGGGTGGCTAGATCCAGGAGAGACAACAATCACTGCAGTTCGGCTCACAGGGAGTCACATCCATAGGAAAAGAGGGAGAGTACTACACCAAGAGAACACTCTGTGGGACAAAATAATCTGAACAACAGCCTTCAGTCCTAGACCTTCCCTCTGACAGAGCTTACCCAAATAAGAAGGAACCAGAAAACCAACCCTGGTAATATGACAAAACAAGGCTCTTCAACATCCCCCCAAAAATCACACTAGTTCACTAGTAATGGATCCAAACCAAGAAGAAATCTCTGATTACCTGAAAAAGAACTCAGGAGGTTAGTTACTAAGCTAATGAGGGAGGGAGCAGAGAAAGGCGAAGCCCAATGCAAGGAAATCCAAAAAATGATACAAGAAGTGAATGGAGAAATATTCATAGAAATAGATAGCTTAAAGAGAAAACAATAAAAAATTCAAGAAACTTTGGACACACTTTTAGAAATGGGAAATGCCCTGGAAAGTCCCAGCAATAGAACTGAACAAGTAGAAGAAAGAAACTCAGAGCTGGAAGACAAGGTCTTTGAATTAACCTAATCCAACAAAGACAAAGAAAAAAGGGTAAGAAAATATGAACAAAGCCTCCAAGAAGTCTGGGATTATGTTAAATGACCAAACCTAAGAATAATCGCTGTATCTGAGGAAGAAGATAATTCTAAAAGCCTGGAAAACATATTTGGGGGAATAATTGAGGAAAACATCCCCGGCCTTGCAAGAGACCTAGACATCCAAATACAAGCAGCACAAAGAACACCTGGAAATTCATTGCAAAAAGATCTTCGCCTAGGCACATTGTCATCAGGTTATTCAAAGTTAAGACGAAGGAAAGAATCTTAAGAGCTATGAGACAGAAGCAACAGGTAACCTATAAAGAAAAACCTATCAGATTAACAGCAGATTTCTCAGCAGAAACTCTACAAACTAGAAGAGACTGGAGCCCTATCTTCAGCCTCCTCAAACGAAACAATTATCAGCCAAGAATTTTGTATCCAGTGAAACTAAACATCATATATGAAAGAAAGATACAGTCATTTTTCAGACAAACAAATGCTGAAAGAATTTGCCATTACCAAACCACCACTACAAGAACTGCTAAAAGGAGCTCTAAATCTTGAAACAAATCCTGGAAACATATCAAAACAGAACCTCTTTAAAGCATAAATCACACGGGACCTACAAAACAAAAATACAAGTTAAAAAGCAATAACAAAAAACAAAACCAAAGCCCACAGGCAACGAAGAGCACGATGAAAGCAACAGTACCTCACATTTCAATACTAACATTGAATGTAAATGACCTGAATGCTCCACTTAAAAGATACAGAACTGAAGAATGGATAAGAACTCACCAATCAACTATCTGCTGCCTTCAGGAGACTCACCTAACATACATAACGACTCACATAAACTTAAGGTAAAGGGGTGGAAAAAGGCATTTCATGCAAATGAACACCAGAAGCGAGCAGGGGTAGCTATTCTTTTTAGTTGTTTTTTTTTGTTTTGTTTTGTTTGAGATAGAGTCCTGCTCTGACATTCAGGCTGGCATACAGTGGTGCTATCTTGGCTTACTGCAACCTCTGCCTCTCAGGTTCAAGTGATTTTCCTGCCTCAGCTTCCCAAGTAGCTGGGATTACAGGCACTCGCCACCATGCCTGGCTAATTTTTGTATTTTTAGTAGAGACAGGGTTTCACCATGTTGGCAAGGCTGGTCTCAAACTCCTGACTTCAGGTGATCCTCCTGCCTTGGCCTCCCAAAGTGCTGGGATTACAGGTGTGCGACACCACGCCTGGCTGGGTAGCTATTCTTATATCAGGCAAAACAAACTGTAAAGCAACAGTGGTTAAAAAAGACAAAGAGGCACAGTATATAATGGTAAAAGGCCTTCTCCAGCAGGAAAATATCACAATCCTAAACATATATGCATCTAATACTGGAGCTCCCAAATTTATAAAACAATTACTAATAGACCTAAGAAATGAGATAGACAGCAACACAATAATAGTGGGGGACGTCAATACTCCACTGGCAGCATTAGACAGGTCATCAAGACAGAAAGTCAACAAAGAAACAATGGATTTAAACTACATCTTGGAACAAATGGACTTAATGGATATATACAGAACATTTCATCCAACTACCACAGAATACCCATTCTATTCAACAGCACATGGAACTTTCTCCAAGATAGACCATATCATAGGACATAAAACAAGCCTCAATAAATTTAAGAAAACTGAAATTTTATCAAGCACTCTCTCAAACCACAGTGGAATAAAACAGGAAATTGACGCCAAAAGGAACCTTCAAAACCTGCAAATACATGGAATTTAAATAACCTGCTCCTGAATGAGCATTCAGTCAAAAATGAAATCAAGATGGAAATTAAAAAATTCTTCAAGCTGAATGACAATAATGACACAACCTATCAAAACCTCTGGGATACAGCAAAGGCGGTGCTAAGAGGAAAGTTCACAGCCCTAAATGCCTACATCAAAAAGTCTGAAAGAGCACAAACAGACAATCTAAGGTCATACCTCAAGGAACTAGAGAAACAAGAACAAACCAAATCTAAACCCAGCAGAAGAAAGGAAATAACCAGGATCAGAGCAGAACTAAATGAAATTGAAACAAAAAAAAATTACAAAAGATAAATGAAACAAAAAGCTGGTTCTTTGAAAAGATAAATAAAATTGATAGACCATTAGCAAGATTAACCAAGAAAAGAAGACAGAAAATCCAAATAATCTCACTAAGAAATGAAACTGGAGATATTACACCTGACACCACTGAAATACAAAGGATCATTCAAGGCAACACCTTTACGCACATAAACTAGAAAACCTAGAAGAGATTGATACATTCCTGGAAAAATACAACCCTCCTAGCTTAAATCAGGAAGAATTAGATACCCTGAACAGACCGATAACAAGCAGCAAAATTGAAATGGTAATTAAAAAATTACCAACAAAAAAAAGTCGAGGACCAGATGGATTCACAGCAGAATTCTATCAGACATTCAATGAAACACCAGTACCAATCCTTTTGACACTATTCCACAAGATACAGAAAGAAGGAACTCTCCCTAATTTATTCTATGAAGCCAGCATCACCCTAATACCCAAACCAGGAAAGGACATAACCAAAAAAGAAAACTACAGACTAATATCCTTGATGAACACAGATGCTAAAATCCTTAACAAAATACTAGCTAACCAAATCCAACAACATATCAGAAAGATAATCCACCATGATCAAGTGGGTTTCATACCAGGGATGCAGGGATAATTTAACATACAAGCCAATAAATGTGATACACCACATAAACAAAATAAAAAACAGAAATCAAATGATCATTTCAATAGATGCAGACAAAGCACTGGACAAAATTTAGCATCCCTTTATGATTAAAGCTCTCAGCAGAACTGGCATACGAGGGACATACCTTAATGTAATAAAAGCCATCTATAACAAACCCACAGTCACCATAATACTGAATTGGGAAAAGTTGAAAGCATTCCCTCTGAGAACTGGAACAAGTGCCCACTCTCACCACTCCTTTTCAACATAGTACTGGAAGTCCTAGCCAGAACAATCAGACAAGAGAAAGAAATAAAGGGCATCTAAATCGGTAAAGAGGAAGTAAAACTGTCACTGTTTGCTGACGGTTATAATCATTTACCTTGAAAACCCCAAGGACTCCTCTAGAAAGCTCCTAGAACTGATAAAAGAATTCAGCAAAGTTTCCGGATCTGAGATTAATGTACACAAATCAGAAGCTCTTCAATAAACCAACAGCGACCAAGCAGAGAACCAAATCAAGAACTCAACCCCTTTACAATAGCTGCAAAAAAGTTAAAATCCTTAGTAATATATTTAACAAAGGAGTCCAAAGACCGCTACATGGAAAACTACAAAACACTGCTGAAAAAAATCACAGACAATGCAAACAAATGGAAACACATCCCATGCTCATGGATGGGTAGAACCAGTATTGTGAAAATGACCATACCACTGAAAGCAATCTACAAATTCAATGCAATCCTCATCGGAATACCATCATCATTCTTCACAGAATTAGAAAAAACAATTCTAAAATTCATATGGAACTAAAAAAGAGCCCGCATAGCCAAAGCAAGACTAAGCAAAAAGAACAAATTTAGAGGCATCACACTACCTGATTTCAAACTATACTATAAGGCCATAGTCACCAAAACAGCATGGTACTGGTATAAAAACATAGACCAATGGAACAGAATAGAGAACCCAGAAATAGACCTAAATACTTACAGCCAACTGATCTTTGACAAAGCAAACAAAAACATAAAGTGGGGAAAGGACATCCTTTTCAACAAATGGTGCTGGGATAATTGGTTAGCCACATGTAGGAGAATGAAACTGGATCCTCATCTCTCACCTTATACAAAAATCAACTCAATATGGATTAAGGACTTAAAACCTAGGACCTGAAACTATAAGAATTCTAGAACATTGGAAAAACCCTTCTAGACATTGGCTTAGGCAAGGATTTCATGACCAAGAACCCAAAAGCAAATGCAATAAAAACAAAGATGAATAACTGGGACCTAATTAATGAGCTTTTGCACAGCAAAAGGAACAGTCAGCAGAGTAAACAGACAACCCACAGAGTGGGAGAAAATCTTCACAATCTATATACATCTGACAAAAGACGACTATCCAGAATCTACAACAAACTCAAACAAATCAGTAAGAAAAAAACAATCCCATCCAAAAGTGGGCTAAGGACACGAATAGACAATTCTCAAAAGAAGGTATACAAATAGCCAATAAACATATGAAAAAATGCTCAACATCACTAATGATCAGGGAAATGCAGATCAAAGCCACAGCGCGATACCATCTTACTTCTGCAAGAATGGCCATAATCAAAAGATAAAAAAACAGTAGATGTTGGAGTGGATGTGGTAACAGGGAACACTTCTACACTGCTGTTGGGAATGTAAACTAGTACAGCTACTATGGAAAATGATGTGGAGATTCCTTAAAGAACTAAAAGTAGAATTACCATTTGATCCAGCAATCACACTACGGGGTTTCACCCAGAGGAAAAGAAGTCATTCTTCGAAAAAGATACTTGCACATGCATGTTTACAGCAGCACAATTCACAATTGCAAAATCACGGAAGTAACCCAAATGCCCATCAATGAGTGGATAAAGAAACTGTGCCAAATATATATATATATATACATATGCATACATACACATACACACACACACGTACACGATGGAATACTGTGCAGCCATGAAAAGGAATGAATTAACAGCATTTGCAGTAACCTGGATGAGATAGGAGACTATTATTCTAAGTGATGTAACTCAGGGATGGAAAACCAAACATTGTATGTTCTCACTGATACGTGGGAGCTAAGCTATGAGGACGCAAAGACATAAGAATGATACAATAAATTTTGGGGACTTGGGGTGAAGAGTGGGAGGGAGGCGAGGGATAAAAGACTACAAATATGGTGCAGTATATACTGCTTGGGTGATGAGTGCACCAAAATCTCACAAATCAACACTAAAGAGCTCACTCACGTAACCACGTAACACCCGTACCCCAATAACTTACGGAAAAATAAATAAATAAATAAAATTAATGACTGTCTAAATAAATATACTTACTTACATTTTTGAATAGTTGCTCAGCAAGTTCCCTGACATGCTTTATCATCTTCACTGGGTTATTTTCTTCAACTTTAATTCTCTCTACTTCAAAGGCTACCAACTAGGAAAAAGAATCAAATGGCAAAACATCAATTCCAAAATATGCCAAATTCAAAAACTGTGATAATTTCATACAATTTGCAAGCCAAAAAAATCCAACATATACATTATTTTTAAAACAAAATATTTCAGGTTTTGGGGTTTCACCTCCATTCTGGGGTTACAGGGTCAATCAAACCCTTGAATTGTCTAGTGGTTCCTCCCTGAGGATTTAGGGCCCTATTTCTTCTAGGGAAAAGTCATTTCTGGAACTCAGAGAGACCCTGTCATTCCACAGGCCTCAGTCAGAGAAATTCAGACAGTCAGAAAGTGTCTAAACATTTCCTTAACTCACAAAACATGAACCAAATGTTCAAGTCAGGATGCTCAGACTCTAGTCCTAGCTCTGCTGACAGTGTGTGATCTGGGACAAGGCACTTAAACTCCTAAGCTTCAGTTTTCTCATCTCTAAAATAAGATGGAAGAACAAGATGACCCTTAGACTCCTTCTAGTTCTCAAACTATCTCTTTATTAACTAATTTACTGGGAGAACTGTGTGAGTCTGTATACTTAGGGGTAAAGAAAAGAAGGCTGACAGAAAAAAAAAATTGTGGGGGGGTAAATAGATGGATGACAAAAATAAAAAGGTACAATACAGGATTCTTCTAGGAACTAATAGACTCACTGCATAGGCATATAAAACTATGGCTTACCTATTCTAGGCTAGGATAAAGAAAGACTGTCAAGGGCAAACATTCTTTTCATTCTAAGACATCTATCTGATGGAAGTGTGAGGACAAGGCCATGCACAATGCAAGCTGCCTCTCAAAGCCCCCATAACACCCCATTGTGGTAGGCTGCCTCAGGCTAAGTGAAAACAAGGATCACTTTCCCAGGAGCAAATGCTATTTTTCTACCAAAGCATTCCCATGCAAACGGCCAAAGAGGGTAGAATGAGAAATTATTTAGTTCTGATGGCTCATTTTTCTTAGGCTCTTGACTGATACATACATATGATTAGCTGGCAGTCAAGTAACATAAGTAAGACACCCAAAGTCACCACTGTAGGCCAAACAGAGAACTGGATGAACACTAAGGGGTGACTCAGTAGGAACCTTGGACAGAGTCCTTGCCTTATCATTGTTTCCAATCTAGACTATATTTGTACAAACAATAAATAAATAAAAAATAAGTTACCATATAAAGTTAGAGACAAAATGAAGCCTAACGCAGTCGAGTGGCTCTCAGAGTCAACGACTTTGGGAGAGTTTGGAAGAGATGGTGAGATAAGAGCAGAGTATGAAGAACAGAGGAGGGCACTCCAAGCAAGGGAAAGACCTACAAAAATAGAGGCTGTGGCAAGCAAGTTTTCTGCAAGTAACTAATCTCACTTTTTAGTTGTGATGAAGCTGTCAGAGGAAGATAAATTTGAATAGAAAAGAAAGAGTATATAAACCAATGTTACTATTCATAAAGCTTCAAAGACTAACAAAATGTAGGTGCTAGAAAAGACCTTGGAGAGCATCTATTTTAATCCCATAAAATATTATGTTATGAATTACTTAGTACAGAATCTAAAGGCTGATATGTTAGTAGAATCAATAACCAATCATATTAGATGGTAATATTAGAGAATCAATGACCAATAATTGATTAGAAAAACTTGTCCACCTCAGGATGTTTCCTAAATCTTCATATGCTTTGTGTTTTTAATTAAAGCATCTGATGCAGTAAACATATTCTACACAGAACTAAAATATGTGCCTCTTCTTTAAAAATTCTTACCTGTGAATACTTCACTATCTTTACAAAAAATAAAAGATCCTTCTCCTCTGAACCAAAGATATTTAAGACCTTGATTCCTACCTTCTCTATATAAAAGAAAATCACCAGAAGCAAAACATGATCACTGCCACGATTCTCCAATATCTTGGGTTCTAGGAGTGTTGTTCTTTTATAGATTTCAAGAAACTTTTTACATTTTTGGTTCTAATATAGTACTCTTTCAAAAATTGAAATGAGAATAATATTCTTGTTCTATCCACCAGAGTGGGCTGCTGTGAATATAGAGTTAAATGATAAAAGGAAAGATGCTTTTAAAAAAGAGCACAATAAATGCAAAACAGCATCCTTATTTTGAGTCACATCTGCCCTATTTCTCCCTTTATATGGCTAATTCCTTGAAGATAGAGACAAAAATTTGTCTTCCATATATTTAATGTCTCCTAAGACAGGTAGAGAAATGTTGATAATTGATTAGTGAGAATGCCACAAACTTAAACTATGGCTCTATGATTTTGATAGACTAAATGTAACTCCAGTTTGAAGTAATTTCAGCTATCTTAGCTTCAAATTAGACCTTTCTCCCTAAAACACTGACAAAAGAATTACTGTATTAGGGCCTTTAAAAATAAGACTTCTATTTATACAATCACTATTAAATTTTCAAAAATATTTTAAACAACCATTTTTTAAAATGTAATATTTTAAAATATGAGTAGCTTTTGGAGTATGAGTGGTTTTCGGTTACATGGATGAATTACATAGTGGCGAATTCTGAGATTTTAGTGCACTCATCACCTGAGTAGTATACATTGTTCAATTATTTAAAATTCAGTTGTTCAAAAATTATATGTATTTCCAAGGCATCTTATAATTTTTTGTAATTTTTATAATCCACATTAAAATATCGAGATTTGATAAGCATAATAAATAACATTGGGATTATTTAATACCTAATTTATATTTGACTATATAAATATGGAAAATGTTACTTTTTACTTTTAACTACTAGTCTAATTATGTCTATAAATAATGCCTTCATTTAATAAGAGCTATACCTCATCAAAGAGATCACAAGATCTATAAGGAGGACCTCTTTCTGAAACAAAACCTGCAAATGCCATTCCACTGAGTACTTTAGTGAGGAAATCATTCTCGACCAAACCACGCTGCCCCAAGAATGCTGTCTGTGAAAAAAGAAAATGTGAAATAATAATTTATCACTTGGTAACGGACAAATGGTCAAAACAGAAATACAATAAAAAGATCAAAGCCTATATAAATCCCTTCATGTATAAATATATGCTGTCATAAAATATATTTCTCTCAAAGAGAGTTATTCTGAAATACTACATATATTGAAAAGAATAAAAATGAATCTGTCTACATGTCAGGAGAAGAAATCAGAAATTAACATTCAATTTTAAAAGAAAAATTGATTTAAAGTTAACATATTCTAAGATATTATGAGTTCCATATTATTATTAAGAACTGATATCTAACCACACAGAGATTTTAAATAATCACATTTGATAAATCAAGGTCAAAATAAATGGCTCGGAAAAAAAACCAAGTAGTTTTATTAAATTAGAATATATTTTTTGGACAGATACAATATAGTACTCTATCTTACCTTGTGGAAATGTATTACTGGCTCTGCATGAATTCTTATAAGTTGCAGGCAGGATCTATATCCTTGGAAGAGTTGTGCAAATAATCTAAGGAAAACGGCTCGCACCTCTTTATCCTAAAAATATAAGAAGAAATGTTAGGTAATTTAACTTTTTAAAAACAAATGAAATATCAAGTCAAAAAGGTGAAAAGGGCATATATTCCAAGTCCTTTGATTTTTATATCCACCAAAACAATTACAGTCACAACCAAACATAAGAAGAAAAAACTCTCAAGATTGTATTTAATCCAGCTTTTATTGGAATCACAGTTTAGAACTGTAAGGAAACTTACAGATTCTGTTAGTCAATGCCTTACTTAATTGATCAGGAAATGAAGGTCAAGAATGCTTAAGTATATGTGTTCAGCTCCCTGAGGTTCCTTATTGGCTACAAAGCCCACTGCTAAGAAATGCACTGAGCAAAATAAAAAAGGGGCCTCTGTTATATACGTAACCTTTTATGGCTTCTAATTGAAACTATTTTCATCCACAGACTCTTCAAACTTGATTCTCTCCTATAACCAACATTCTTTATATCCATTCTTGTAAGCATCTCTTTTGTTTTGAATCCTTGTGTGGCCATTTCAATTTGATGCTTGGCACAGTTTTCCAGGCTATAATCTAGGCTCTGATTTTCTGTCCTACACTTAACTCATGCCTCCTCAGGGCAACAGTCTTAGCCCTAGTGGCCTCTTGCCCAGTGAACTTCCCTGTGGCTCCTCCTTGAGCAGGACATAAGGACAGTCAGCGGCAAGTATCCTAATTTCTAATTTGGGGCACTTTTTACTCTGCTGTCCATCTAACTCTAACTTCACTTAGCTTCTTTAACAACCCTATAAATAAAAATACAGCTCTCTTTAACAGCATTAAATTTAAATATTAAACTTCTTACCAGCATTTTTGAGTGGGATAAAGCTGTTCGTGGAGGAGGAAAAGCATGATCTGCTACTTCCAAATCTGGGTGTAAAATCTAAAGCAAAAAAGTTTTGTTATGTAAAATATCATAATATCAATGAAATCTATTATTGAGACATTAAGATGAAAATGTCAGCATATGAATTATAATATATTCCCTCCATGAATACAATTCAATTAGCTGGGGTAGTTCTATATGTACTATTGTAGAAAGATCTCCAAGACAAAATATTCAGTTGAAACATGTTCGGCCGGGCGCGGTGGCTCACGCCTGTAATCCCAGCACTTTGGGAGGCTGAGGCAGGCAGATCACGAGGTCAGGAGATCGAGACCATCCTGGCTAACACGGTGAAACCCCATCTCTACTAAAAATACAAAAAAATTAGCCGGGCGTGGTGGTGGGCGCCTGTAGTCCCAGCTACTTGGGAGGCTGAGGCAGGAGAATGGCGTGAACCCGGGAGGCGGAGCTTGCAGTGAGCCGAGATTGCGCCACTGCACTCCAGCCTGGGCGACAGAGCGAGACTCCATCTCAAAAAAAAAAAAAGAAAAGAAAACATGTTCTAGAAAAATACACATAGTATGGCCTAATTTATTTGAAAATAAAACAAAATAAACCCTAAATCTATATATGTACATATATATATATATATGAAAATGAAAAGTTCTGAAAAAAATACACTAAACTATAAAATAGTAGTCATTTCTGGTAAGGGAATAATCTAGGCCAGAGCTATTTGTCTATATAGTTGAATTTTTAAAAACAGCTGCTTGTTTTTATGTTTCTAAGTGTAATTAAAAATTACTGAGGAGAGGCCAGGTGCAGTGGCTCACGCCTGTAATCCCAACACTTTGGGAGGGCAACGTGGGTGGATCACTTCAGGTCAGGAATTTGAAACCAGCCTGGCCAACATGGTAAAACCCTGTCTCTACTCAAAATACAAAAATTAGCCAGGCATGGTGGCACATGCCTGTAGTCCCAGCTACTTGGGAGTCTGAGGCAGGAGAATAGCTTGACCCTGGGAGGCAGAGGTTGCAGTGAGCTGAGATCGCACCACTGCACTCCAGCCTGGGCGACAGTTATAACAAGACTCTGTCTCAAAAAAAAAAAAATAAAAATTACTGAGGAGACAGAAAATAAGATTTTGAACTTTGCAGTCTAGACAGGTGAAAGTATAAAACTATGTCACAGAAGTGCAAAAATATATAAAGTGCAATACATGAAATGTGTAATTAATTCAACTTAGGGAAGACTAAACAAAAAACAAAGTAACATTTGAGTTAGGCTTTGAAGGAAAGCAGGTTGGGGAGCATCTGGGAAAGAAGGACCTGTGAAGGACTTGCACAGAGAAGATGAAATTATATCAGTATGTAGCAAATTTTCTTCTTGCAGAATCATTTTCAACTACTAAGATTTTTGATGCTATGCTGAGAATAGACCAAAAGACTCAAAGCAACACTTAAAGGCAACACTAAAATATTGGCAGTTCAAGTCACTGAATCACTACCACAGTACAAAATATCTTAGTGTCTACAAAATAATCCATATTACACAGTTTAAGTACAGTGTTGCCATTTGATTATAATTATTTACGAATGAAACAAAGCTTATATACTTGTGTGTCAATGCTCCCAATCATCCATGAAATTTAGTCTCTTTTTGGTCTAGTTTGACAATACATTATGCTCCTATTTCTTTTTTTCTTTTCTTTTTTTTTTTTTATTTTGAGACAGAGTTTTGCTGTTGTTGTCCAGGCTGGAGTGCAACGGCGTGATCTCGGCTCACTGCGACCTCCGCCTCCTGGGTTCAAGTGAGCCTCCTGTCTCACCTCCTGAGTAGCTGGGATTACAGGTGTGCACCACCACACCCGGCTAATTTTTTGTCTTTTTTTTTTTTTTGGTAGAGACGGGGTTTCACCATGTTGGTCAGGCTGGTCTCGAACTCCTGACCTCAGATGATCCGCCCGCCTCAGTCTTCCAAAGTGTTGGGATTACACGCATGAGCCACCGCACCCGGCCGTATGCTCCTATTTCTTATTCACAGTACATTAAGTAGTATCTAATCCACCACTGTGCTTAGTAACTATAACAATACGTATACTCAGTTTTACCAAAAAGGAATTTTACACATTGATCAAATTTGGTGGCACGGGTGTTGCAGGTTTAGGTATACGAGTATGCAGCAGAACCCTTACCAGGAGCCATTGGCTTAAGAAGTACAATCTTAATCTTTGTTAATTTTGCTACTTAACCCCTAAATAACTATTCATATCACTAGTAAGTAACCACACATAAGATTTAATCACTGTAGGAATTCTAGAAACATTAAACTTTCTTCAGTCATTCAAATACTACCTTCTCAGCTTTTGCTATATCCATATACCATCTATGCAATTATGTAGTTAATATTTTTCTTTAAATTGTCTTTAAATCAACTCACCTTCTTTTTTTGTTTATTTTGTTTTTTGAGATGGAGTCGAGCTCTGTCACCCAGGCTGGAGTGCAGTGGCGCAGTCTTGGCTCACTGCAACCTCCGCCTCCCAGGTTCATGCTATTCTCCTGCCTCAGCCTCCTGAGTAGCTGGGATTACAGGCGTGCGCCACCACGCCCAGCTAATTTTTGTATTTTTAGTAGAGATGGGGGTTTCACCATGTTGGACAGGCTGGTCTCGAACTCCTGACCTCGTGATCTGCCTGCCTCGGCCTCCCAAAGTGCTGGGATTACAGGCGTGAGCCACCGCACCCTGCCAAACTCGCCTTCTTAAACCCAGTATTTTCTTAGATGATAGTTGAGCAATGACAGGTTCTATATGCTATTTTAAGTACACATTATAATAAAAACATAATTATTAAAATAAAAAAGGTTGACCACATATTACCCCAAATCATCACCATGCTTCATTTTGGCAAACAATCACCTAGTCATCTCTGTAAAAACATTCAACCTACAGGTAAAGACCAGGAGACAGCCTAGAGATAAAAATGTGATTCTCAATAATACCAAGTGGCAGAACACAGACTGGAATTCAGGTATCCTGTATCCCACACTAGTGTCTTTTGCACTCTATCACATCTTGCATTTCAGATTACAAATTATATAAGGAAAAGTCAGTCTTCTCTAACTGTTCCCATTTCATAGATACCACCATGATAACAAAAAGACTAACACAAATTTGAAAGTTTTCTGAGAATAAAATCCCTCCTGGTAATCCTAGGCTTCTAAGTTTCTATTTAAGAGGGGAAAAAATGTTTTAAATAGCCCAGAATAAAATATTCTTAAAGTAGACTATTAAGGCCTTAGTTCTAGTGATATCTTGAAAAGCAATGCAGAATTTCTACAGTTCAATTTTCTGATCATAAGCACCTAAAAGGCTATCAGTAAAACAAAATACTGTTTTCAAAATTTGGCTAAGGTAAAATAACTGCAAAAAAATTTAAATTTGTTTCAATGAGAAAAACCCAAGCCACAAGATTTTTTAAAGCTTTATTTGGCTTGAATGTAGCATATACTTCTTCTTTGGTATTTCTATTCATATGGCATTAAGAATGGAATGTTGGGCCGGGCGCGGTGGCTCACGCCTGTAATCCCAGCACTTTGGGAGGCCAAAGCGGGCAGATCACGAGATCAGGAGATCGAGACCATCCTGACTAACACAGTGAAACCCTGTCTCTACTAAAAATACAAAAAATTAGCCGGGCGTGGTGGCGGGCGCCTGCAGTCCCAGCTACTCGGGAGGCTGAGGCAGGAGAATGGTGTGAACCCGGGAGGCGGAGCTTGCAGTGAGCCCAGATCGTGCCACTGCACTCCAGCCTGGGCGACAGAGCAAGACTCCGTCTCAAAAAAAAAGAATGAATTTTGGACACTTTATGTATCAATATGACACATCTTTCTGTAATAACCTGAAAGTATTGGCAAGACAATATTACAGTGTTTTGTAGGTACCAAAGAGGAATGAGATGCCAATAGGGAGGTTAGAGAAGAGAAGCCAACATCTAATGGGGGATCTTAGGGGAATCAGGGATTTCAAGGCAGAGCCTTGTTTTCAAAGGTGAATTTCCAATACCTAGGACAGTACTAGGTCCTGTATGCTGAATGAAGGAAGGAATGTAGAACAAATATTCAGTTAGGATCCAAAATATATGCTTTAGATAACTACCTAGTAAATGAAGAATTCTAAATACTGTATGAGATTATGTTCATGTTTCAAATATATAGCTCTCTTTAAATTAAAGTAACAAACTGCATTGACAAACATTTTTAATTTTAGCTATCTTAGCTTCAGATTTAAATAAAGAGAAAGTTACTATTACAAAAATATGTCATACCAAAGAAAGAGCTGATTGAGTCTGATGTAGAAGTGGTTCTGGGAGGGAAGAGAGGTGAATACATTCGGGAATTTTAATAGTGCCTCCATCCAAATCTGCTATGATTACATCTAACTGAAAGAGATAAAAAAATTAACCTATAATTACCAAAATACATTTGTTGTTAAGCAAATTATTTTTCCCTTGACTAATTCAAAACGAGAAGAATCAGATGTGGAAGAGACTCTTGTTTGTCCATAGTAGTAGAATTCTGGGCTAACAAGTTCCCACCTACCCTGTATTTCCCAGGTTCCTTTGAAATTAAGTGTGGCATGTGGCTAAGATTCTGCCAATAAAACATGAGAAGTGACATGTGTTTTCCTGTCCTTCAAGACAGGGGATATGTAAAGCTCTCCTATGCTGTCTTTCCTTTTCCCTTAGACTGAAATTATTAACTGGCAGCAAACCAGCCTTCAGCATACACATGATGACAATGCCTGGGAGGATTCTGTTGGAGAAACAAGAAGGAAGGAAACTTGGATCTTGAGTGACTTCATAGAGCAAACTGGTCTGGCATAATGGAACATCTCTATGGACTGCTGCATGAATGTTCGATAACACTTTATTTTGTTTGAGCCATTGCATTTTGTTCTGATTTTACTATATATGCTGCTGCAGCAAGCACAGAGGATTGCATTTGAGACACTTTATTCAAGTAGTTTAGTAATATTCTAAAAAAATTAGTATTTATTATAAGAATTAACAATTAGTATACATCAAAAGGGTGCTGTTTAGCCACTTAGAAAAAGCTGATCTTTAGCATTTTACAAAAGTCTATTTAAAAATAACTTACATAAAAGTGTAAGAGAAAACAACCAAGATGAGTGAAGTTGTTATATTGACAATATTATACTTCATTCTAATTTATTCATTACGATTTTAAGAAATTTGCATTTGGCAACACTTGGTTTGTCCTACCTCCAGCGACTGTTTTTATTTATTTGGCAACACTTGGTTGGTCCTACCTCCAGTGACTGTATGTATGTATGTATGTATGTATGTATGTATGTATGTATGTATGTATGTATTTATTTTTGAGACAGAGTCTTACTCTCGCCCAGGCTGGAGTATAGTGGTGCAATCTTGACTCACTGCAACCTCCACCTCCCAGGTTCAAGTGATTCTCCTGCCTCACCCTCCTGAGTAGCTGGGATTACAGGCATGCACCACCACACCCAGCTAATTTTTTGTAGTTTTAGTAGAGACAGGGTTTCTCCATGTTGGCCAGGGTGGTCTCAAACTCCTGACCTCAGGTGATCCGCCTGCCTTGGCCTCCCGAAGTGCTAGGATTACAGGTGTGGGCCACCGTGCCTGGCCTCCAGTGACTGTTTATATTTAGCAGAAATAAAATTATGTACAAACCAGGTGGATATGCTTCTAACTAGTATTAATTAGGTTTTATTAAATGTTTATTGATTTACACATATTTTTATACAGTGATACCAAAATTAAATAGGAACTAAGTATCAACATATAAAGTTAGAAAGAATGATGACTATACGAATGAAAGTCCTGCTTATAATTATAATGTTAAATAATATTTTGTTAGTTTAAATGACACCTCTGATTTGGTTACAACTATAATTACTTCTTTGCTGGCATTTAAAACTAAAACAGAAGAAGAATTACAAAATCTTAGGGATCTGTGGATCATAGATGCTATGCAGCCTAACTTTACAGTGAAGAATTTTTCTCAGGCTCTCTGAAAAGTGTCACATAATCTTTTCCTTACACTCTACTTACAGTGCTTGAGAGTACACTCCTCATCTCACATAAGGAAATCCATTCCATAACCAGGCAGTTCTAATTGTTGGAAACACTTTTACTGGGCAGAAATCTGTTTCTATAGCCACTTCATCCACTGATTTTATTTCAGCCTTTTAGAGTTACAAAAAATGAATCTCAACCCTTCTTCTATGACAGTAACTTAAATACTTACTTTTACCTATCAAATAGTATCAGATTATTACCTGAGAAAATTTCCTTAGGCCCTTACAGAACATAGTTTCTAAATACTTGATAATCCTGGATGTCCTTTTCTGATGTGCTTTATTTTGTTACAGTCCCTCATAAAGTGTGATACACAGAACTAAATGAATTATTCCAGAACTGGCTTGAATATAGAGTATACTTTTGCTTCTTCTATTCATATGGCATTAAGAATACAAAAATTTCGTGGAAGCTCATACCAAACTTCTGTTCCACTAAAACTCTTCACTCTTTTGCATATGCTTTCTGCTTTGTTAGTTATCAGGAATTTGGTATCAAGACACGTCTCACTTCAAAATATAAAACAATTATGCACTAATATCAAAAGTATAAATAGAATTTTATCTTTTGTCATATGTAAGATGAATAATAAAGATAAACAATGTACCAAAAGAGGGATATTTAAAAATATTAATAAATTCCTTTATAAAACCTCCTATACTTGCTATATGGCAAAATTAATATACAGACTTTTCAATGATATTTTTCTTCTATCCAATCTTTTCTACTGGAAATGCTACAGATCTGAAAATAGTGATGAGTTGAAATGTTATAGGACCCAAAGAAATATGATAAACTTCTGGACTCAATAACTGGAAACTTTAAAGATGAATACTTACAAGTTCATGGACATCAGTTTTAAAGACAGAATGTACTCCAATAATGAAAGGCGTTGGGGAACTTAGAACTTCCAGTAGCTGAGCCGGGAGAATAGGGATATAAGGATAACTGGAAATAATAAAAATATGCGTCAAATATATTTTTCTTTAACATAAACATATCTTCTTTCATCTTTATGCTGTGTTAAGTTTTATATTACCTATGTTTAGAAATTATCAATAATGTTTTCATGCTTTTTAATACTAAAATTTTGGAAAAAATGATTTAAAAATCTTCATGTGAAAGATACAATCAGATATAAGACATAAAATAAATGGAATCCAAGCCTGCTTCCTTAACCTTTGTTTCTTCTAGGCAAGCAGTCTCTTTAGGTCTTCTAGTACTGTTTGAAAGCATTTTTCCTTACATAGAAACCCGACATTAGACAGTAACACTGACTCTCTGATAGGGCCTCCCCTCTCAGTATGAGGCAATGATTTATCTATACAAAACAAGCATTCAAATTCCACTTTCTATACTTGATTTTTGCATTCAATAAGAATGGCAAAAAAAAGGGGGGGGCCAATAATTACCTTATCTAAAAAGTTAAGAAAAGCACCTAAATTAAAAATAAATTTTTTTTTTTTTTGAGATGGAGTCTCACGCTGTCGCCCAGGCTGGAGTGTAGTGGTGCGATCTCGGCTCACTGCAAGCTCCGCCTCCAGGGTTCACACCATTCTCCTGCCTTAGCCTCCCCAGTAGCTGGGACTACAGGCGCCTGCCACCATGCCCGGCTAGCTTTTTCTATTTTTTTAGTACAGACGGGGTTTCACCGTGTTAGCCAGGATGGTATGGATCTCTTGACCTCGTGATCCACCCGCCTCGGCCTACCAAAGTGCTGGGATTACAGGTGTGAGCCACTGCGCCTGGCCAAAAAAATTTTTTTAAAGAAATTCTGGAGTCTAAAATTTTATCTAGTTTATATGAACTAATTTCCCAGATGTTATGATTATCAATTGATTAAACAGTATATTAGAGGTATAATATTCTAGTTACAGCACTATTAGTCATCACTGTTTAGATTTTATTTTGTTTTTTAGTTTTTATTAGGAAAAAAATTTTAACATATCCCATAAAAAAAACAGAGGAAAAAATTACAACGAAGCCCTGCAGTAATTGTCAACTTTGAGAATTACCAGTGCACGGCTACATATATATTTCTACCCACTTTTTTTCTCTCTACTGTATTATTCTCAAGCAAATACCAGATGTCATATTGTTTACCCATATAATACACTTCAGTGGGTATCTAAGAGAGATAAGAGCTTTTTATTAATAGAATCTCTATCATTATAACTTCTAAAAATTAATAATTCTTTAATATCAAATAGCATTGACTAGACATTTATGCCAATTGTGTTAAAAGTTGCTGACAATACTATTCAAATTAAATATTTTTACACTAATCAACATTCAGTAATGGACAACTTGGAAAGTCTCAAATTCTAGACTAGATTTTATCAGAACTATGACTCATATAACAGCATAACTTTGTAAAATATCCCTATGTGGTTCAAAACCATTGTGCCATAACATTATGACTTATCAACGATAAGTGATATGTAGTTTAGGAATAAATAAAATTAACAAATGAAAACCTCACCTATATTTAAGAGGAAACATTAAAGATTCCAGGGCTCTACAAGCATCACTAAGTCTCTGGAAACTTGCAGAATGGAAGAGAACCTTATTTTCTGTGAGGACTGCACAAAAGAGGCTGAGGACATTTTGAATTCCTGAAAACATAAGAGCAAGGACTTACAAATGCATTTAATTTTATATGTGTTGTCAACAATCATAGACAGTATACACGGAAAGAAAAAGCCAGTAATTTTGGACTCTCTGAAGGAAAATACTTGGTTAAACTGTAAATTCCATATAATCTATGAGTATTTGTTTTCCCAAACTTTCAGTTTTGCCTTTATTCTTCAAATCAGGTAACACTCATTGAACATATTAGTTGTTTGGAAACACTATTACCTTCTTTTCAATTTCATCTCTAAGGCCTGTATTTAGGTTCCTGTTTTAGAATGCTAGCATTGTTCTAAAAACTAACCCCTGCAGAGTCTGTTTGTCTGACGTTAATAATACCACACCAGCTTTGTTGTTGAAATTTGCCTACTATATCTTTTCTCATCTTTTAATTTCAACCTTTCTCTACTTCTTGTAAACAGCATACACAAATGCTCCGCAATTTAATGATAGGGTTACGTCCTAATAAACCCATTGTAAAGTTGAAAAATCTTAAATTGAACATAAATCAGAGACTGTAACTGAAATATTTTTAATCCAGTCTGACAACTTTTGTCTTTTAACTATTTCATTTAATCCATCTATACTTATTGTAATTATTGAGATATACACTATATATAGAGATAAATGTGGTATCTTATTTTATGCTTTTTCTTTTTCTTTTTTCTTTTTTTTTTTTTGAGACGGAGCCTTGCTCTGTCATCGAGGTTGGAGTGCAGTGGCACGATCTCAGCTCACTGCAAGCTCTGCCTCCCGGGTTCATGACATTCTCCTGCCTCAGCCTCCTGAGTAGCTGGGATTACAGGCGCCCGCCACCATGCCCAGCTAATTTTTTCTATTTTTAGTAGAGACGGGGTTTCACCGTGTTAAGCAGGATGGTCTTGCTCTCCTGACTTGGTGATACACCTGCCTCGGCCTCCCAAAGTGCTGGGATTACAGGTGTGAGCCACCGCGCCTGGCCTGGTTTTTATTTTTTCTATCTTCTCTTTTTTCCTTCTTTTCAATTTCTCCTGTCTCTTCTTTCATCCCCTCTGTTAGTATGGTATTTATAAACTCTTTTTCTATTTTTTTAGTGGCAACTCTAGAAAATACGATATACATACTTATGAAATTGAAGTTATATATATCATTTCTTATTTTCTCCTGTTTATTACTGAACCAAATTATCTTTCTTTATATCACTTCAACTTTAATCATACACACCCGGTAAAGCAAGAGTCCCCATTTGTTTTCTCAAGGTAAAATACTATATTTTCCCTTTATCATAGCTTATTTCTTCATGTGACATGCAAATTTCCTTAGTCTATTATTAATTGCTATTCCCTCTTATCACTTCCAACTTATCCCATGTGATACATCAGAATTTTTAGTTCAGATTTTAATCTTCATTCATTTTCACTAATGTAATAGTTTCGTAAGTGATTTTCCTAATCCAGTCCTTATTCCCTTCAAATCTACCCTCCAGATAGTTTCTAGAATAATGGAAAAAAACTAAATAATGATTAAAGAAATCTAAATACAATTTTCAAGTGGTTTTTAAAATTCATATTAAATCCACAAGAATAAATGCTACAAATTTTGCAAAAAATATTCTTTTGGCTTTAACATGAATTTTAAAAACCCACTAAGGTTTTGGTACACTTAAACAACAGTGGAAATGAATGAGCTAGTATTGTATGTATTATCATGACTAACTCTCCCAAGTATAATATTGAGTGAGGGTAGTAAGGTGCACAATGATTATATAGCTGTGAAAAGAAAATAAATCTCAGGACCCCCAAACCACCAAGCCAAAGGGAAGTCAAGCTAGGAACTGCACCAGGAAAACCAACCTCCATTTTATTCCTAAGTAAGATAGCTACAAAAATTAAAAAAAAAAAAAAAAAAAAACAAACTACATACCTCCCATACCTCCCTCACAACCTGCCCACAAGGAAATTCCTTGTGGACAAAGGACAGACAAAACTCAAAGTCATCCCTGTACTCCTGTGAGACAAATGCATATCTGATTTCTTCCTCTGCCCTATTGTTTCACTAAGCCAGACTAAAGCTTAAGTGACTATTCCTCTATCTTCCTCTCACATGTAAATTGTGTATTCAGTAAAAGGCTAATCAGAGACTCAAAAGAATGCAACCTTTTGTCTCTTATATACCTATGACCTGGAAGCCCCCTCCCCTGCTTTGAGCTGTCCCGTCTTTCCAGACCCAACCAATGTACATCTTATGCATATTGACTGATGTCTCACTGTTACAGCAGGTAGCTAGCCAGACATGAGCAGGGAAGGAGAGGATCCCCCACCCCCATGCCACCACCAGGAATGTCAGGCAACCATCAGGTGATGGTCAGGTGATTATTAAACTGTCTCTCTAAAATAATAATTGGTCATAGCTGATGCCACAGAAAGGCAGTCTTCCAACAGACAGAAACATCAGAAACTGGTGATCAGCAGCTTCCTGATAAAATCTCAGGAGTTGGCGAGCGGGCTCATGCCTGTGTAGTTAAGAGGCAAAATGGCAGAGTTTAACTGGTATATGACCCTCTAGGAACATTTGGACTGGTAAAGGAAGAAAGCCTCCAGTGAGCATGCGTACAATTCCAGTAAACACACTGCACATGTGCCCCCTACCAAATGCTGACAGGCCTTTGTGCATGCGGAGTGCCCACCCCAAGGGAAGAATCTGGGGAGGAGAGATGCAAGACCCCGGACACATGACAACATATAAAATCCCGAGTCAAAGCTCAAACAGTGCACTTGATCTCTCAAGTTGTCTGCTTGGCCCTCTTCCAAGTGTACTTTACTTCCTTTCATTCCTGCTCTAATACTTTAAAATAAACTTTCACTCCTGCTCTAAAATTTGCCTTGGTCTCTCACTCTGCCTTATGCTCCTTGGTTGAATTCTTTCTTCTGAAGAAGCAAGAATTGAGATTGCTGCAGACCTCTATGGATTTGCTGTCGGTAACATACTTTGGTGCTGTGATTTGGATACATTCCCTAATGTTAACATACTTTGGTGCCACGTGACTCAAATATGCTTCCTCAGTGGTAAGACATCTCTATGCCTCAACTTCTTTGGCTGGAGGTGTTTAACCCCTGTACACAGTTTCGTTTGCTCTTTTCATTCTTCTGCTTACTAACCAACCCCCAGAACAATTCTTCTCGGCCACAGTGGCTCTGTTCCTCAAGCTCATCTCTCAGCTCCTGCTGATGTACGGTAGCTCACAGGGGTAGGAAGGACCTTGGAGTCCTTCCCAGGTAAGATCATTGACCTGAGACACAATGGCTCTCCTAGACAAGAGGTTCATGAGAGTGGTAGGGCTAAAGCCTAAAACCATGCAATGTCTGGGGTTTCCTCTGCTTTTTCAACTCAAATTGGCTCTTTTCCAAAAACCCACACCACCTATTCTCCTGTTTTCTCTGTATGTATTCTGAAATGGCCTTGTACACCCTCCGGACCGTCCACCTCGAGGCAAGTCAGCCTCTTTTGCTTTCACTTTGCATGCCATGTAACTGTTATTTGTACACCCTCAGCTCTTGCTGAATTTGTGCAGCAGCAAAAACATGGGCTCCCTTGTGGCTATCTAGAGACTTAACACTAGTTTTTACCTTACCAGCTCAGATGACCTCTAATCCTGCCTCTGTCTGTTGGTACATTGCCAGGACAGACACTAATTGGATCCCCAGTCAGCTCCTTATGACTTACCATATGCTTTTTGTTCCTGTTACGGTCCAGGGCTGAGTTTTCCGGTGGCTTTTGAAGTAGTTTTCCACCCACATAGGGCCTCATTCTAGCCCTTTAAGGACCCCACTTACTTGCTTTTTTTGAGTTAGCACCCCTTCGGGAGGAGGGGAAATTCTTCCTTTCCCATTTGTGAGTTCCTACATCAAGCCCTAAGTCCTCCAGAGGTTACCACTTTATGTTAAGAAGACAAATAAATGTTACCCTCTCAAATCCAAGGGATGCTGTTTTTGGAAGCATAAGAAGGCTTTCCATGATTATTCCTCTGGCTTCCTCCCACTTCCTCCTGGAGCTTCCATTTCTCTAATCACTTCCATGCCCTTCTCAATATTGATCAAAATCTTCAAGGTCATATTTGAAGGGAGGGAAGTTCAGCCCCCTTGCAGCAGTTAGCTGAAAATCAAGCTTCTTGTCTAGTTAGAGAACAAAGGAAATGGGAATCTGAGAAAAGGGATAATCATTTTGTTGCAAGAATGCTCCAAGTTGAGAGTCACTGGAAGGTCATGGAGGCAAGAATATAGGATGGCCCAAGGCCGTCGGCACAAGAGACCCATACGACAGACATGAAGGCTGGTCTCGGGTTAACAGATTATCATTATAACAGAGATGAAGGCAAGGTTAAGGGTACGTGGTAAGACCAGTTCATTCTGGAACCGCACGGATGAACAGGAGAGGGCTCTCTGTTCTCTCTGGTATCTCCTCTGTGAAAAGGGCGTACCGAAGTTAAGGGTACATGGTAAGATCAGCTCATTCCAGAACCCTAAGGACAAATAGGGGATGCCCTATTCAGGATAATAGGAAGAGAAGACGCTTTCTTTTTTCTTTTTTTCTCATCTATTCTCTCTTCACAGATGGGTAACTGCATCTTCATACCACAGAACACGCCCCTCAGATGCATTCTCAAGAACTGGGAAAAGTTTGACTCCAAAACCCTAAAAAGGGAAAGGCTAATATTTTTCTGTAACACAGACTGAATTGAATACAAGCTCCACGACCAGGAATCTTGGACAGAAAACCAAAATTTTAATATGATCTATCAACTAGATTTACTTTGCCGCCAGCAGGGAATATGGATAGAAATCCCCTATGTACAGGCCTTCATAGCCCTATGAAACAACCCTGACCTTTGTTGGGCTTGTAAAATGGATCTAGTGATGATAGCTGCCATAGTCAGGCAGCCCCCTCTGGCTGGTTCGGGACACTCCTTATTGGGTTTACCCTGGTTTCAAGCCCCAGAGGAGCAAAAGATGACGGCTCAAACCCCACTGCCCCTTCTACCTCATTA
Source organism: Homo sapiens (assembly GCF_000001405.40). Taxonomy (NCBI): domain Eukaryota; kingdom Metazoa; phylum Chordata; class Mammalia; order Primates; family Hominidae; genus Homo; species Homo sapiens. Next base: position 10,007,729 of record NC_000011.10, read on the forward strand.
TATTCAAGTCTCCCAGGCCCGGAGCCCCTCCATATCCAGGGCTATCCTCTGGACACCACCCTCTTAGGTCACGCCCCCTTCAAGAGGTCAGTAGCCCCAGTGGACCCACTAGAAACCAGACTCCATTCACTATGTAAGGCCTGAGCCAAATTACAACAGAACTATGGGACTTTATGGAGGACCCTGACAAATACATCAAAGGGTTCTGTAAACTGGGATTAACATTTGAACTCACTTGGAGGGATTTCTCAGTCATACTAGGGCAAATTCTGTCTAAGGGAGAAAGTGATTCCATTATGGAGGTGGCCCAACAATTTGCAAATCCAATGCATATGACTGACCCGGGTGGCTACCCTGTAGGAGCCATCACAGTTCCTCCGGTTGACTCCAATTGGGATTACAATACCCAGGGAGGTATATGGGGAAGAAACCGCATGTTCCTCTGGTAGAAGGGATAAAAGCTAGCAGAACAAAGGCTGTGAACTATAATACAATGGCCTTAATAGATCAAGGCCCTCTTGAAAACCCCATCACTTTCACAGAGAGGCTACAAGAGGCCCTAGTGAAACATACTAACCTAGACCCAGAGACATCAGAAGGGCAACTGGTCCTACAGGACCGTTTCCTAACTCAGGCAGCCCCAGATATTCAGAGGAAACTCCAAAAGCTAGCACTGGGCCCCAATACCCCTATGCCTGATGTTCTCAAAACAGTTGCCTTGGTCTTTTACATCAAGGACCAGAAGGAAGAAGAAAGGGCTCAGGAAAAGGAGAGGCAAACGGAAAAGTGGCAGCTCCAACTATTGGCTGTCTTACAAGTCCACCAGCTCCCTCCAATTTGCCCTAGGAATATCTTCCCAAATAATTGCATTGGTATGAGAAGCCAGGCCACTGGAAGGCCAACTGCATCAATGGGACAGATGGGAAAAAGCCTTGCATGGCTTGCCCCCTCCACCACAAGCTTGGCAACTGGAAATAGGACTGCCCTGAGGGCTGGAGGGCTCCTGGGAGAGAATCCTTTGTCTTGAGCTGAGGGGGGCCTACAGTCCAGCTGGCTCCCAGATCAAACATCACTATTGAAGGGACAGAGCCAAGGAATGCTTTGCATGTGGCAGGTAGGACTATAAGTTTTCTTTTGGACACTGGAGCAGCCTTCTCAATGCTTACCTCTTTTCCTGGGCAATTATCCTCCAAATCCTGCCAGATAATGGGGATAAATGCGGTGCACATAACCAGGAGGTTTACTCCTCCTTTGTGCTGCCTATCTGGGGGAACTGTCTTTTCTCACTCATTTTTAGTGTTGCTAGAATGTCCCATAGCCCTTTTGGGTAGAGATATTTTATTTAGACTAGAGGCTCCAGGGCAGACATCCCCTTTTTGAACTGCGATCTTATGCCTCAAGGAAACCACACACAAGGGTGAACTGCCCATGGACTGTCTCATTAATCCAGAGGTCTGGATATGTTCCTATTGTCATATATAACATTTAAATATGTTACAACGGCAAAACAGTTAAACTTATTGCTTTCTATATATTTTTATTTATTATACTTTAAGTTCTGGGATACATGTGCAGAACGTGAAGGTTTGCCAAATAGGTATACCTGTGCCATGGTGGTTTGCTGCACCCATCAACCTGTCATCTACATTAGGTATTTCTCCTAATGCTGTCCCTTCCCTACCCTCCCCACCCCCTGACAGGCCCTGGTGTGTGATGTTCCCCTCCCTGTGTCCATGTGTTCTCATTGTTCAACTCCCACTTATGAGTGAGAACATGCGGTGTTTGGTTTTCTGTTCCTGTATTAGTTTGCTGAGAATGATGGTTTCCAGCTTCATCCATGTCTCTGCAAAGGACATGAACTCATCCTTTTTTATAGCTGCATAGTATTCCATGGTGTATATGTGCCACATTTTCTTTATCCAGTCTATCATTGATGGACATTTGGGTGGGTTCCAAGTCTTTGCTATTGTGAACAGTGCTGCAATAAACATACGTGTGCATGTGTCTTTACAGAATGATTTATAATCCTTTGGCTATATACCCAGTAATGGGATTGCTGGGTCAAATGGTATTTCTGGTTCTAGATACTGGAGGATCATCACACTGTCTTCCACAATGGTTGAACTAATTTACACTCCCAACAAGAGTGTAAAAGAATTCCTATTTTTCCACATCCTCTCCAGCATCTGTTGTTTCCTTTTTAATGACTGCCATTGTAGCTGGCATGACATGGTATCTCATTGTGGTTTTGATTTGCGTTTCTCTGATGATCAGTGATGATGAGCTTTTTTTCATGTTTCTTGGACACATAAATGCCTTCCTTTGAGAAGTGTCTGTTCATATCTTTCACCCACTTTTTGATGAGGTTGTTTTTTTCTTGTAAATTTGAGTTCCTTGTAGATTCTGGATATTAGCCCTTTGTCAGATGGATAGATTGGAAATATTTTCTCGCATTCTGTAGGTTGCCTGTCACTCTGCTGATAGTTTCTTTTGCTGTGAAGAAGCTCTTTAGTTTAATTAGATCCCATTTGTCTATTTTGGTTTTTGTTGCCATTGCTTTTGGTGTTTTAGACATGAAGTCTTTGCCCATGCCTATGTATTGGTATTGCCTAGATCTTCTTCTAGGGTTTTAATGGTTTTAAGTCTTACATTTAAGTTTTTAAGGCATCTTGAGTTAATTTTTTTAAAAGGTTTAAGAAAGGGGTTGAGTTTCAGTTTTTTGCATATGGCTAGCCAGTTTTCCCAACACCATTTATTAAATAGGGAATCCTTCCTCCATTGCTTGTTTTTGTCAGGTTTGTCAAAGATCAGATGGTTGTAGATGTATGGTGTTATTTCTGAGGCCTCTGTTCTGTCCCATTGGTCTATGTATCTGTTTTGGTACCAGTACCATGCTGTTTTGGTTACTGTAGTCTTGTAGTATAGTTTGAGGTCAGGTAGCATGATGTCTCCAGCTTTGTTCTTTTTGCTTAGGACTGTCTTGGCTATACAGGCTCTTCTTTGGTTTCATTTGAAATTTAAAGTAGTTTTTTCTAATTTTCTGAAAAAAGTCAATGGTAGCTTGATGGGGATAGCATTGAATCTATAAATTACTTTGGGCAGTATGGCCATTTTCACGATATTGATTCTTCCTATCCATTAGCATGGAATGTTTTTCCATTTGTTTTTGTCCTCTCCTATGTCCTTGAGCAGTGGTTTGTAGTTCTCCTTGAAGAGGTCCTTCACATCCCTTGTAAGTTGTATTCCTAGGTATTTTATTCTCTTTGTAACAATTGTGAATGGGAGTTCACTCATGATTTGGCTGTTTGTCTATTAGTGGTGTATAGGAATGCTTGAGATTCCTTTATGCTTTTTTAAAAACTAAGAGAAGAAATAAAAAAATACACATATAGTCTATTTACCCACAGATTTCCCATTTCTAGTGTTGTTTGTTCGTGTGAAATCGAATTATTAACTAGTCTCTTTTTCCTGCAGTCTTAAGGATTTCCTTTTGTTTTTATTTTTTATTGTTTTTTTGAGACATAGTCTCACTCCATCACCCAGGCTGGAGTATAGTGGTGCGATCTTGGCTCACTGCAACCTCTGCCTCCCAGGTTTAAATGATCCTTCCACCTTAGCCTCTCAAGTAGCTGGGACCATAGGTGTACACCACCACATCTGGATAATTTTTGTATTTCTCTGTAAACATGGGGTTTCGCCATGTTGGTTGTGAACTCCTGGGCTCAAGTGATCCACCCACCTCAGCCTCCCAAAGTGTTAGGATTTCAGGCGTGAGCCACCACGCCTGGCCTTCCTTTTGTATTTCTTATAGAGCAGGTCTACTAGCGATAAATCTGTTTTTGTTTACTTGGAAATGTCTTCATTTTATCTTTGTTTCTGAAAGACAGTTTTGCCAGTGACAGAATTCTTGTTTGGTATTTTTTTCTTTCAGTGCTTTTAATATGTCACATCAATGCCTTCTGGCTCCCGTTCTTTCTGTTGAGAGACCCGCTGCAATAATATTATAGTTCTATTGATTCATATAGATGAATTATTTTCTCTTGCTGTTCTCAAGGGTTTGCCTTTCACCAGTTTCACAATCATGCTGTGTCTACATGGGGATTTTTTTACTGTTAACTTGGGCTTCATTGTGCTTCTTGGGTCTACAGGTTAATGATTTCAACAAATTTTGCTAAGTTTTTGAGCATTATTTCTTCAAATACGTTTTTCTAATCACCCCCATATGCATCCAATGGAGATGCTCTGTACCTAAAAGGTATTATTGTCTCAAAGGTCTCTGAGAATCTGTTATTTTTATTTCAATCTTTTTCTCTATGTTTTTTATATTGGATCATTTCTATTGGTCTTTCACCAAATTTTATTGATTTTTATTTCTGACATCTCAAATGTGCTGTTAAGCTCAGCTAGTGAATTTTTTGTTTCAGTTATTTATTTTGAGAAAGGGTCTTACTCTGTTGCTCAGGCTGTAGTGCAGTGGCATAATCACAGCTCACTGCAGCCCCAGCCTTCTGGGCTCAAGCGATCCTCCTACCTCAGCTTCCTGCATAGCTGGGACTAAGGGGTGCACCATCACACCTGGCTAGTTTTTTATTTTGTAGAGATGAGTTCTCACTATGTTTCTCAGGCCGGTCCTGAACTTCTGGGCTTAAGAGCTCCTCCTGCCTCAGCCTCCCAAAGTACTGGGATTACAGGTATGAGCCACGATGCCTGGCCTGTTTCAGTTATCATACTGTTCAATCTATAATATCTATTTGGCTCTTTTTCAGTTTTTACTTCACTACTGAAATTGCCTAGGTTTTTGACCACTGTCATTATATTTTGTCTTAATTCTTTCAATATGGCTACCATTAATTCTTTTAGCATATTTATAACAGCTGATTTAAAGTCCTTATCTGCTAAATCCAGTATGTGCGCTCAAAGTCAGTTAATACTATTTTTTTTTCCCCTGAGTATGGGTTACACTTCACTGTTTGAATGCCTCTTGCTTTTTGGTAAAAATTGGACATTATAAATAATATACTGCACTAAATTTGAATTATATTTTTTTCCTGAAAGCTTTTTTTTTTCTTTGAGAGGGTGCTCACTGCTTTAAGCTGCAAAATCTGCTTGTAATGTTAGGCTGCTGATGTCTGGTTTAAAATTTTTTATTTTTATGGTTTAGCTTGGCTTCCTAGGGGTTATCCCTGTGTTTGCATGGTTCACTTGGTCAGTCCATAATTTGGGCAGAGGTTGTACTCAAATACCTTGAGCCAATAAAGCTTCTACGTACTGCTGACCAATTTTGCATGGGTTGGAGCACGTTCATAGTTTAGCCAGATTTTAAGTATGCTTTCAGTTTCAGACATGTGCATAGTTTCCCAGGCAGCCAGGCATGTATAGAGACATTGTCTAGTTCTTCTAAGACTTTCTCCTCTTCACAATTTCTCTGTTAAATTTCTGGCTGATGTGCCACTAGCCCCAACTATGACTGTAATTCAGACAGGCATCTGACGTTTTTCTCCTTTCATCTCCTACTGGTTTCAATACTTTTACCGATAATGATGCCATGGGTTTTAGCCCTCCATCCCAAATAAATTCCACTCCATCTGGTAGCAAAGCTGGTTTTCTACCCAGCCCTACTCTGCCACTACCAGTCTCACTGACAAAGCTGGGATGTAGGGGAGAGGGGGCAACCACCAGATAAGAATGCTGCAGACTCCTGCTGTTTTTACACAAAGTTCTAGCATGAATAAATGTTTCCAAATTTGTCATTTGCTTTTGGTCAATTTCCAGAGCCCTGAAATTGTTGTATTCAACAACTTTGTCTAGTTTATACTGGTTCTTTGGGGGAAAGGATTTGCTAAACTCTTTGTACTGTCTTTGGTGATGTTAATTTTGTCTCCTAAATTTTGTCCAATGCTGTCCAATTTCTCCAATGAATACTTATTATTTTTCCTGCAACTAAAAAGCAATCTGTATCAAGACACTTTAAGACCACGTAAATATCTCATCTCTCACCAAAATGCCTGGCTAGATTTAGCATCTACTGATAATTTCTGCCTGAATAGATCTTTACTATAATGATTATAATTTTCCAAATGCAGCACTCACTCTGTATTTCCCAGTCAGCACTTGGCATTCTACATAGCAGAGTCCTCCTTTTCCTCTACTTACTTGCTCATTCATTCATTCATTCATTATCAGTGTGGACTCATAAATATCTACTTTTTCCTAACAGTCTGTAAGTCACTACTGTCCTTAATTTTTCTGGTGCTAAACATGTCCTAGATTTATGCAGTAGGAGCCCTTTAACTTAGTTCCTGTGTCCTTGAGACAGAGCTCTTTTATTTTTCCAGGCTCATATTGTACTTACCCTGTCCTAGCCCTAGTCCAACCATTTCTCCTAAGAGTCCTGGTTCTCTTTGGTGAGAAATGGTATCAAAGACCAAAATTTTAGGTGTTAGGGCATGTGTTAGATCATTTCTACTGGGGTGACTTTGCTTCTAGGCCACTTTTGCCTATAGATGGAGCTAGGAAATATATGCATGTACATATATACATACACATACATACATGAGAACATATACATGCATATGTATTTGAGAAATCCTGAGTCTATGCCATTACTTTTAATTCCATTCCATCCCCACAGGGTATCCCTCACTATCCCAATTCATATTTGTATGTTCCTTCTTCCACTGAGAATGCTGGAACCTAATAACATCAACATACTTATTCATTTGCTAAATCCTGTATTACACATAAAAGAGCTTCAGAATTGTTTCAGCCATTTCAACTAAAAAAAAAAAAAAAAAAAAAAACGAAAATGGAGTTCACTATTTGTTTGCAATTCTCTTCCCAAAACTGTCCAAAGCTGAGTTTGTACAGTCAAATACTCATAAGTTACTAAAGTAACTTAGTTTTTTTTCCCTCTTCAGTGTGGTTACATTATTTGAATGACAGTAGAGTTTGTTTACATATGCTTTTAATTTTAAGGTAATATTTTCTTTCCTTTCTTCTTATCCTAATTGAATTTTTTAATATATGTAAGACACAAATATGCTACCAGAAGTCAAAATAATACAAGAAGATACACTTAGGGAAGTGTCATTCCCTCCCTCAATTAATAGTACTGTACCAGGCCTGGTGCAGTGGCTCATGCCTGTAATCCCAGCACTTTGGGAGGCTGAGGTAGGTAGATCGCTTGAGCCCAGGAGTTTGAGACCAGCCTGGGTAACACAGTGAAATCCCGTCTTTACTAAAAAATACAAAAATTAGCCAGGCATGGTGGTGTGTGCCCATAGTTTCAGCTACTTGGGTGGACGCTGACGTAGGAGGACTGCCTGAGCCCAGGAGGTCGAGGCTACAGTGAGCTGAGTTTGCACCACTGCACTCCAGCCTGGGCAACAAAGCAAGACGCACCCTGTCTCAATAATAATAATAATAAAATAATAATACTGTATCAATGTCAGTTCCTGGTATCCATAATGTACTATGATTATGTAAAATATTGTTATAGGAAGGTGGGTACTGCATACATAGGGACTCCGGATGAATTTAGTTATTTCTTGTGAGTCAAACTATTTAAAATAAAGAGTGATACTTTTTAAAGTCTGTGGATGTATTAGTTTTCTATGGTTGCTATAACAAAGTACCACAAATTTGGTGGCTTAAAACAAGACAAATTTATTATTTTACTGTTGTGGAAGTCCTGTGATCAAATTTTCCAGCTTCTGGTGACTTCTCACGTTCCTTGTCTTGTGGTTTCCTTCTATCTTCAAAGTTGACTATGAGCAGTCATACTATATTACTCTGAAGGTAAATCTTTTGCCACCCTATTAATGACTCCTGAGGTTATCGTGGTCCACCTGGGGTGGGAGCTTCCTAAAGGGACTGACCCTTGAGGTAGATTTTGACAGAGATGCATTAGTTAAGGAGAAAAGAAAAGCATAGCATTCAAAGCTGACAGAAGAGTGAGGAAGCAAATGGCATTAACAGACCTACAAGTAATTTGGCCAAAGACAAATTTATGAAGAATCTGTATGTCATGTCAAGTCTAGTCTTTTTAAATGAAGACTCTGGGGAAAAACTTGTCCCTCTTTGCTTTTTTTTTTGAGACGGAGTCTCACTCTGTCACCAGGCTGTAGTGCAATGGCACGATTTCGGCTCACTGCAACCTCTGCCTCCCGGGTTCAGCAATTCTCCTGCCTCAGGTGCCCCCCATCACTCCAGCTAATTTTTGTATTTTTAGTAGAGATGGGGTCCCACCTTGTTGTCCAGGCTGGTCTTGAACTCCTGATCTCAGGTGATCGACCCGCCTCGGCCTCCCAAAGTGCTGAGATTACAGGCATGAGCCACCATGCCTGGCCCCCACCTTGCTCTTATCTGAACACTCTGCCCTATCCCACAAAAAAAGGATAACCGATTTACAAGTAGTTCATCAGAAAATAATATTCATAATCAGTATCATTTAGTATCAGATAAATTGTGAAGAAGGGAGGCCTGCAGTTGTAAGGAACTTTACGTTACTCATATTAGTAAAAACAATCAGTTGATATTGTCAAGGGAGGCAATGCTATACTATATTTACTGAGAGGATATATGTCTCATAATGTAGAAATGAGATAGGAACAATATTCTAGTGCTTAAAGGGTAAGTTTTTCATTATCCAGAAAATTAATAGTATAATACAAAACAATTTACCCAAGCCTAATTGAAATACTACTTAAATTCTTTATTCTTAAATGTCACATGCTTTCTTAAGTTTTACATTATTATTATTATTATTATTGTTTTTGAGATGGAGTCTCGCTCTGTCGCCCAGTCTGGAGTGTAGTGGTGCGATCTCAGCTCACTGCAAGCTCCGCCTCTTGGGTTCACGCCATTCTCCTGCCTCAGCCTCCCGAGTAGCTGGGACTGCAGACACGGGCCACCATGCCCGGCTAATTTTTTGTATTTTTAGTAGAGATGGGATTTCACCGTGTTAGCCAGGATGGTCTCGATCTCCTGACCTCGTGAGCTGCCCGCCTCGGCCTCCCAAAGTGCTGAGATTACAGGCGTGAGCCACCGTGCCTGGCAAGTTTTACATAATTAATAATCTCAAATATTTTAAATTACATTAATGATTTTTATTCCTATGTAGCAGTGTTTGTTGCTGTGTTCACAGTTACATAGCTATTGAGAAATCCAGTTTCTTTTAATTTTGTAAGTCAAAATCAGTTTTCTATATAACTGAATTGTCTCACCTTCTGTAGCCCAACATCCATTCAAAGCTGCACAATAACACGGGAGAAGAAAATATGAAAAACAGACATGCCAGTGATAATTACTAGCGATTTCACTACAATGATACATATACATCCTGTTGATTATTCAAAGAGTAAAACATTCTGAAAGATGGCTTCCTGATCTCAATTTTCTTGAAAGGTTAGAGTTCTAAAATTCATTGCACCACATGTTAACAAATGTATTTGTTTCTTTTTTGGGGAAAGAAAAAAAGAACTTTCTCCAGACTCCTGCATTCTCTGAATAATAATGATATGTTACACAAATAGAAGACTATGTCTCAGCTTTCAAATGGATAAACAGTGGAACTGAAGACCATGTTTCAAAACAGAATATAGTTCAAAAAGCCCTGCACAATTTATTATAGTTCTTTCTGGCCAACCCACAACGGGGAAAACAGTATAGTTCTGGTCACAGCTTAATGTAAGTCATGAAAAAGGAGGTTTCTCATTCACTGAACCAGTATTTATTGTGTACTATACTCCAGACACTAGAATATAGCAGTGAATAAAGACAATATCCTTAACTTCATGGATTAACTAAAACTTTATATAAAGTTTCAAATTTATCACTGAGAGGTAATGTTTACTATCTGTTACAAATTTAGCATTATTTCCACATATGATAGATATGGCAAGTATTCTAAGTAAAAAAGTAAAAAGTGTGGTAAATTGGGCATCTGAAAGGAGGTGTAGTTTAGTCCTTATGAACACAGACTCAACCCCCTGAGTATGACATGAATTAAATATATTTTACACACACAAATAGAGCTTAGCAATGTGGGAGACTAAATATAAGAAGTCAATTACCAAACACATATGACTAAAAATAATTCAAATACATAAAAGGCCAATTCAACCAAAACTGTGTAAAAAGGTGCAGCATCTTTACTTCCTTCTTGAACATTCTAATTGTTTTTCTAGCTCTGAGGTAATAACATCAGATTTTTCCAACCTTCAATGACCCAAATTCCTAGACTATGTCTGTTCTGCTTGACTTGGTTTTTATCTACTTTTAATTCTAAATTTAAGAATTAGGAAGCAAAAGGAGCCTTGTGAGTAGAGCAGCAAGCAGTGGGGAAGAAGAACAGAGAATAACTGGAGAATTATGCAAGGAACAAATAAGAGGGAACTGTCCTGGCAGAAACAACTCTTTTAATTCAAACTTCCTCCTTTCTTTTCCCCTTTCTTCCCTTCTGCCACTATTACATTATTACTGAACTACTGAGATATATCATCAATCATAAAATTCTAGGGATGGATATAAAGAAATATGAGACAGGCTCTTAGGAGCTCACAGTTCAGTGAAGACGAAAGACTGGTAAATAAACGGTTAAAACATAAAATAATAGAGCTATGTATCAAATGTTACAGAGCACAGGAAAAAAAAAGGTACTTCATCCTGCCACCATTTGGAAGCTATGTACTTAAATGTTGGAGTAGCCATATTTTATAAAAATATTAACCACTAAAATGCTGAAAGAGCAAACAGAAATTTTAGACAAGAGAACTTTGTGACAAGGAAGAACGATACCTAATGACTCTCTTGCCTTAGAGCATTTACATTCTTTATAGATAATTCAATGCAAAGATAGAGCTATTTAATATTAGCATCTACGTGCCAAAAAAGGACAATGGGCAGGACAGTTTTGAACCAGGATCCTTCTGAACTTTCCTCAGATTATATCATGTAGCAACTACTTTCTTCACATGTGATTTGAGCAAGCATAGTACACCAGTCAACAAGGACTCAATTGGTCAATGACTGTCAGTCTTTGATATTTTTACAACGGTTTCTTTATAGAACTAGCATAAATATTTAATTTTTAATTTTGAAATGAAAAGCAATCAGTTTCTTAATAACATTCTGACTATTTCCTAAAACCCTGTTCTCAGGCTTCACCAAACATCTTACTATTCCATGAGGGCCTTTCATAATTTCCTATAATGCTAAATATGCTTCTTCTTCTAGAATGCCCTTATTTTACTTTTCTAGCAAGTAAGAGTTTGCTCTTGGTATCTCTATTATTGTGCTAATTATATTCTACTATAGTTTTAAAACGATACCTGTTTTTCCATTAGGCTAAAAGTACATCTGGGGTAAGAGCTGTGATTTGTTCATCTTTATATCCCCAGTGACTAACTCAGGAGCTGGCACATAATAATGGCTTTGTAAACATTTTGTGAAAAAAAACATACTTCTACCATCATATAAGCAGAAGGGCATTACGGGAACTTTCTTATAGACTCCCATGCCATTTATTAGAAAGAAATTACATTGGAACAGTTTTCGTTAGAGATCCTTAGGCCTCTGAAGGTAAGCACATGGTACACGTGGTAAGCAGTTCCTTCAGAAAAGTGCCCCAGAGTGGGCTAGCAAGGAGATTTAATTTGCTTCAAATCCCCAAAGAACATAGCTGATATTCAACTGTCAAAAAATAATTAATCATAGATACAGTAAAATAGGGCACAAGATGCCATTATTAGTAATAGTTTAAAATCTTGTGTACTCAAATTTGCAAACTATGTTTTTATGATAGGAGAGGAAATATATTTTCTTTAAATTTTTTTTTAACCCTGATAAGTTTGTTGTTGGGACAGACCCTTATGACAAAAGACAGATTAATATGAGAAAACTAAGCAAGCTTCCTTCAAGGTCAAACATTGAAAAAAAAAAGACGACTTCATTTTTTCCCCTTATAAGTGAGAATAAGATTAAAACAAGTAATAATGCTATATGAATAAGCTGAGAAAACTAAGACAGAAACATGATCTGAGGCCCTAGATGCTGATCATTTCAGTAAAAAGGATAAAAATCATCCTACAATTGATGCATTAATTGGATGGTTCAGCAATTTACCAATCAGTATTTTCTTTTAAAGAAAACATTTTTACACATCCTAAGCTTTCATTTTTACCTCTGGCATCTTTTCATCTTTATGTTTTAGGAACGTAAGTTATTTTTAAGGCTCCTACAAATGTTCTTATTGTTATAGTAGATATTCAGACAGACATAAGCAGAGCAGGAGAACCTCCTTCCCCTGCCCAACCCCAACCAGGAATGTCAGGCGACCATCAGGTGATGGTCAGGTAAGTTGTTAAACTCTCTCTCTAAAATAATAATTGGTCACAGTGGTGCCAGGGAAGGGCAGTTTCCCAAGATAGAAATACCTGAAATTGGTGATCGGCAGCTTCCTGATAAGAGCTCAGGAGTTGGGTGAGTGAGCTCACGCAGGTGCAGTAAGAGGCAAAATGGCAGAGTTTAACTGCTATATGACCTTCCTCTAGGAACACTGGATTGGTAAAGAAAAAATGCCTAAAGTGAGCATGTGTACAACTCCAGTAAACACACTGCACGTGAAGCCCCTCCCAGGTGCTAGCAGGCCACTGTGTATGCAGAGAGCCTACCTCAAGGGAAGAATCAGGGGAGGAGAAATGCAACCACCCAGAAGCATGCCAACCTATAAAATCCCAAGTCGAAAAGCCAAACTGTGCACTTGCTCTCTCAAGTTGCCCGCTTGGCCCAATTCCAAGTGTACTTTACTTCCTTTTGTTCTAGCTCTAAAGCTTTTTAATAAACTTTCACTCCTGCTCTAAAACTTGCCTTGGTCTCTCACTCTGCCTTAGGCCCCTTGGCTGAATTTTTTCTTCTGAGGAGGCAACAATTTTTGCTGCAGACTCCTATGGGTTCACTGCCAGTAACATTATCACTTCAAAAATAATCACATAGTATCACAGAGAGAAGTTTTTCCAGGGAAAGACAAAAGTGAGACTACCAAAGGTTTTCCATTAAAGCATTTTAAAACTGAAACAACTTGCTGAATAGCAAGGAATGGCTACAGTCAACATTTTAATAACTTTTATGTACAAAGTAAGAATAATATTTGTAAGACAAACTGAACAAAAACTTTTTTAAGAACTTTAAAAAAAAACCCTATATTTAATATCAGAGATCATCGATGGAGACATACTGACCCATCAATAGCTAATAAAAAACTGGCCAAAGTTAACCATGGACAAGTAAAAAGAAAGCATGCATAGAAAAAGGTACAAACACAAATGATACAAGATTAATGTGGTTTAACTGTGGAAACAAAGTGTTGATAGCTGATGGCCCAGGATCATTTTAGTCAGTTTTCAAAAATGCCTATTAAAGAGTATACTGTGAAAACTGTTGGATACATTTTCTAAAACTAGTACATGTTCTAGTAAAATCCAAATTACAGGTGAACAGACATGACAAAAGATGTCAAGAGCATTTTACAAGATTATTTGGGGCAGGGAGGGACACCCAAGTTTAAACGGGTATGGATTAGATTAAAATATCACAGGGTCTATAAAAACCAGTTCCTGTGAATACAAACTTATTAACATTAAAAATCCCAGCATTGTTAGTACACTTAAAACACTAATCCTCAGGTAAACAAAAATAGTTCACATAGGCTGCCAAAAAAACAAAAAAAACAAAAAAACCAAAAACCAAATAAACACAAGACAGTAAACAAGAGATGAAGGCGATCAAGAGGAAATTGTAGGGAGTGAAGCTTGGAATGGCAGAGTCCATATAATTATTTCAGAAAAACACAGAGACCTTTTAAACTGTGAAAAACAAATTCATTATCATAACAATTCTTAGAGAGAAGAACAAAGGAAATGCTATCATTACATTTAGACCTTTCACAGGAAAACTAGTCAAGGTTACAAAAGGATCTTATAGTCTTATCTGCTTCCTGTCTGTGCTTTGTAAAATCCGCTACCACCACTACCCCCAACCCAGCTCGTGAACTCTGATAATGGCCTAATATTGGCCTTTGACAAAGTCCAAACAAAATGACAGGTGATAAGAGAATGCCTTTATATAGAATTATCACCACCATGTGCTTTGGAAACAACAACTCTGCACACTGCACTGCATCTTTCTTTCTGCTTTGCTTCCTTATCTTTTCCCCATTCTTTCCCAGAAAAAAGTGAATTTAGAACATGCAAGCAAAAGATAATGAAGCTGAAAATACTAGAGTAAAATAAAATAATAAAATTTGATCTTCAAATGACCAATTATTATGTATTCCGGCACACTTCATCAGTACACAGAAAAATCTACAATATGGTTACCACTTCCTCATAGCTAGTGCATTCTTTCATTTATTCAATAAACATTGATGCCTTTTGTACCTGAGGCATTATGCCAGATATAGAGTACACAAGAATAATAAGACATGTAAGTTTTAGGAAAAACTTCTTATAAACAAACAGGGGAAAAAAGCATAGGATAGAATTTCTGTAACGTCCCTGAAGATATTCCAGAATCAATACACATCAGCCCTGGACTGCCTACCTGTATGTAGACTTTTTGTTATGTGAGAAGGATAAAATCTGTATTTTGCTTAAATACATATTTTTAAGGTTTTAAAAATATATTAGTTATGCACATAAAGGACATAAATAATTTTACAAGTTAAAAAAATCTTTTTATTATAAAACACAGATATAGAAAACCACACAAATCAAATGTATGGCTTAATAAATTATCTTAAAAATACCACCCACATCAAGAAAGAGAACTTTCCCAGCAAAAGTAAAAGCCCCTGGAAGCCCCTTTTATGTACCCACCCCCCCATCATAATCTCCTCTCTACTGCCAAGAGTAACCATGCTTTTATTTAATATTTATCCACTTTCCTGATTTTTTTCTATAGGCAGTTTTTATCACCCAAAAGTACATCCGTAGACACTATAGTTTAGTCTCACTCTATTAAAAAGTTGGATGTCTTTTAAATCTCTTTCAATCTCGAGGTTGAGGAACCTCTAGATTGTTAAAGAACCTGGGACATTTGACTAAGAGAGTTTCCAACAGCCTGCATTTTGGTAATTACATTCTCTTGGTGCAGTTTAATGTGTTCCTCTATTTTCTACATTTTCTGTGATCAGACTCAGGTTTAATCCCTTTGGCAAAACAATAAGTAGTGTTTGGTAAGGTTATAACGGCACATAATACTTGCTTGTTTTTCTTTCTGTGGTAACAGCTGTTGATACTTAGATCTTGGTTCATTGAGGATTGCAAAATGATACTCTATTTCCATCATTTCTTTCATCTTTATTAATTAGAAGACTTTCTAAAAAAGATAATTGCCCTCAACTACTATTGGTTATCATTTTTTTCTTTATTGATAAATTTTCAAGATAAATTGTTCTTTATCATATTCTGAGGTAGGTGACAATCCCTTTTTAATATTATGAATTCATGGATCTTAAAATATTTGCTGGGTTTCAACCAACTGCAATTATTGTAATTTTTGAAGCTCAAATTCTATCATCTTAGATCAGTTGTGAGCCTCTTCAAGATGGCTCCTGAGTTCTTTTAACAAGCCTCTAACAGTAACATTTTTTCTTAATTCTCATACCATAAATTCCCCATTTTAAAGTATACAATTCAGTGGTTTTTAGTGTAGTCACGAGGTTGTACAAGCATCATTAGTATCCAATTGCAGAAGAATTTCATTCCTCAAAAGAAACCCCACACCCACTGGCAGTTATTTCTCACGGCCCTATCCCTCGAGCCCCTTATAATCACTAATCTGTTTTGCCCCTATGTGTTTGCCTATTTTGGACATTCCACATAAACACAATCATATAATATACGGTTTTTGTGCCTGGTTTCTTTTACTTAGCATGTTTCCAAGATTCACCCAGGTTGTAGCACGTATCAATACTTCATTCCATTTTACGGCTGAATAATTTTCCATTGTGCGGATATATCAAAATTTGTTTATCCATTCATCAGCTGAATGACATTTGGATTGCTTCCACTTTCTGACTCTTATAAATAATGCTGCTATGAACATTCACATACAAGTTTTGGTGTGAATATATGTTTTTCTTTTTTTTTAAGAATCTGATACATTTTGACTTATGTACATACTTATAAAACCATCACCACAATCAAGACTGTATACACAAATATCATCCAGAAAGTTTCCTCATGTCCCTTTGTAATCTCGCTCTTCCTATCCATGAAACAACCAGTGACCTGTTTCCATCACCATAGATTAGACCACATTTTTTAGAACTTTAGAGAAACCGAATCATGCCGTATATAATTTTTCTGACATTTTTCATTCAAAATAATTATTTTCAGGTTAATCTATGTTGCGTGTATCAGCCATTCATTTTTCATTTAGCTTAGTAGTATTACATTGTATGAACATACCACAGATGCTTTATCCATTTCCATAATCAATTATCCTTTACCACTGGTGGACACTGAGTTTGTCTCCAGTTTTTCACTACCATAAATAAAATGGCTATGAACATTCATATACAAATATTTTTATGAACATTTTTAAACTTAAAATAGTCAAACTGTGTTCCAAGATAGTGGTACCATTTCATATTCCTATTAGCCATGAATAAGAGGTCTAATTCATTCACATTTTTACCAGTACTCAGGGAAGCACTCTGAAGTCTCAACACAAAATGCTCCTCCCACTTCTCGCCAAGGTTGATAAGCCTCAAGTTGTGTGCCTTCTTCCAATCACACCAAGCTGTGCAGGTCACAGCAAGCATCTCCCCAAACCCCTTCTTTGTTCTCAGCCCCCCAGACATCCAAACTATGTCAGCTCCTGCTTGTGCTTCCAAAGAGGCAACACAGAAACAAGTCCCTTAGGCAGCTTCCTCAACAGCCAGAATTTGGGATGCAAGCTCCACTCTTCCCTCCTCCCTGTACCCCCAAGCCTGAGAGAGTTGAGGAAGGGGCTGATACAGGTAACATAAAATTGCTCTATTTACACATTTCAATGCTGCTATTCTCTGCTTTGTGCAAGTCTGAGGTACTGTAATTTCTTGACTAGAATCTGGAATTGTCATGCAGGGATTTTTGTCAGTAAATCTTTGTTAAATCAGTGTTTCTGTCACGGAGGGAGGGCTGGAATTTCCTATTCCTCTATCTGATTAATGTCACTCCCAAATTCTCAGTCTTGACTATTTATTTCCTTCACTATTTCAAATATAGTTATTTTAATAACTGCATCTGATAACTCTATTTGCTAGAGCCCCTGTGGTTCTTTCATATTGTCTATGGTTTCTTTTGCATTTCTTTCATATAGTTTTGGTCCTCACGTTTCTGGTTATTTTTGATTGAGTACAGGGCAGGTATATAAAAATTCATAGACAAATTGGAGGTCTAGAATGTAGTTATCTTGTTTCAGAGAGGATATACTTTTACTTCTATGAGATGGATAGACAGTAGCATCAAGAATTACCTTAATCCAACTCAAGAAACTGAAATGATTTCAAGCTGTATTGTAATTCCCGAGGGAGCCAGTCTACTTCTGATTTACCCACTCCCAGGCTGTGGCCTTTTATGGTCTCAACTCAAATTATGAGAGCTTTATATAAAAAAAAAATCCACCTTGGTAAAACTTAAATTCCAATTTTCCCTCTTCCCCATAAGATATCGATAGTACTGATCAGCTTCTCAGCCATTTCTTCCAAAATCAACAAGGGCCCTTAGGAAAAAATGGTCCCAAATGTCTGGCTCACTTCATTTTCTCCTGGATCATGGCTTGGCAATTATTTACTGGCTCTGATGCCTTCAAGCAGATGTTATTTTTATTTTATTTGTTTATTTTGGGACAGGGTTTCACTCTGTCGCCCAGGCTGGAGTGAAGTGGCATGATCTTGGCTCACTGCAACCTCCTCCTCCCGGGTTCAAGCGATTCTCATGCCTCAGCCTCCTGAGTAGCTGGCACTACAGGCACCTGCCACCATGCTCCGCTACTGTTTTCTATTTTTAGTAGAGATGGGGTGTCAGCGTGTTGGCCAGGCTGGTCTCGAACACCTGCCCTAAAGTGATCCACCTGCCTTGGCCTCCTAAAGTGCTGGGATTACAGGCATGAGCCACTGTGCCTGGTCTAGCGGATGTTCTTTATATTTGTGTATCTTTTCAAGTTGTCATTGTTAAGAGGATTATTCTGAATTACACAGGCCACCATTACTGGAAGAGAGCTTTGGGTTTTAGAAATTTATACTTTATCTACAGTAGTTTTTTTTTTTTTTCCAGTGGGAATGCTAATTGTATTGGGGGTAAAAATGCTTCTGGCACCTAAACATCACACAAACTGCAGGATGTTTAATATCCCTGGTCCTTGACGCTAAATGCTGGTTACAACCTCCTCCTCTCCTCCCCCCTCACAACTCATGGTAAAACTAAGACCACAGAGGTTTATAAGGTACTCATTAAGTTCACATTTGGAAATGTGAAATAATTTCATTTGTGTCATATCCTTCTATACCTTTTCATAGTAAACCTCTGCTCTGATTGACCCTTTAGAGGTATACAACCTTTTTTAAAGTAAAAAAGGTCAGGTGAATGGTTCTTGGCTAAAATCAATTAAGTCAATGGTTAGTAGGGACCACAGACAAGCTGCAGGTAGTCCATGAATCTACTAAATTTACTTCCAGGCTGCATGCAGTGGCTCATGCCTATAATCCCAGCTCTTTGGGAGGCCAAAGCAGGAGGACTGCTTGAGCCCAGGAGTCTGAGAACAGCCTGGGCAACATGGCGAGACCCTGTCTCTATAAAACAAAAAAATTAAAAAAATTAACTGGGTATGATTGCATGTGCCTATCATCCCAGCTACTCAAGAGGCTAAGGAGGGAAGACTGCTTGAGCCCAGGGTGTTGGGGGCTGTAGTAAGCTGTGTTCATGCCACTGCATTCCAGCCTTGGTGATGACTAAGATCCTGTCTCCAAAAAAATTTTTTTTGTTAATTTCCAAAAGTTTATGGAGGGAGAATGTAATCAACAAGATGTTCTTTGGAGACATGCCACCAGGAAGGGATTATGTACGTCATATTAGATAGATATGCATTAAATATCTATTTAATATGAAATTAAAGAAAATAGCTTTAAATATTTTAAGGCTTAACTATGCTCAGTGAGTAAAAACTTGCACTAGAAGAGAAGGGAGATGTAATTTTTTAATTGACAAAAACTATATATTTACAGTGTACAACACGATGTTTTGAAATATGTACACATTGCAGATAGGCTAAATTGAACTAATTAATACATGCATTACTTCACATACTTTTTTTTTGTGGTAAGAACACTTAAAATCCATTCTCTTAATGATGTTCAAGTATACAATACATTGTTATTAACTGTAGTCACCATGTTGCATAGTAGATATCTTGAACTTATTTCTCCTAATTGAAATTTTGTATCTTTTGACCAAAGGGAGATATTATTTTAGAGTTGGCATGAGAAGAGGCAAATGTAGCTGGAAAGAATTACTTTGAAATTGATATCACCACTCATTTTAATTCAGATATTAGAAGACTCTATTTATATTTATACTAATCTCCTCTAAGGCTTTCTAACTTTCACTGATTGAAGTTAAAGCAGAAGTATATGGATAGGGACACTGATGAAAAGGGTGGTAAGATACAGAGCAAAACTACAAGCAAAATTCAACAAGAGACAGGAGGGAAGCAAGAGGGTAGAATTTCTGTGCAAGAAATTAAGAATTCCATGAAGAGGCAGGGTATGGACCTTAGGGAAGGGAAGATTTCAGCATAACTAGGAAAAGACAAACACAGATGGAGAGCAATGAGAGTGGGACACTCATAGGCAGGATATATAAAGGACAAGTCAGAGGTAACGTAAATGGGAATCTTTGGGCAGCCCTGGTTTGAAATATCCTCATTTTTAAGTTATATATTTCTTAAATAATGTAAAAGCTGTCCAAGGTACAGTGGACACTTTCTAGAATCCTCCCAATCTTTCATCCTAACCATTGCCGAAAAATTGGAGATAAAGTCCTCAGATAGATGGTGGGATGAGAAGAATGAGACTCAGAGTCCCATCTGACAAGGCTTCCACAAAAGCAGTTCATCTATGGAAATGCAAAATATATCATCTATTCATCTTTTAGCATAAAGAAAATATGTCCACTTTCCTTCTATGTTAGAGTACAGTGGCACCATCATAGCTCATTGCAGTCTTGAATTTTTGGGCTCAAGTGATACATCTACCTCAGCCTCCCTAGTAGCTGAGATTTCAGGTGTGCACCAACATGCCCAGCTAATGTTTTAAAATTTTTTCTGTAGATATGGGGTCTCACTATGTTGTCCAGGTTGATCTCAAATTCCTGGGCTCAAACAATCCTCCTGCCTCGGCCTCCCAAAGTACTGTGATTACAGGCATGAGCTACCACACCCGTCCCATCCACTTTCTAAAAGTCTAACTGACCTAAGGAAAAAAGGGGCCTGAGTTAAAATTTTTAAAAAGAATGAACAGTAGGTAAGATCAGGACCCACAAAATTATATATCTCCTATATATAAAATATTTAATGGTTTAAAAAACATTTTCTTGATTCATGTGAGGTGATGTCGACTTAAAATAAATCCTTTAATCATAGGCTTCTACAAGATGACATTGAAAATGGGAGAAAAGACATACCCAATTGCTGGAACAGGAGAGCCACACTAGTGCCCGTGATAGGAAGACTATCATGTAAAGGAGTCTGGATCAACTGTCTATCTCCTGCACCCAAAGAAAACAGCTTCTGCAGAATGGGAGAAACACAAACACACACACACACGATTTCAGCCATTTTTTAAAAAATAAAAATACCTTCGATGTTCATTTTTAGAGCAAACGACCATGTAAGATCCAATTAACAGATACAAAAGGCAACAATGTATATCCCAAAACATTTAAGTTCTTTGTATACTTAAGTGGCATAAGAAAATTCAGTGGCTGAAAGTTGAAAATCTAGTAGAGATAAGACACAAAAATCATTGATAATCATAACTGGCTAAAAAATAATGAAATGTTAAAGTCAACAACTTTAATAAAGGCTCATAAAGCAATTCAAGTTTAGACCCATCTGTGACCAAACTCACATTTAATATTCTGCCCTTTGAGCAGAGGTAGAAGAATGAAGGAGGAGAGAGCAAGAGAGACAGAGAAAAAAGGAGGATAAAAATTTAAGACAAAAGACAATGAGAAAGATAGAAGAGAAGTAAAAAGGCGAAGGGCAAGAAAAAGAAATGCCAATCCCACTATAAGCAGGATCTTTGTCAGACTGAAGACAATGTGATTTTTAGAAGGCTGTCCTCTTTCCCAATATTATATAAGAATAAGCAAAATAAATTATCACCTATTCATTTTTAAGGTTTAAGGAAAAAATCTATCCTTTTAAAAGTATGGTTGACCAAGAAACAATAAATAAATCATAGCAGCAGAGATTCTTATTTTTCTACTTTAGAGACAAATATGAAAATCTCAAGACATACAGAATAAATGAATCTATTAATAAGTAGTTACAATGTAACAAAGAACTGTGTTGAGAGTTTTCTTAATGTCATCTTCTAATTTTTATCACTCCAACATGTTTCAATTTAGGTTAATAAAAATGAGATGTAACTATATACAGGAGTGAGAAAGGTAAAAGAGAACATTTAAAAGTTCAACTTAATATATTTCCAAGAAAATACAAACTGCAGTTCAAGTTACACAAAATATGACTTCTAATTATGCTATGTGAAAGATGAACCCTGTGTTAAAATTAACCTCATGACCTAAGAAAAGAATGGAATCTTGAGTGTCTAGAAAGCAGACCATGGGGACAATGCTTAACTAAAGTAGGATCTTCCTTAAAACAAAAATATTTAAAGAATTATTTCTTTCCCTTTCTCCATAAATTAAATTAACTGGAGGAGAGGGGAAGAGGAACAATCCTTCTCCACCTCTCTTTCTATTCTATTTACCTGAGACCCTCCAGCCGCTGGGACAAGGCAGGCACAAAGGTTTGCAATTAGACTTTCCAAGGAGACATTCAGGCTGTCCACATACACGGTATAGATCAAACCCAGGCAAGCCTGCAAAAAGATAAATACATGTAATTATTTCATGGAAAAAGCATTAAAAATAAATTGTTATGACATCTGCTCTAGGACGATTTCTCTTTGAACCCAGTAAAGTATATTATACAGTGAACATGGAATACATTTTAAACAGCAAAAATTAAGTTTATTAAATTTTCCTTAGAACCAGAACCCCCAAATGAGCTTCTGAGATGAGTTTATAGAAAGCAGAAATCCATAATTTGTAAAACAGATGTTTGTGCTCTGATAACTACTCTAGCAAATCTGTAGGGCTAATACTGTTTTTGCCTCAACTTAAGTCTGTTAAACTCTAAATCTCAAGACAAAAACTTAGAAATTTTATCTTGTTTGGTGGTTCTTATAAATCCGGAATGCTTATTCTACAGAAAAATTTAACATGTGAATTGTAAGAAAGGATTGCAAAACAGAGACAAGATTGTAAGATTAACACTGAGTTCAGAAGGAGGTAGGTGGTAAAACAGACATAATGCAATCTTTATGAATCTTTCAGTATAGCAAAATTTGTGACTCTGAAAACTTAGTATTTGCTTGGAGTTACGCATTGTCATTGAAATCTTGACACTAATTTAATTCTTTTATAACACAAATAATCTCAATTTCTAGAAAAGTTTTACAGAAATTGTATCTTAGCACAAATATTTACAAATGAATAAAAATTTCCTCTTATGTTTGAAAATTCTGTGTTTCTAAAACAAGAAAATACCTGGAAGCAATATTTTAAGACTATTTTGACAGAAGTATGATCAGAATTGTTTGAAATCTCAAACACCCACCCTATTTACTTGAACCTGATTCCTCACAAGGTGAATATACATACACGAATTTGTTAAATCACTCATGCATTTACATTTACTACAGGTAATCAAATTATTTCTTTAGGATGTATACATTCTGGATTCAATAAATGTGGGACCTATTTTAAAACAAACACTACATCCTTAGAAGTTTTAGTAGTCACATTAACTTATTCAGGTATTTATTTCACCCAACATGAAAATATTTCTTCTGTTCATGCTAACTGTATTTCATAGATGAATTCCTAAATCAATCTAACAATATTTTCAATCCAAAGAACTTGTACCATGGTTCATTCAAGAGACTCACACAATAATACAAATTAATAATGATAACTATGTGTTCTTTACCCTAAAAATTTCTGGATAATATAATCTGGATACCAACACCAGGCTTTTGGGAGCAAACACTTCTGCAGGCTGAATTAAACCAGACACTTTTGCTTCACCTTCAATCTCTTCCTTCTTTGTTCCCTAGAAAAAGAGACACTGAAATCAACAAACAGAAGGGATTTCCTAGGTTCATAATTCACAAAAGATGAATATCACCTTAAATATAACTTATGCAAATTCAAAATTAATTATAATATAATTTTAAAAATCAAACTACAAATAAAGAATAGACTTTAAGAGCATTCTAAAAGTAAAGTAGACAAATTATGAAGCCGGGAATACTTATTTCATTTTTGAAAAGCTCCTTAAGCTCCAGACATATAACACAACTTTATTTGAGCATTTCCTTTCTGAGTGAATCAAGGGCAAATAAGACATGCTCAAATTATTTTAAATAGTGACCCAATTAAAAATTATACTCACTTAGATGAAAAGTTAAAAAATGATATTTAAATGAAGTCAGTTTTCAAAAGAAGATGTTTTGCAAATATGACACTAATTTTCATGTTGGTTTTTCTACTTGTCTCAATGTCTCAAACAAGGATTCTAAGGCTTGCAGAATGCTTGGTGCTCAATGCTCTTGGCAGTAAAGCACAATCGGCTCTAAATTGCTTTTGTTCATAAGCAACAATGCTGATATTTTGAGAAAAGAGAACTCTGTTTCCGTTTTTGAAACAAGGTCTTGCTCTGTTGCCCAGGCTGGAGGGCAGTGGCACAATCACAGTGCACTGCAGCCTCAACTTTCTGGGCGTTAGGGATCCTCCCACCTCAGCCTCCCAAGTGGTTGGAATCATAGGCACACTCCACCACGCCAGGTTAATTTTTTGTTTTTTGTAGAGGCAGGGTCTCCCTATGTTGCCCAGCTGGTTTCAAACTACTGAGCTCAAGTGATGCTCCTGCCTTATGCTTCCAAAGTGCTGGATTATAGGTGTGAGCCATCATGCTTGGCTGAGAGAACATTTTTACATACAAAACTGAATTTCAGAAAGTACTTAATGCCACTGAACTGAATACTTAAAAATGGCTAAATGGCAAATCTTATACATATATATTTTACCACAATAAAAAACGCTTAAAACAATACATAAGTTTCAATAACTAAACACTGGTTAATAAACTTGACAAAATATGATTCTCCCGCTTAACAAACCCAAAATCGTGATTCCCCTCTTTTTAATAACCTATATCCCACTGTCAACAAACCCTGATTTCTTACCTCCTCTATTGCTACCATAACGCTGTGAGCTACTATAATCTCTTGTGTGGATTACTCTAACAGCCTCCCTTCATCTCCTTTATTCTTCTTTAGCCCCACTTTGCTTCCTTGCTGCTCTTTAAACACACTGGGCATGCTCCCATCCACTGCTCTATGCGCTTCTGTGTTATTCCTTTGCCTAAATACTCTTTCCACAGATATTCTAATGACTTAGTTCCTCATCACTTTTAAGTTTTCATTCAAGCATCTTCTGCTCTAATAAGCTTTTGCTGACAATGTTATTTAAAACTGCAATGCCCTAACACTCTCTACCCACTTTCTCTGCTTTATTTTTCTCCATGGCATTTGTTACTATCCAACATATTTATCTATTTCACTTATCTTGTTTTTTAGTTTGTCTGTCAACTGCACTAGCACATGCTCCCATAAAGGCCAGGATTTCTGTTTTGTTCAACGGTGATTTCCCAGTTCCTAAAATAAGGGCTAGGCCCATAGCTGATACTTAATATTTATTCATTGCATACATGCATGAATACATTTTCTTGGCATAGTTTTTTGAGCATTTTATCAAGGGAAGTCTTTTCCCCCCTATTCATAGAGGCCAATAATTATATTTTCTACTTCCTTTAGAGCTCATTTAGTTTCTAGTACAATGCAATATAACCAAGTATTAGATGTCTGTGGAATGTGCACATCCAAAGGGAACTATCTGTTTAGTTTTTGTATGTATGATAGAGTCCATATGCTCTTGAAAGATTTTCATTTATTACAAAGCAAAAACAAAAATTAGGTTGGTTGGTTTCTGGAATCCTTAGAAATAATAAAAATGTGATGAATATGAATTCACCAAAGATTTCCACACTTAATGAATCATATTCTTCATGGATTACTAACTAATTCAAAATGACAAAAGAATGACTAAAATTCTTGGAAGAGATAAAGCTATCCACATTTTATGAGATTGTGATAAATGCCCTAGAGTACCATTAGAAGCCAGCTAGAGTAAGTAGATAACCATTTCAAATATATGACCATTTACTAACTTTGACCAAAACACAAAATAGAATGCATTGGTCATTTCTTAAAGCTGCTCTTCAATTAAACACTCACCAAAAGGAATAGTTATTAACGAGAAAGAAAAAGGTCCAATAGAGTGAAAATCAGTATTAAGTAAAAAATAATTTTAATTTATATCACTTTTTATTACGATGTTGACTTTTCCTTTGTAAATGTGCTACAAATCCTAAAATATTCTTAGTTCTTAATTTCAATATCTCTCCTATAAGAATGCAATGTCCTAAGTTTAGAGAAAAAATTCTTATTTCTGCTTTTAAAGCAAAATGTACTGCTGTGATTAAACACACACACACACACACACACACACAACAAATAAACCCCAAATTTATTAGGTAAAATAAAGTTTGTTCTAGAATGGTAATGTGACATTTTTGATAAAATTTTTCTAGAAATAATTTATCATGTCAGAGGAATACTCCCTCTTCTATATAGCTGCTAGATGTATTCTATGTAATAATTATAAAATGACACTAGTTTTATTTGGTGTGTGTTTTACAATGACAGATTTTCACCCATTGGAAAGATGTGAAAAACTTAAAAATAAGCAGGAAATTCAAAACATAGTCTATGAATATGAGATATTCTAATAATGCTAAATTTAATATTTTATACTACAAAAGTTTCACATATTTTATCCAGCTGAACAATATTTTAAAGGCTTTGCCAACTTAAGATTATTTCTTCTCATTAAATTGGCCACTTAAAGATTATTCCTTGCTTTTAGTAGGTCTCATTAAAGATACAAATTTATCTTAAACACTGTTTACTAAATATCTCACATTGACTTACAAGGTCAATACATATAATAATCACATGCCACAACTTGCCCATTTGTAGATATCTTTGCCTACCAATTACTACTATGGATTACATCTGCTAGTGATTCCCAGCTTCTGTGTAACTTATGTGTAGTTCATCATCTCTGTGCTTCAATAATATGGGATAAATTAGTACTCACCATATCAATCTGGCCTAAAAGTGCTACTGCTCTTAAAACATATCCTGAGACAAAAAGTACTAGATTGCTGATTGCACGCAATAACTTGATGTAGCAGATCAGCACAAGCTTTAAGGAAGTTTATCCTACCATTCAGGTTGAACACTTCAGCCTCATCTTTGTTGTATCTTGATGCTTAATTTTAATATCAAAATAACTGTCAAGTCCTGACCCTTTTATCCTTAAAGAACTGTTGCATCCAACATCTTCTCTGTGCTATGTTCATTTTTAACAATACTGTATCACACTAAAAATCTTCCCGCAGCATTTCTTAAATAATCAGTTATAAAAGGAGGATAAAATTAATTCCACAAGTAAAAAATTTTCAGTCCTAAATTTCCTTTCTGAAATGTAATATATAGCAAGTATACCATTATATAGAATTGTCTCAGTAAAGCAATTTAAGAACTTAAAAATTTTCCAGAATTGGAAATAATGGAGCCTAAGTAGTTGCAAAATTCTGTAAGTTCTAAAATTCCTCCTGAACCCTTCATTTCTTGCCAAATAATCTTTTAATCAAGTTGACATGTCTACATGATCAAACCAGGTTTGCCCTTTCATTGGTCTGGGAAATAATGAATGCATAAGAAATACACATTTTAGGATAACAAGCCTTCAAACAAACTAGGCCTCTAGTCTTCAGTTCAGAATCTCCGCTCGCTGCAAGCTCCACCTCCTGGGTTCATGCCATTCTCCTGCCTCAGCCTCCTGAGAGGCTGGGACTAGAGGCACCCGCCACCACGCCTGGCTAATTTTTTCTTTTTTTTTGTATTTTTAGTAGAGATGGGGTTTCACCGTGTTAGCCAGGATAGTCTCGATCTCCTGACCTCGTGATCTGCCCACCTCGGCCTCCCAAAGTGCTGGGATTACAGGTATGAGCCACCACGCCCAGCCTAAAGTCTTAAACGTAAGACCTAAAACCATAAAAACCCTAGAAGAAAACCTAGCCAATACCATTCAAGACATAAGCATGGGCAAAGACTTCACGTCTAAAACACCAAAAGCAATGGCAACAAAAGCCAAAATTGACAAATGGGATCTAATTAAACTAAAGAGCTTCTGCACAGCAAAAGAAACTATCAGCAGAGTGAACAGGCAACCTACAGAATGGGAGAAAAATTTTGCAATCTACCCATCTGACAAAGGGCTAATATCCAGAATCTACAAAGGACTTAAACAAATTTAAAAGAAAAAAACAAACAACCCCATCAACAAGTGGGCACAGGATATGAACAGACACTTCTCAAAAGAAGACATTTATGCAGCCAAAAGACATGAAAAAAATGCTCATCATCACTGGTCATCAGAGAAATGCAAATCAAAATCACAATGAGATACCATCTCACACCAGTTAGAATGGTGATCATTAAAAAGTCAGGAAACAACAGATGCTGGAGAGGATGTGGAGAAACAGGAATGCTTTTACACTGTTGGGAGTGAAAACTAGTTCAACCATTGTGGTAGACAGTGTGGCGATTCCTTGAGGATCTAGAACTAGAAATGCCATTTCACCCAGCCACCACATTACTGGGTGTATACCCAAAGGATTATAAATCATTCTACTATAAAGACACATGCACACGTATGCTTATTGTGACACTATTCACAATAGGAAAGACTTAGAATGAACCCATATGTCCACCAATAATAGATCGGATTAAGCAAATGTGGCACATATACACCATGGAATACTATGCAGCCATAAAAAAGGATGAGTTCATGTCCTTTGTAGGGACATGGATGAAGCTGGAAACCATAATTCTCGGCAAACTAACACAAGAACAGAAAACCAAACACCGCATGTTCTCACTCATAAGTGGGAGTTGAACAATGAGAACACATGGACACAGGGCGGGGAACATCACACACTGGGGCCTGTCAGTGGGTAGTGGGGTTAGGGGAGCGATAGCATTAGGAGAAATATTTAATGTAGATGACAGGTTGATGGGTGCAGCAAACCACCATGGCACATGTATACCTATGTAACAAAACTGCATGTTCTGCACATGTACCCCAGAACTTAAAGTATACTTAAAAAAAATAAAAGTATACTTTATTCAGAAGATGACTTGCAATAGTATTCTGCGGGACATAATTTAAAGTATATCTGCTATGAACAATATTAAAATATATCTTTAAAATCAGATATAGTTAACATGACAGAATAAGAAAAATAATACAGTAGTGGAAGATATTTAAAATCTATGCTACCTACTTCATTTTATAAATCAGTAATCACATGCCCAGAGGGATGAAATGACTTGCCAAGGTCATACAGATCATTAAAGGCATAAGTGGGATTAACAAGCCAAGTCTTCTCTTAAGCTACTTCTCTTTCCAGTATCCTATACTCTTATATGTAACCTTTATAAGAAATAACATATTAGTTAAAATAAGCTGTTTAGGAAAGATAACATCTGAGACGCCAAACTGTCAATTTGAAAAGATGTTCAGGTTTGTTTTCCTTTAATTATATTTGAATGTAGTAATTTTTGTTTTAAAATGAAATAGTAACAATACACAGTTCTCACTGCAGCCCTTCCTAGCCTGAAATAGTTGTCAAAATTTAAGAAAAGGTATTTGATGTTGAAGGATTCTGGAAACTTAATCCCAAAAGTTTCTCCTGTTGTTTTAAAGTCTTATATCATTTTAAGCATGTTGCACCAATTAATCATAGTTAATCCAGTGACAGTTTTTCCCTACAAAATACATCTGTGAGGGACATCAAGGGGACTGTTAAGATTCAGCATTCTGTCCATTTGCCAATTCTCATTTTCAAAAGGGGAGGAGAAGACAGATTCTTTGGTAAAAGACATAATCTTCAGCATCGATACTCTAAGGAGAATCCCATGTGGATACTTGCAAAGTTGTAAATTATCAAACTATAGAATAAACTCAGAATACACAAGTCTCCCAATTTTTTCTCTGTGTGAATTATGTTACGCATGCTAGTTTTCACCAGACTCTAACAAAGTCTAGTCTTGTTGAATAAGACCTAAGAATTAGTCTCTAGAATGCTACCAAGTGTAAAGTTGATTACAATATCAGCAAGCCCAATTCCCAAATACTGCTATTTCGAATTTTTAGTTCAAAGAGTTGGATTACCTGGGACTAAACCCTTCTTGAAGGAACTAAGGTTTTTCCAATGAGATATTCATCACAGTTATTCATAATATTGACAAAACAGGAAATACATGTCCATCAGGGGATTAATTAAACCTACCTATATGGTCAACTAGTGTACAGCAACTTTTGTTAAAAAAAAAAAATCCTTATTATTGGAAGAAAATATGTCAAACCATCTTTTTCTGTTCTCTCAAATTTTTTCCTGCATGTTCTCTCTATGTCTTCTACAATGAGCATAGTTTACTATGATAAAGAGCGGGATGGTGGGGGTGGGGGAGTACCAAAAATGATTGGGTTGTAGTACTTCAGCTAAATCTATACACTGTTTTGTGTGTGGTTTTCTCCACTGTTTTATACCATCTAGAGACGAATTTATAAATTCCTTTTTATTACTCCATTTTCCAGGTAATTACTTAACTGCTTGGAATTAATTATATGATACTATGTTTAAATTTTTTTCTTTTCTCAAATAGCTCATCAACTGTTTAAATAATATTTGTTGAAATACACACATTCCATTGATTTATAAAGCTTCTATTGTTGGACACTGATCTCCTATACACAATAGGGTCTGCTTCTGGAGTATTGGTTTTGTTCCCATAATTGTTTTTACCCTTGACACTTAATTCTTGAACCTATAGCACACTGATACAATTTTTGCAGCTTTGTAGTATATGTGGTTATTATTTGGTCCTTGGAGACAGAATCAATCAAGCACTTTAACTTGGTACTGAATGTCCCTAAGTAAGCCTCATCTGTAAAATGGAAATGTTAAAACCTATCAAATGGTGTTTTGTGAGAATAAACTATATGTGAGTTAAATAAAATAGAATGAAATAAAGTGTTGTAAAACTTTTAGCACAGTACCCAGAACATAAGACTTTAATTTATCATAAGCACTACAATCTTTTTTCCTTTGCACAAGCTTTTTGTTTGAATTGTCCTTTTTCTTTCCCTTACTCTAGGTGTTAGCTCTTATTAAAATGTCCACTGAGTCTTTTAAACTCTGTATGATTTATTCCAGTTGCCTAGTCTGCAATTATTATCTGTTTCACTGAATGATACTTAGCATATGATACTTTGGAATGGTTTTGTACTTAAGTTTTGGTTCTGCTTCCCAAGCTAGATTTGAAGCCCACTGTGATGGAGAAACGTATCTTATGTCTTCTATGTCTCTCCCTCTTTTTTCCTCCTCTTATCTCTCGAAATTACAAAATTCATTCCCTCTCTCTTTCTTTGATGACAATTTGATGACACACCAAATGTTCTCACTGAGAACTGCATAATTACCACTGATTCAGAGACAAGTATATAAACATATGAAATAACTTTAAAAAGATATAGAACTAAATTTAAATTTTAGATATTTAAAATTTTATACTTTTAACATATTTTAAGATAATCAAATGATTATTTAGATAAGTAATAAAAGTCAATGTAAATCTATCATATTTTGCTGATTACTTAAAAAAATTTAGGATCACATTACCTAGTTGAGTAATTTTGGGAACATATTATCAAAAGTTTAATGCCAAGTTTTGCTTATGATTACTGACAGTGTTACTGTATCTTGGAAAGATAACAGAGCTAACATTTTTAAAGTTGCACAATCACATTCTGGATGGTGTATGTCCCTAAGTTCCCCCTCTTTAGGCTTCCAAATAATGTGTCATAGTATATTTGGTATGAAGTAATTCACACCAAAAAAGAATTAAAAGATCTATTTTGAACTGATGATATGATCCAAAAAGAAAAGAAAAACACATTTTTAAAGGGACATAAACAGTTCATGCCAAAAATGAAAACAACTTTACTGATGACAAGAAAGAAACATCTTCTGGGTTCTATTTTTTTTTCAAATTCTGCTTCATTGTTTATCCCTCTTTTCCACCAAGCCCAAAAGACATTAACTTATGTTTCCAGAAAAGTGGTCTTACAATTCTGGCTAGTACCTAAGTACAATTATATAGAATCCGGAATTCTCACAACCTATCCGCATTTTCAAAATCTTGGAAAAACTGATATGAAGCAGACTGTAACCTTTTGTAAGGTGATCGTAACAAATAAATTATGATTTCTGGGCCCACTTAAAATGGCAAGTAGGAAAATATCTAAGCTAAAAAGAGAAATAACTTCTTGACATATGGATTCAAACTATACAAGAACCCAGATCTTAGCTTCTAATATTATTCCCTATTCAAAGGAGTCAGACTCCTTGAAGAAATGGCTGATTTCAAGGCAGAGGCAGGGAAGGAATAAAATGATCCTAGATCAACTTGTTATGATGAAAAGTTAAAAAGTACTTTTTCTAAAAGGAGATCTGTGAAAAGAACACAGGAATCTGTCTGAGTGGTGCACGCTGGTCAAATATGGGATAATTTGTGCATTAAAATAATAAAAACCATTAATGATTTACATATTATTGACAAAAAAAAAACCTGAATCCATGTATCTGTAGCTCAAACAGACAGGAAGAGAGAGTTCCTGCTTATAGTAAAAGGTCGACTGCTGACTGCTAAAAATAGAGGGAGTATGGAGTTAGAAAATAATCAT
This sequence comes from Homo sapiens, assembly GCF_000001405.40. NCBI lineage: Eukaryota > Metazoa > Chordata > Mammalia > Primates > Hominidae > Homo > Homo sapiens. Next base: position 10,040,059 of record NC_000011.10, read on the forward strand.
TTTTTGTTATCAGAATCAAAATTGCTATAGGCAAGAATCATTAGTAAATGCTGAAATCTAGGGGAACATGATTGATGAACAGTAGGATATTTGCATAGTGTTAGAGTGTCTTCTAGTAGACTGATTATTAATTGCAAACATAAAAATCGCCACTATGAAGTGGAGAAATCTGACAATCATCTGACCAAGTTACCAAAATTAACATCATCAGTGAGGGACAGACAGGCATTGTGGACTTCCGGATGTGTACTCTTAGAAGGATGCCCTTAGAAGGAACACAGGTAATATTCCAACTGTTGACACAGCCTGAAACTAACAATGAGAGATACTGGAAAACAGAAAATAAGAAACATTGTATTAAAAATGGGGGGTGAGAAGTTACATTATTTAAAAATGTCAACATTATAGACAAAGGCAGCACAAGTATTCCAGATGAAAAGAGACGAAAGAGAAATAAAAACTAAATGCAATATATGTAGTATGTACTAGATCCTGTACTGGAAGAAAAAAGGGATGGGGGGGTGCTATAAAGGACACTATTAGATCAAATGACAAAACTGGAATATGGATAGTAGGTTTTATTATATTGATGTTAAATTTCCTGAGGTTGATAACTGTACTGTTTACGTACTGTTCATGTACCTCTGAAGCATATACTAAAGAATTTAGGTGTGTGTGTGTATGGGGGAGATGGGGAGAGGAGAGAGGGGAAGAGGGAAGAAGGGATAAAGAGAGGAAAGAAGGGTAGGGAAGAAAGACCTCAAATAAAACGATGGGGCAAAATATTAACAACAGGTGAATATGGGTAAAGGCTATATACATGTTTGCATTATTCTTGCAACTTTTCTGTAAGTTTAAAATTATTTCCAAATTAAAAGTTTGAAAAATACCCAAGAATTCCTAGAACCTATTTATAAACATCTGCCATTAATATAATGTCAATATATTGCCTTTCTGTCAGTTTGTCTAGAAGAAGAGGGGTGAATAGTGAAGAGGGAGAATCTAAATAATTATAGTTAGTTTCATTAGATAATTCCAAAGAGTTGTGAAGCGATACCCTCAAGAATATGGAAATAACAGAATATACTGAATTCTCAGCATTAACTTAAATGCTAAAGATCAACAGAGAAACGAAAGGCCAATAAAAGAGACAGAGTGGTTCTTGGGCTAGAGAACACTCTCTAACTTATTCAGATTGAACTGATAAAAATGAGAATTTGATTAGCTATTTGTTGGCAACATATATCCAAACATTATCCAGGGGAGAGGAGACTTAAAGTCACAGACTGAAAGTTTTCTGTCCCCATTGATAACATACAGTAATCTCTAACTTCAAATAGAAGCAACAGGCTATGTTAGTCTGATAGTCTTTAAGTATTTAACATCAAATATCGGTTTGATTCCATAATCAAAACTCCGGACTTTGATATGGCTTTCTACTAAGATCTGGTGACAGGAAGACAATGTGCTGATAATGCATGTTTTGTTCTATATGCATTTTCAGCACTTTTCACATTTCCTATAAATTAGTAGTCTAGCATGTTAGTTTTAACACATCAGTCTAATGAACTTGAATAATGAGTCTGCATCATGAAAGGTAATTTGTCTCTTCTTGTACTCAAAAATCAGATTTCTGCATCCAGAAAATTCAGATCTTAGAGTTTAATAAACATAATCAAAACTACCAAATACTCCTTTGTTAAGCCATTTCAGAAAGCAGGCCAATCTTTTCCCCCAAGTGATGATACTCTATACGTAGCAGAAACTACAGTAGATTATGCAAACTGGCTTACTCAATATCTTCGAAGTCCCCTTTATGGTTTCCTTCTTGTATTATAGAGCCTGGAAAGAAAAACCACCACCACCAGCACCAACAAAAAAAACCCTACACTTTTTGGGGCAAAATGGGCTCTGTATACAATCTTAACTTCCACCAAAGAAACAACTCATGTAAAACTTAAAAGCAGAAGTCAGCAGTATGAGACTAAAGCAGAAGTCAGCAGTGTGAATATCTGCAGGAGAATGGATATTCTAGCACAACTATGGTGAAGGTTATAATGTCTGATATATACCCAGCATTGTAAGTGCCAAGTGGTAAAAGGTGGAAGGAATATGGTTTCTATGAGAATAGCACCAAGCTGGGCTGTTCCTAGTACCCAGAATTGGTTCCCTGCTTGTCCCTCACCCCTAAAATTTCACAAGTTGCCAAATACTTTGTTATGACTCCTTTCTGCTTAGAGAAAGTAGAGCCAGTAATGTGAAACTAAGAACCTCAACCAATAGTCTGAAAGAGCAATTATTTTATATGTCTTCATAGTTCTAGCTTATGAATTTCTGCCTGATCATGTTGATAATACCACCCCTAAGAAGAATGAGTTAACATTTGGGTGCTTAAACAATAATGTCAAGCATTGTAATAATGATTTGCAAACATTGTGAGTAAATGTTCCACATTCTATGAAAGACCTCCCAGGAGAAGGGCTGGCAGGGAAAATCACAGGTTCACCAAGAGAAGAAATTAATATTCTTAATAAACCAATTCAAGGATGCACTATTTTTAGAAATATTCAGATTATGATCAATGTTTTGAAAAAGGACAATTAAATCTGGAAAGTAATTTTAACATGTTGCTCTCCTCTCCAACCTTAAACATAAAAATTTCTTCATGCTTCTTATGCTAGCCCATAAAACTCAAACTTGCAGTTGTAACAAAAATATGGCATATAAAAAACATTCCTAAATGTTGTACCTTCGACTGTACTTTAGCTAGTAAAGGTTTTTGTACCTGAAGATTGATCTCTGCCTCATAGAAGGTTAGGCATGAGCAGTAATGTCGATCTGAGTCAATGTCTGTCAGGACAACCACAAAGAACGTTGGCTGCTTCCTCTCTCTGGACAGCTGCCACCCGCCAGGCTGACAAAACTAAATGAAATAGAAAAAAAAATGTAACATTTAAAAACAATAAAAGTTAATTATTAATCTCTGAGAAATTTTAAATGTTTGCCCATTTTAACAAATTCCTACCTGATGTGGTATGAGTCTAAAGCCAACATTTAAAAAAAAGTTAATGTACAGATTCATAATGGTGAAAACTTTCACCAATGTGCATATATATTTCATGAAGATAGCCTCGATTTCCCACAGTTGCCACTCTGGGTGCCATTTCTGAGACCCAGGTAGGCCTATGTAGGAATACCGCATCAAAATTAAAGACATCCCCCAACTATGAGAACAAATCATGGAATACATTAGAAATCAAGGGCAAAATATGTATCATTGAGGGAAAATAGAATTATTTTTAAATTTCCATATGAATCTGAGAGTCTTCAATTCATTACAAAAAAAGAGATATCTTGTTCAGCAAGACAGACCACATTCTTGTCCATAAAACATACTTCAACAAATTTAAAAAAGAGGAATCATAGAATGTCTGCTGTTAGACCATGACAGAATTAAACTAGAAATCAATAACAGGCAGATAGCTGGAAAATCCAGAAATACTTGCAGGTTAAACAACACTTTCTTTTTTTTTTGAGATAGGGTCTTGTTTCATCACCCAGGCTGCAGTGCAGTGGCATGATCACAGCTCACTTTAACCCCAACCCCCTGGGCTCAGGCGATTCTCCCATCTCAGCCTCCTGAGTAGCTGGGACTACAGGTGCCTACCAGTATATCTGGCTAATATTTTTTATTTTGTAGAGAAAGGGTCTTTCCATGTTGTCCAGGCTGGTCTCGAACTCCTGGGCTCAAGCAATTCTCCTGTGTCAGTCTCCCAAAGTGCCAGGATTATAGGCATAAGCTACTGCACCCAGCCAAACAATACTTTTTAAATAACATGAGTCAAAGATGAAATCTCAAGAGAAATTTAAAAAATATTTTGAGCTAACTGAAAATGAAAATAAAACATCAAAATTTGTGTGATGTGATGAAAGCAGTGCTTATAGAAAAATTTCTATCATTGAATGCACATATTAGAAAAGAAGAAAGATCTAAAGTCAGTAAACTAAGCTTTGACCTTTGGAAACTAGAAAAGAAGAGCAAATTACATCCAGAGTAAGCAAATAAAGAAAATAAAAGTTAGAATTGAAATCAATGATACTGAAAACAGAAAATCAGTAGAGAAAAATCAATAAAATAAAAGGCTGCTTCTTTGAAAAGCTCAATAAGCCTCTAGCCAGGCTAATTAAGAAAAAAAAAAAAAGGCACAAATTACTAACAAATGAAATGAAAGACGGGATATCAGTACAGATTGTTCTGGGCGGGAGACCCGCAAGAGGAGAAGAAAAGGCACACACACAATACCTTTAAAGGTAAACAAGCTTTATCCCATGTAAATGGCAATGTAGATATAATAAGCAAATTATATAATAAGCAAAGTAATAAAATAAGCAAATGATATAATAAGCAAATTGCAACGCAAAGGGGAGAAGGGAAAAGAGATAAATGTCTCTACACTCACCAGACTATGGAGGATTCACCACCAGACTGGGAAGCAACAGTCTGGGCTCCAGAGTTGGACACTGCACTCACCAGACTATGGAGGATTCACCATGCCAGAGGTGGTGAATTCCTCTTCAAAGGGTTTAATTGTGTAATGTCCTTGGTTCAAAGGCCCCACCTTCTTGTACTTTCTCATTTTTAGCCTGCAAGCAGCCCTCCTGCTCTTGCTGTGCCCTAACTTGCCCAGACATGTCCAGACACGTCTTGTGCCATAGCAGAAGAACCACTTCTACCCGCTCCCTTGCGAATTGTGCATCTACCCTATTTGTTCAGTGTGCTCTTGTGATCGTGGCTGATGCAGGGAGCACCCTTCTGCAGAAGTAAATTGCCTTGCTGAGAACGCTTTTTGCCTGAGTGCTGGTTTCACTTTGCAGCACCAAGCACTTGTTTCTAACAACCACTAGACTGGGAAGCAACAGCCTGGGCTCTATAGTCAGCCACTTGTCTGTGCACAGACAAAGAGAGGTCTCATGAAGCTTCAGCACAGTGTGGGACCCTAGCTGTTTTTGTAACGAGTTGTTTGGCAGGAGGTCCAGTCATGAAGGCCCTTCGTGACTGGACTCAAGGAACACAAAAAGGTCAACTTGTTTTTGTGACTATCTATTGCTTTTCTTTTTTTTTTTTTTTGAGATGAGTCCTGCTCTGTCGCCCAGGCTGGAGTGCAGTGGCACGATCTTGGCTCACTGCAACCTCCGCCTCCTGGGTTCAAGTGATTCTCCTGCTTCAGCCTCCTGAGTAGCTGGGATTACAGGTGCCCGCCATCATGCCCAGGTAATTCATGTATTTTAGTAGCGATGGGGTTTTGCAATGTTGGCCAGGCTGGTCTTGAACTCCTGACTTCAAGTGATCCACCCGCCTTGGCCTCCCAAAGTGGTGGGATTACAGGCATGAGCCACTGCACCCGGCCTATTGCTTTTCAAAAACCAAGGTATAGGAATAGATTGAAATAGAGATTTCTCTGAAACAGTGCTGGACGAACGCCTGAAGGGGCTCACACAACCTGTGCCAGGACTTGGTGACCATTGTTTGTGTCCACGTTCAATTGAGTTCAAATTTAATATTTAACTTTTCCTCCACACAAAAGTTCCCATGAACTTTTAAAGGATAATCAATGAATATTATGCACAAGTCTATGCCCACAGCTTTGACAATGTAGAGAAATGTACCAATTTCTTGAAAGACACAATCTACCAAAACTCACACAAGAAATGGACAATCAGCATAGTCCTATATTGTTAAAGAAACTGAATCAATAATTAATAACTTTCCAAAACAGAAAGCACCAGGCCCAGATGGATTGACTGGTGGATTCTTTTAAACATTTAAGGAAGAAGTTACAGTCAGCCCTCTGTATCTGTGGGTTCTACATCTGTGGATTCAACCAACCACGGATCAAAAATATTTGAAAAAAAAAGAAAAATAACAATACAACTATAAAAATAGCATATATAAAAATCCAGGATAGTAGCTATTTACATAACATTTACATTGTCTTAGGTATAAGTAATCTAGAGATGATTTACAATATACAGGAGGATATGCATGGGTTATATGCACATACCACACCATTTAACATAAAACATTTGAACATCCTCGGATTTTGGTATGTGTGGGGGATTCTTGGAACCAATCCCCTGCAGATTCCAAAGGACAACTGTATACCAATTATCTGCAACCTCTTTCAGAAAACAGAAGCAAAGGGAATACCTTCTTCATTCTATGAGGCCAGCACTATACTAATACCAAAACCAGATAAAGACATTTACAGAAATAAAAATTATTGACCAATATTGCTCATAAACATAAAAGCAAAAATATTAGCAAGTTGAATTCAACAATGAATAAAAATAATATCATGACCAAGTGGAATTCATCCCAGGCATGCAAGGCTGGTTAACCATTCAAAAATCAATTAAAGCATTATATCGTATCAACAGGCTAAAGAATAATAATCATGTGATCATACCAATAGATGCAGAAAATGCATTTGACAAAATCCAATACCTATTGATGATAAACAGCCTCAGTACACTAGAAGTAGAGGGAAACTTCCTCAACTTGATAAAGAATATCTTTTAAAAAAAAAAAACTCCTATGGCTAGTACCATACTTAATGCTGAAAAACTCAAAGCTTTCCAAGAATGATCAGGGGAATAAAGTAAGGATGCCCCTTTCACCACTGCTTCTCAATATTATCCTACAAGTCCTAGTTAACGCAATAAAATGAAAAAAATAAAAAGTATATATATTGGGAGGAAAGAAACAAAACTGCTTTTGTTCACAGATGACATGATTGTGTAAACAGATAATCTGAAAGGACAAAAAAAAAAAAAAAACCCATCCCTGGAACTAATAAGCAATTAAAAACAAGTTCTAAGATACAAAGTTAATATACAAAAATCAACCACTTTTCCTTTATGTCAGAAGTAAGTGGAATTTGAGGCAAAAATATAATACCATTTACATTAGCACTCCACTAAACCAAATAATTAGGTATAAATCTAACAAGATACGCAAAAGATCTATATAAGGAAAACTATAACACTCTGATGAAAGAAATCAAAGAACTAAATAAATGAAGAGAGATTCTATGTTCATGGATAGGAAGACTCAATACTGACAAAATGTCAGTTTGTCCCACTTTGACCCAAGGATTCAACATAATTCCAACAAAAATCCCAGCAAGTTATTTTATGGATATTAACAAAATGATCCTAAAGTTTATAAAGAGAGGCAAAAGATCCAGGATAGCCAATACAATATTGGAGAAAAACAGCTGGAGGACTGACACTACCAAACTTTGAGACCTACCAGGAAGCTATAGTAGACAAGACAGTGTGATACTGGCAAAAGAATAGGCAAAGAGATCAACAAAACAGAATAGAGAGCCCGAAGTAGACTACACAAATACCTTCAACTGATCTTATATACACATGCAAAGTGCTCAGAGAAGCCCCTGGCATATAATCCAGTGGACGTAAATGTTAGGTATTATGACCATTACCCCCTTTGATCCAACCCATGTTTCTATCCCCATCTCTTTGACATTTTCCTCTTTTGTACAGACGTTTTCCAAAACTAGCTCCTCCTTTCACTGTCTCATTGCCTACCTTGTATGAGTCTAGAGATATCAGAAAAGTAAGATCGACATGATTTCCTACATTTGGAGAGGGATGTTAATCATGTTCACAGTTTCTCTAGAGAAAGGCTTAACTGTACCTTAATTAGCAAATCAGTAAAAACATTTCTATTACATATTTAGTTTAAAATAGCAATTTATTCAAAATATTATTGATAACTTAAGAATCATTTATTCTATGAAGTCTTCTTTGAAACTTCCTAGCTTCTCTCGCCCTCTCCAAACCAAAGAATCAGGCCACGCTGTTCCTCTACTATACTCCAAAACCATCTTTATTATGAATAACAACAACAATAATAACCTATCCTCCTCTATATTTCCCTAGAACTTTTTATCTATTAATACTAATCTGGTAAAGAAAAGCCGACATCATTATCTTTATGTGTCCCTTGGTATCTGTGGAGGATTGGTTCCAGGTCCCCTCACTAATATCAAAATCTGCAGATAATCAAGTCCCACAGTCAGCCCTCAGGAAGCTGCAGATATGAAAAACTGGCCCTTGATATCCACATATTTTTCTCTCAACAACCCATCTATACTAAATTCCATAACCCTATATCTCAGGCTTATTTGTGACTGCAATAAGCCTTTTTATTCTAGAATAGCAGCTATCAAAAGAGTCCCCAATGTCAAAATTATTTTCATAATAAACCTAAGATATTGGTTGTTTCTTTACTGTGAGTAAAACTGCTTGTGTCTTAATAGGAATCAAAGCAGTGGCACCAAACTATACTAGTAATTGCTGTATTCTTTATAGCTGCACATTTGCAATAAAAAAGTCAGTTTTAATTGAAAAGGCCCTTGATGAGGCAATAAACATTTTAATTTCATTATAACTGGCATTATATATGCCAAACATATTTTGGCAGACATGTATTTGGCAGACATTTTCTCAACATAAATCAACTGGGCCTGTCACTTCAAGATAAAGATCTAAGACAATTTGTTATCAATGATAAAATATGAGCTTTCAAGCACCTGAGAGTTTTGTAATATTTTAAGACTTCTATGACAAATATTATCATACTATTAGTTAATTTATATTTTAAGTATTATATAGTGACATGTGTCAATATTTGGAAGCTGTATATAACTCACTAAACCCATATTTGTCAAATGACCAGTGCATGATATTATAAAATCATGCATGTGAAAGATCCATTCAAAGTGCCCAGTAGACCAACAGATTTTAATGTAACCATAAGAAAAGTTCACAGATGTGGTTACAAATTCCACACTGTAACTAACCTTTAAGAAACTACTATTCATTGGATATTGGAGCAGTATATAAAGAAAAGTATCCGTAATTATCTGAAAAAGCTACTAAATACTCCTTCCTCTTCCAATGACATATTTTTGAGATTTGATTTTCTTCATATACTTCAACCAAAAAAATCAAATCACAAGAGCTTGAATGCAAAAGCAGGTATGAGAATCCAGCTGCTTCTATGAAGCCAAATATCAAAGACATTTACAAAAATGTAACACAGTATCACTCTTTTCTGTATTTTTTTGTTTTGGAAAAGATGGTTATTTTTCATAAAAACATGGTATTTTTGTTAACATGGAATGGGATTTTGTTATTTAAAAGTGGGTAAATTTAAAAAAAAATTTTATTTTAGTTGTGGCTGGGTGCGATGGCTCACGCCTGTAACCCCAGCACTTTGGGAGGCTGAAGTGAGTGGATCACTTGAGGTCAGAAGTTTGAGACCAGCCTGGCCAACATGGTGAAACCCCACTTCTACTGAAAATATAAAAATTAGCTGGGTGTGGTGGCACATATCTGCAATGTCAGCTACTTGGGAGGCTGAGACAGAAGAATCGCTTGAACCTGGGAGGCGGATGTTGCAGTGAGCAAAGATCGCGCTATTGCACTCCAGCCTGGGCAACAAGAGAGAGACTCCATCTTAAAAAAAAAAATTAGTTGTAATTTCTAATATATAAATGAATTGATAAAACCACATAAAACTCTTTTAGAATTCTCAATAATTTGTGACAGTATAAAGGGTACTGAGACTAAAAGTATGGGAACTGCTATTTTAATGAGAATGGGTGTTAACATGTAACTATCCTTGGCTTAAACTACTTGGGTAGCAGAACGGTATAATCCTTGGTAGAACTGGAAAGTTTTATCAGGCTACAATAAAAGCCAAAAATATCTTTCAAAATCCTTTTACTTTCTCTCAACAAACTTCTTTCGTGAATAAGGTACATCATTTTCTAAAATGAGCCTCAGAATCAGGAAGGAAGTATGTGAGCTTAGGTTATAACATAATGTAACGATACAGCCTGCATCATCAGTTCTACCACCACCACAAACTGCCCCTCTGATAAAAAGTGAATCAGTTCTGTGAATTAACAGCAAATAATCCCATTCTCATAGAAGTCTGTCATTCATATCATTAGCTAATCACTAGGCTTGGTAAATGGTACTAAAAAACATACACTAGAGAATGATGACTGCATATTTTCACATCTTTAAAGAAACTACAGGTTTTCAATAAGGACAAACAAAATCCCTTCATTTTAGTTCTAATTCTACCAAATATATTTGACTTCTCAAATTGAAGTTACCTAACAGAAATAACAATGCAACTTTTTATAACCATATACATATAGGCATATAAGTCCCCTCTTATCCATGGAGGATATGTTCAAGATCCCACAGTGGTTACCTAAAACTGTGGATAATACCGAACCCTGTATGTACTATGTATGTATGTATATGGAACCCTATATGTACTATGTTTTTTCCTATACATACATAACAATGATGTTTAGTTTATAAGTTATACATAGTAAGAGATGAACAATAACTAATAATAAAATATAACAATTATGATATTAGACTATAATAAAAGTTATATGAATGGGGTCTCTCTCAAAATGTATTATTGTATTATACTTGCCCTTCTTATGATAATGTGAGATGATTTAATGCCTCTGTGATGAGATGAAAGGTGAATGACATAAACATTGTGACATAGCTATAGGCTACTATTGACCTTCTGATGGTAAATCAGATAAGATGGCTACTAAGTGACTAATGGGTGCATAGTGTATACAGTGTGGATAAGCTGGACAAAGGGATGATGCATATCCCAGGTGGGATGGTGTGAGATTTCATCATACTACTCAGATGGTGCATAATTTAAAACCAATGAATTGTTTCTGGAATTTTCCATTTAATATTTTTGGACCTCAGTTGACCATGGGTAAATAAAACCACAGAAAGCAAAACCATGGGTAAGGGGGAAACTACAGCAGATCTATTAAATGAGCAGTCAGATATTTTGCTGCCTGAAACTAGAAAAAATAACTATTAATGTGCCCATTTTTCTCAAATGCTTTGCACATATAGACAATATAAGAGAAATATACCAGAATAACAAAAATGTCCATAGCACTGTGATTAAATTGAATGATCTCTTGAAGGTGAAATATTATAGGTTTCAATATTTCCCAAGACCTTCATCTGCATCCATAAATGTTTAGCTATTGAGCCATGTTTTAATGTATAACATTTAAATTAAATGTGTCTCTTTTTAAAAAGCCTGTAAGAAAATTCCTTCTCCTAATAGAAAATAATAAACATATAACATCGAGAAAAAGAATGTGAGAGTTTAGATAGTAAGACCACCTTAGTTACTTAAATAGCCTCATAAATATGTTAGTTTACACTATAAGAATAATTCTGTGATTAAAAAAGTATTACCCTTAAAACTTTTGGGAAATTCCAAGGATCAATTTTCAAATCCAATAGACTTCTTCAAAACTCAGCTTAATGTGACCACAGCTCAAATAGTATAGTAATTAATGGTTGGCCTGGTCAGATTTTTTTTACTAAATTTTTCACAAAGAGGTTGTTAAGATAGTTAACTAGACACTGGTTACGTATGAGATCCTCTATTTCACACGTAAATGACATTAAATATATTGTGCATTTAAAAATACCATTAGAATCATAGTTTATAGGAAATTTTGAATTCTATATTCTCAAATAAAATACAGTAACATAGACATAGTCTATGTTACACAGTTTACAAAAATTCTTTCTCAAAGGATGAAAAGAAATGACCCTAACCTGCAGTTAAATGAGTCTTTTTCAAATTCACTGTATCATAAGATTAAGCAATAATAGATTTGGGAGTATCAGAATACAAACTCACAATTTAATGAGAAGTACTCCTCATAGAATTTGGATTTCAAATATAACAATGCTAGCTGGTTTAGTCTTTTCCATTCTTAACTAAAAATGTGTTAGAGAAATAAACAATGAGGATGTGGACATTACAATTCTTGAACCTGGGTTTAAGTCACACTTCTGACAGGAATGTGAGGAAAATGTTTAGACAGCTGGAGAGTAGTCACTAAAAGATAGTAAGCAGGATGATAAGCATTATACAAACAGGATAAAAATCAGGATTTTTCTCTCCCCAGTGTCTTTATAGGCAAACAGGAAAAAAAAAAAGCTATCACAGGTGCAAAACCCAAAATGTTTAGAATCGACTGTCATAACAGACTGACCTAACACTGTGCCCTCCTTTTTTCAAGTCACTGAGAAAACACATATATTTGTAATGGCAAAACATACCACATAATCTCACAATACCGTTTTGATACCTGCATGAGTGTATGAGCAACGACTTGTTTTTGACAACTCCCTTCTACCTTGACTTCACCATTTCACACATACCATGCCCATAAAAATGTTAACAACGTATCTGGGAACAGGCAATGTGGGAATCCTTTTCAGGATGTTCTTCTGTCTTTGTTTATCTCTAGTTTTCTTTAAGAACTTAGTATAACCTATAAGCAAATTATACTTCAAGTTTGCAAGGCTGGAATTGTTAGACATTGCTAAACTCTATATGTTAATGCATTACAAACACCCGCTTTGTTTACTTGCTTGTTTGTTTAATTGCCCAAATGTATGAAGTAGATAACTTGCAAATAGGCCATCCATCTGCAAATAAAAGGTACGTGCTAATATAATAATCTCTCAGGTTTGTAAGATATTTTATATATAACCATATCTCACAAGACTCATTCTACAAACAATGAAACCAAGACTGTTAGACATTAAGGTCATAAAGAGTTTGTGGCACTGGCAGGACTAGAATCCAAGTCTCTGCATTTCTATAAACCGTGTTCTTTCACTTCTAAATTACCTTCATAAATCACCTTATGCATATTGTTTTATGCTAATATAAATACATGGCAGAAAAACTTAAGAAATAAAATGAAAGTGAAATAAATTTTGTAACATGTAACATTTCCTAGCAACCATTTATCTCTGAAGGTATGCATGTATGTATGTATGTGTGTGTGTGTATTTATCCAAAGGAGGGCATATTGTATATATAGTTATGAATCCTGTTTTTCTCCCCTTCCTATAACATGTATTTTCCCATGTATTTATATATTTTTAACATAATTATTTTTAATAACTGAATATTATACCATCATGTAGATATAGATAAAATATCATAACCAATTCCCTATTGTTGGTTAAGATGTTTATAATTTTTTATAATTAATGCTGAAATAAGCATAGTACTATATAAATATTTCCAGATATGTCTTTTTATTTTCTCAGGGAAATAGAACTGGTTTTCTAGAGCATGCACAAGTTGAGCACAAAAATGTTTAATTATCCTTGAATTCCTTTTTAAAGGTTAAGCAACCCCAAAATTGTTTTGTTTTTCCTGATACATTTCTAAAGAGGACAGAAAAGAAGTGATAACAAAGAACTGTTATTATAAACTATATTCTGACCAAAGAAGAACTGATTTGTGAATAAAGTAACAGAAGCTTTAGGAGACTGAAGTCTGTGCCAAGCCAGGCCAGGGCAGTGTCAGATGTGTGCTCTGAACATTATATAGATATTCTTCAAAAGTTTGAAAAAAGACCCAGCCTGGTGGCTCATGCCTGTAATCCCAGCAATTTGGGAGGCTGAGGCCAGAGGACCACTTGAGCCTAGGCATAAGAGGCTGCAATGAGCTGAGATCGCACCACCACACTTCAGCCTTGGTGAAGAGTGAGACCTTGTCTCGGAAAAAAAAAAAAAAATTAACCAAGAGTAGTGGCATGCACCTGTAGTACCAACTACTCAGAAGGCTGGGGTAGGAGGATTGCTTGAGCCTGGGAGGTTGAGGGTGCAGAGAGCTGTGATCATGACACTGCACTTGAGCCTGGGTGACAGAGTGAGATTCTGTTCTTCCACCAAAAAAAAAAAAAGTTCAGAGAAAATATAGTGGGCAGAAGACTTTGGAAGAGAAGTCAATTTAAGAGTTTGTGACATCTCAAACATTTTGTTTTTACAGAATAATGCATGTCACATATAGGCCCAATTTTAATAAGCAGCTTTTGATAAAGTATATACTTAAAAGGGACTATCCAAAATTATTTGCTTAAAATGGAAACTTAACTGAAATGGGTCACCTATATTGCTTTTGGTAAAAATTTACATCCAGATATTTTATTACTACTATACAACATTTGCATTGTCCTCACCACAATAAAACTTTCATTACGTGTAAGATAATATGATTGTCTGCCTAGAGAATACATACAAACTGACTAAACACTGTTTCAACTAGTAAGAGTTTACTTAGGTAGGCAGATATACAAACATACACAAATCAAAAGTTTTCTTTGACATCAGCAATAAGCAATTAGAAAAAAGATCCTATTTGTAATCTTAATATGTTCTCAAAGACAAAGGATAAGCTAACCTAACTTCTAAGTTTTGAATATTTTGGTATATCAGTCTCATGAACAGATTAAGGCTTTACATTTAAAAATTTCATGACTAAGGCCCCGAAAGTAAATGCAACAAAAACAAAAATAAATGAAGCAGACCTAATTGAACTAAAAAAGCTTCTGCAAAACAAAAGAAATAATCAACGGAGTGAACAGACAACTTATAGAATGGGAGGAAAATATTGTTAAACTATGGATCTGACAAGGACTAATATCCAAAATCTATAAGAAACTTAAATCAGCAAGAAGAAAACAAATAATCGTATTAAAAAGTGGACAAATGACATGAACAGATATTTCTTAAAAGAAGATATACAAACGGCCAGGAAACATGAAAAAATGCTCAACATCACTAATCATTAGGAAAATGCAAACTAAAACCACAACGAGATACCACCATGAGAATGCCCATTATTTTTATTTGTTTGCATGTTTTTTTTTTGTTTTTTTGTTTGTTGTTTGTTTTGAGACAGTCTTGCCCTGTCACCCAAGCTGGAGTGCGGTGGCAAGATCTCGGCTCACTGCAACCTCCACCTCCCAGGTTCAAGCAATTATCTTGCCTCAGTCTCCTGGAACTATAGGCGTGCACCACCATGCCTGGTTAATTTTCGTATTTTTAGTAAAGACGGGGTTTTACCATGCTGGCCAGGCTGGTCTGGAACTCCTGACCTCAGGTGATCCACCCACCTCAGCCTCCCCAAGTGCTGAGATTACAGGTGTGAGCCACCAAGCCCGGTCAGAATGGCTATTATTAAAAAGTCAAAAAAACAAAAGATGTTGGCATGGATGTGGTAAAAAGGGAACACTTATATGCTGCTGCTGGGAATGTAAATTAGAATTGCCTCTAGAGTAAACAGTAAAGAAATTTCTCTAAGAACTAAAAGTAGATCTACCATTTGATCCAGCAATCCCACTACTGGGTGTCTTACCAAAAGGAAAAGAATTCAGTATATGAAAAAGACACCTGCATGAATTATGTTTATCACAGCACAATTCACAATTGCAAAGATAAAGAATCAACTTAAGTGCCCACCAACAGATGAGTAAATAAAGAAAATGATACACACACACACACACACACACACACACACACACACACACACACACACCATGGAATACTACTAACTCATAAAAAAGAACAAAATAATGTTTTTTGCAGCAACTTGGATTAAACTGGAGGGTTATTACCTAAGAAAAACAACTCAGGAATGGAAAACCAAATACCACATTTTTTACTTTTAAGTAAGAGCTAAGCTATGATTATGCAAGGGCATACAGTGGTATAACGGACAATAGAGTCCCAGAAGTGGGGAAATGGGGAAGGTAGATGGGGTAAGAAATGAAAAACTACCTATTGGGTACATAGTACACTATCTTGGTAATGGGTATACTAAAATCCCAGACTTTACCATGATATAATCTTTCCATGTAACCAAAAACCACTTATACCCCACTAAAGTTATTGAAATAAAAAAATTTAAAATGAAGTAAATATAAAAATTTCAAGAAGAAAATTAAAGAGAAAAATAAACACTTGGAATAGTTTTGAACATTCAAGTTTTGAAAAAACAAAACAGAAAAAATACCCTGCAAACTAATTATAAGTTTAAAATAATTCCAAGATGAAGACCACAGAAGAAAAGTTTTTGTACCAATGCCATGCTGTTTTGGTCACTGTAGCCTTGCACTATAGTTTGAAGTCAGGTAACATGATTTTTCCAGCTTTGCTCTTTTTGCTGAGGTTTGCCTTGGCTATTCAAGTTCCTTTTTGGTTCCATATAAATTTTAAAATAATTTTTTCTAGTCCTGTGAAGAATGTCGTTGGTAGTTTGTTAGGAATAGCATTGAATCTGTACATTGCTTTGGGCAGTGTAGCCATTTTAATGATACTGATTCTTCCTATATATGAGCATGGGATGTCTTTCCATTCATTTGTGTCTTCTCTGATTTCTTTGAGCAGTGATTTGTAATTCTCATTGTAGAGATCTTTCACCTTCCTGGTTAGCTGTATTCCTAGGTAATTATTTTTGTGTGTCACAGTTGTGAATGGGGTTGCCTTTCTGATTTGGCTCTCAGTTTGGTTGTTGTTGGTGTATAGGAATCCTAGTGATTTTCGTATATTGATTTTGTATCCTGCAACTTTGCTGAAGATGTTTATTAGCTGAAGAAGCAGTTCTAACAAAAAGTGGCCACACTGCTGCTTTACATGAGTGGGTAATCCTGTTCCTCATCACTGAGCAGGACCTCCCAACCAGGGCCTCCAGCCACCCTCGCCTGAGGTTTCCAGCCAACAGAGAACTGAATTTCCCCTGGGATGGTGCTCCAGAGGGAGGGGCTGGCCACCATCTTTGCTGTTTGGGTGACTTAACCGTTCTAGTCTTTGGGCTTTGGAGTGTCTGAGGCAACTGGGGGCTGAAATGGACCCCAGCACAGCACAACTGCTCTATTAAAATGTGGCCAGACTGTTTTTTTAAGCAGTTCCAATCCCGTTCCTCCTCACTGGGTGGGACCTCCCAAAAAGGGTCTCCAGCAACTTCCTACAGGTGCCTTTGGGCCAGCAACAGGTCTGTACCTCCCTGGGACAAAGCTCCCAGAGGGAGAAACACGCTCCCATCTTTGCTGTTTCACAGCCTTCACTGGTGACACTTCTAGGTTCTGGAAAATCTGAGGTGACTAGAGACTGCAGCGGGCCCCAAGCATACTGTAGCAGCCCTATGGAAAAGTGGCCAGACTGTTACATGGGTGCCTGTTCCCATATCTCCTCACTGTGCAGGTCCTCCAGGCCTGAGCCTCCAGCCACCCCCTGCCAGAACTATCAAGCCAGTACCAACTCAGCAACACCCTGGACACAGCCTCTCTGCCACTACCTCTGCAATGTAACTGCCCTTGTCACCCTTGGACTAACAAAGGAGCAAAGACCCTAAGTACCTTATCCACACCTCCAACAAGTGGCAGCTGACCCAAGGAGAGGAGGCCAGTCTTTCTCCCATGGGTCCCACAAACCCCCCATATCTTGTCATCAGACAGGGAACCCCTGGCTTGGGCCCACAGCGCAAACTCTCTATCCTGGGATGATTGCACTGAGTGATTGCTGACCTGCATCTCTCTGGGGTGGAGCCTCCAGGAGTCAAGCAAATGACCCTTGGCCACAACCACTACTAAGATTTCTTCCTCTGCTGCCTCTAAGCTGAGGAAGGAACATAAACACAGAGATTGCCCCAAAGTTGCAGTGGGCAGCCCAGGAGTACCAAGTCATGAACTACAGCCAGTACTCAAGTGGGAGAGGAGCCCATACTTTCAAAGCACTGAGAGGGAACATGGCTACAACTGTGAGGAAACATAGGGAAGCCACACAACCAAGCAAGAATCAACCAACTGACCAATAAGCCTAAGTGTCACCTGCTGGATCACACCCCAAAGCCTTAACACCAAAAATACCTCACTAACATATCCCCCTCTAAAACCAGAGACAAGAAGTCAGCTTCAAATAAAGACCCTACACAAAGTCCTGGCCTGATGAAAACATCCAGAAAAGAAGTCTATTGAGTGTACTCAATCTACACTGCAATTAAAGAAACACCCACACACAGAGATGAGAAAGAACAGTGCGAGAACTCTGTTAACTCCAATGGTCCAGAGAGTCTGTCATATGTCCTCCAAATGACTGCACCAGTTCTCCAACAAGAGTTCTTAACTAGGCCAAACTGGATGGATTGACGAATAGAATTCAGAATATGGATAGGAACAAAGATCAGTAAGATTCAGGAGGATGGCAAAACCCAATCCAAGGAAAATAAGAATCACAATAAAGTGATATGGGAGCCAAAGGACAAAATAGCTAGTATGAAAAAGAACCTAACAGGTCTGATAGAGCTGAAAAACACAATATAAGAATTTGACAATGCAATCACAAGTATTAAGAGTAGAATAAATCAAACTGAGGAAAGAATCTCAGAACTTGAAGACTGGTTCTCTCAAAAAAGATGGTCAGACAAAAATAAGGAAAAAAGAATAAAAAGGAATGAACAAAACTTTCAAGAAGTATGAGATTATGTAAACAGAAATCTATGAATCACTGGCATCTCTGAAATGGAGGGGGAGAAAGCAAACAACGTGGAACATATATTTCAGGATGTTGTCCATGAAAACTTCCCCAACCTTGTTAGAGAGGCCAATCAGTCAAATTAAGGAAATACAGAGAACTCCTGCAACATTCTACACAAGAAGATCATCCCCAAGACACATAATCATCAGATTTTCAAAATGAAAGAAAGAATGTGAAAGGCAACTAGAGAGAAAGGGCAGGTCACCTACAAAGGGAACTCCATCAGGCTGACAGTAGACCATTCAGTTGAAATCCTACAAGCCAGAAGAGATTGGGGGCCTATATTCAACATTAATAAAGAAAAAAACCTTCAACCAAGAATTTCATATCCAGCCAAACTAAGCTTCCTATATGATGGAGAAATACGATCCTTTTCAGATAAGCAAATACTGAGGGACTTCATTACCATCAGACCTGCCTTACAAGAGATCTTGAAAGGAACATTAAATATAGAAAGGAAAGACTTCTACCAGCTAATACAAAAACACACTTAAACACACAGACCAGTGTCACTGTAAAGCAACCACACAAACATGACAACATAATAACCAGCTAACAGTACAATGACAGGATCAAATCCACACATAACAATATTAACCTCAAATATAAACAGGCTAAATGACCCACTTAAAAGGCACAAAGTAGCAAGCTGGATAAAGCTGGATAAAAACAAGACTCAATGATATGTTGTCTTCAAGAGACCCATCTCATGTGTAATGACATTCATAGGCTCAAAATAAAAGCATAGAGAAAGATCTACCAAGCCAATAAAAAAGCAGGGGTTGCAATACTAATTTGAGATAGAAAAAGTTTCAAACCAACAAAGATAAAAAAAAGACAAGAAATAGCAATACATAATGATAAAGGGTTCAATTCAACAAGAAGACCTAACTATCCTAAATTAAACAAGAAAATTAACCAAAATATTCAGGACCTAAACTCAGCATTGGACCAAATGGATCTCATAGACCTTTACAGAAGTTTCCACCCAAAAACAACAGAATATACATTCTTCTCATCACCATATGGCACATACTCTAAAATTGACCACATAATTGGACATAAAACAATCCTCAACAAATGTAAAAGAACCGACATCATACCAAACACACTCTTGGACCACAGTGCAATAAAAATAGAAGTCAACACAATGAAAATTGCTCAAAACCATACAATTATTTGGAAAATAAACAACATGCTCCTGAGTGATTTTGGGGTAAATAATGAAATTGAGGCAGAAATAAAGAAGTTCTTTAAAATTAATGACAACAATAATACAACATACCAGAATCTCTGGGACACAGCTAAAGCAGTGTTAAGAGAAGAATACATAGCACTAAATGTCCACATCAAAAAGTTAGGAATATCTCAAATTAACAACCTAACTTCACAAAGCAAAAGAATTAGAGAAGCAAGAACAAATCAACCCCAA